>NC_000005.10:115261322-115564352 GCF_000001405.40 Homo sapiens | reverse complement strand
TCAAACTCCTGACCTCATGATCTGCCCACCTCGACCTCCCAAAGTGCTGTGATTACAGGCGTGAGCCACTGCGCCTGGCCAGGGAGCTTTTACTCATGGCAGAAGATGAAGCAGGAGTAGACACGTCACATGATGAAAGCAGTAGCTAGGGGCTGGGGGAAGGTGCCACACACTTAAAAAAACAGACCTTAGAAGTACTCACTCACTATTGCAAGGATAGCACCAAGCCATGAGGGATTTGCCCCCATGACTCAAACAACTCCCATTAGGTCCCACCTCCAACGTTGGGGATTACAGTTCAACATGAGATTTCACCGGGACAAATACTCAAACTATACCAATCACCATTTCTAAATTTACCAAATCTAAGCATATAAGTAATAAATAAATCAAATAGTTGATGCTGTTTGACTTCTCAAGAGATTAAACATAATGCCAAGTAATAGCTAGGTAGTTAGCACAGAGCATTGAACTACTAGATGAGCTGCTGGATCAATCATTAATTAGCTTTGCAGATCCACTCAAGTTATTCAAGTTTTATAATGTATATTAAAGGATTGTAGGCATCTACATGAAAGAAACTTTAATTTTAAAAAATTAAAATAGCTTACAATTGACCACTGAAAGCACACCTGTAACTGAACAAAGTGGGTTTATTACCTGTTGCAGAGAGGGAGAACATACACCATAGGAGACCATGGAGCACCTCAGGCAAAGGGTATGAGAAGGAACCCATTATAGGGTTGGACTTTGGTAGAGTAATTTGGGGAATGGTCTAAAGTGGTGAGGGATTGTTCTAGATTAGAGACTGTAAGAAAGCAGGGGCAATTGTATATTGGGTATATCAATAAATCTTATTTATAGGGAGAGGAAGTTAGAATGATCATAAAGTTGCAATTGGTTAATAAGTAGTAGTCAATTATTCTGGCCAAGAGAGGAGACATCTTATATTTTGTGGGTTGCATGCTGACTTTGTATTTTTTTTTCTGTGCATAGACAAAATTATGAAGTGTCCTTATTTTGTCTCGTTTTATCATGGTCTTAGAGTAATGTTGTCTGCAGTCAGTATTCTATATGATGGTTTATGCCTAATAGGAGAATAATATGGCCTAGTGTAAGGTGAGATTCTGAATGTCAAGGACTGTAATTTTTGTTTTCCTTTCATTGAAAAGTACAACAATATAAAATGCACATCTGCTTTTCTATATGTATTGCCATATTTCAAAATTCAGATTTAAAGTCAATAAGGTGATGGCACTTTAATATAAAGGAAATAAAATGTTGTTGTTCCTATTAATGGTCCTCACTGGAGAAGTTCTATAGTTCTCCTTGGATGATTTAAGGAAGTTAGACTGAGAATACCACAAAAGAGCAGAAACATGTTTCCTTAAAAGGTATAGTCTTAGACTGGTTGCGTTCTTCATCATGGTACAAATAAAAGATAATTTCTACCTATACTTTAGTCATTCTACAATTAACTTTTGGCAATGAAATCCCAGTTATATTTACTTTTTTAAAATGTCATTTTTTTGCAATATGACTGTTCATGAAGGAAAAAAATGTAAATTAAATTAAAAAAATATTTTGACTGTCCTGGGTTTCTCTTAGTGTCTATTCATATTTATATATTTTTAAAAAGATTTTAAAAGATCATGGTAATAGCATCTTAATGTACAGATAATAAGTCATAAATGAACTTCAGTTGTGTTTCAGTTCTAGAAATATTTGAATGCCACGTGGCCAGTTGAAAACTGATAATAAACCATGTAGACACAAGTGTAGGGATAAAAAGAGCTGCAATAAGTTTCTGGATTACTAGCTGAAAAATAAAACTACACAGGAAAAAGTCAAGGAGACACAATAAAAGTATTTTAGTAAATGACATTTCTGAAAAAAAAAAATTAAGGTAATACTTAGATGATAAATGGAACCACTGACCCAAGCTAGGCACAAAACTCTCAGTGCTTTATGATATACCCAGGGTGATAAGCAAGATGAGCAACATTTGGAGGCTGTTGCTCCCCTCCATGTGTCCTGATAGACAGGCTCTAGTGTGAAAACAGAGGGAGCTCTATCTAGGCTAATGACTTGTTTCTGTGGATCTCAAGATGCTTATCAGTAGAAGGTAAAGGTGAAAATGCTTGCTGGGTTCTCAAACTTTATTGCATATCAAAATGACCCAGAGGATGTACTAAGATACAGCTTGCTGAGCCCCACCCCTAAGGGTTTCTGATTCCTTAAGTCTCAGTTAGGCTAGAGAATTTCCTATTTCCTAGGTGATGCTGATACAGCTAATACAGGAACCACACTTTAGAAAACATTACTCTATTGGAAAAGGAATTATTTAAAGCACTACCTGTTGAACTCCCTGCAAGGTGGGTTATATGTTCCTCCTTTCAGGACTAATCTTTCAACATACTGAGATCAGTTTGAGGTGGCCTGATGATAGGGTTTGGTGGTGTCCCTACCCAAATCTCATCTTGAACTGTAGCTCCCATAACTCCCATGTGTTGTGGGAGGGACCCGGTGGGAGATAATTGAATCATGGGGGTGGTTCCCCCCATACTGTTCTCATGGTAGTGAATAAATCTCAAGAGATCTGATGGTTTTATAACAGGAACTACCTTTCACTTGGTTCTCTTTCTCTCTTGTCTGCCACCATGTAAGATGTGACTTTTGTCTTCTGCCATCACTGTGAGACCTCCCCAGTCACATGGAACTGTGAGTCCATTAAACTACGTTCTTTATAAATTACCCAGTCTCGGCTATATCTTTATCAGCAGCATGAAAACAGACTAATACACCTGGCTTCAAGTCCCTTCCTGTTGCTGGTGCCCTAAGTCTGATTCCTGGACCTCTTATCTAGATCCTGAGTCCTGGATGCTAGTCTTCTTAGGCTGCATCTTCTCTTGGGCTTGCCTACAGCCTGCCTGCCCTACCCACATGACTTGCAGTGCCTGCCAACCCCTCTTCTACCTGCACCAACCATTCTTGTCCTGTCTTGTTCTGTCATCATCTAAGTTCCTCAGGAAATTTATTGCCTATACAACTCTAATTTGTTTCCGTTGCATTGCCGTGATTAATATAATGAAGTAGAATCTCTGTTGGGGGTTCAAGGAAAATACAAGTGTTTGATTTGATTGCGTTTTAAAGCTGAGATATGTGAATTGTTAGTGGTTGATTCATCATAACTAATAAGACAATGAGCAACTGATGATTTGAATAGTAATTGACTTCCACTTACATGGGACATACATTGAAATAGTCTATAAATATTTAGGAATTGTATCAGTTTTCTCTTGCTTTATAATAAATTATTACAAACTTAGTGGCTTAAAATGACAGCCATTTATTAGCTCACAGTTCTGTCAACATCTGGCATAGCAGAACTGGGCTCCCTGCTCAGAGTCTCAGAGGCTAAAATCAAGTGTTAGTGGGTTATATTCTCCACTGTCGGCTCAACTAGGGAGTAATCAATCAGCTTCAAAGCTCATTCAAGCTGTTGGCATAATTCAGTTTCTTGTGATTGTAGGACTGAGGTCCCTGTTTCCTTGCCTTCAGCTGGGGATTACTCTCTATGCCTGGAGGCCATTCCTTCTCACAGGCCCTCTTGCAACATGACAGTAACAGAAGACTTTGAGTCCAGTAAGAGAATCTCTCTTGAGTTTGAATCCCTCTAACTTTATTTATCCCTCTGCTGCCACAGGCCAGGGAAAACTCTTTGTTTTTAAAAGGCTCATGCAATTAAATTTTGTGAGTCTAGTTGGATTATTCCCCTTTTGACATATAACATAACATACTCATTGGGCTGATATTTCATATTTACAGGTTCCTGCCACACTCAAAAGCAAGACAATTGTACAAGGTTGAGAGTCATTGGGGCAGAATTCTGACTGCTACTCTCCACCCCCTTACCCCCAATGATCCACCTGTGACACATGCAAAACACATGCCCCTCAAAGGTTCCCATGGGTCTTTTCTCTCTATATCATCAGTTCAAAGTCCAAAAATCTCATCTAAACATGATCAGCTCAAAAGTCCAAAATATCATCATCTAAACCAGGTGTTGATGTGGCTCCTGTGTATAATTAATTCTGGGCACAATTCCTCATTATTCATGGACTGTGAAACTAAAGAGACAAGTTACCTGTCCCACACTATCAACGTACAATAGTGGGACAGGCATAAGATGACAGTTACAGGCATTCCAATTCAAAAAAGAAGGTACAAATAACTTATCAGTCCAAAGAAGTTTTGGCATGTAGCTGTACCAACTCCATTGGATTTCAAAGCTTGGGAATAATTATCCCTGACTCTCTACTTCATTCTCTAGGCTCTTGGCTTTCCCCACCCAGGATCTTGGTTTTGCCTTCTGGAGAGGGTTACTGGGGGTCATTCTTAGAATTCTGCCTACCATAGCAATGATTCTATTTTTTGTGTAGCCCATGTTTCATATATCTTAAAGAATTTATGGCAGATACATAGGAACACATGATATAGTGACAAGTATGGTATAACTCAAATGTTTATAAAGCTAATGAAATGACACTGCAATTTTTAAGAATGACAGTGTCAACCACCAGATGCCACATTATGAATAAGTCTGTTAGTTATTCTCTAGCAGTGATCTCATAAGTGTTGACTTCTAAAACTATGGGGCCTCCATTGGTAATGGTGATCTCATAGATGATGATCTCAATAATTAAGCATGAGGAAATCAAAGAACTGAGAAAAAAGGTCACAATAAATTTTTTTAAACAAAGTCTATTGGCATTTTTTTCAAGCTAAGTTTTCTCTAAGAATAGTTAAGTGTCATCAATAAGAAAAAGCCAACCAGATATCACTTTGGTAGTCAATTTCTTAATATAAAATGGATCTTAATATGAAAGGGATCCCTAAGACTTAATCTAGGTAAAATGTCCAGCACATGGAAGACTCTTTGGAGGAATTTTGGGAGTGGCATTTAAATCATGCACACTTGGATACCGCTTCTATGTAAAGCTATCTTGGACAAAGTCATAAGAAGGCTGACATGACCAAAGAGAGAAAGAAAAGACTACAGTTAACAATAATTTATTGCATTTATCAAAATAGCTAGAAGAAAAGAACTATAATATTCTCAATACAAATAAATGATGAATGTTTGTGGTGATGAATATCCCAATTACCCTGATTTAATCATTACACATTTTATAGATATATCAAAATATCATATGTACCCCCCAAATTTTGTACAGCTATTTATATATCAATTAAAAGAGAGAGAGAGAGAAAATCTTTAATGAATTATGGCAGACACGGGGGCAAAGGTAAAGACGACCTGGTACTTGAAGCCTAGAACATAGTTAGGTGTCTGATTTTGATTCAGAGGGAATCTTTGATTTCTGAATAGAGGGGTTAATATTGTTGGAACAACCAGCCAGAGATAAGGGTAGCAATAGAATAAAAAATGGACTAGTGAACAGAAGTGAGAAGAAGATGATAGAAGAAGTTACAGTGATAATGTGGACATTTTGTTCTTTGTATATTAAAACAATGGCCCTGGCATGCTGTCAGCACAGAATGTTCTCTGAAGCATTATACGAGTAGTACTCGTGGATTTCTGCTAACATAGTCATCATTTCTTGTCCAGTCTCTCCTATGAACAAGGGCAAGGATCATATGGACTGTTGTTACAATTACTACAGTGCATAGGGTTATGTGAAAATTCAGTTTTTGGTGAGAGAATCACACAAATTTAGTCAGTACAAATAGAATAAGTACTCCAGATTCTGACCTTATTAGATAATCTAATGGATACCATTTATCACGTGCCTCCTGTGTGTAAAACACTGTGTTATTTGCTTTACAAATGTTATCTCATTCTGTTCGCAAAAAAAAATCCTTTGGCTGTAGGAACTTTTGGCCCTATTTGAAAGTTGAGGAAACTGGGGCTCTGAGAAAGGTAATTATTTGCCCAAGGACACACAATTAGGAAGTGGTGGTTGCCTCTGTAGCATTCTGCACACTTTTTTCATTGTTTACCCAGTATATTGAAATTGCCTGTTTATGTGTCTGTCATCCACACCAGACTGTGAGGTCATGAGGGGTGGGACTCTGTCTTATTCTGAACCTGCTGCAGGCAATACATGTGTGTTGAACTGAATTATCTGCTTCTAAAGCCTGTGCTCTTATCACCTGGCATGATGTGTTAACTACCTAAACTCAGTGGCCTTAAGAACATGACAGAAACATGGCAGGGACACAGTTAGGGCCTGGAGGCAAGGAAAACACAGCGTTTAACATTGAAAGGTCCAGAAATGACCTATATCCTTCTCTTCAGAAGAATTCATTCTCAAAATTCTTTGTTCATGCACATACTTCCTGACAATAAAAACAAAACAAAACAAAACAAAACAAAAAATCAGTCTCCATGAACAGTACATACAAACTGTTGTAAACCTTTCTTCCTTTAACTTCCTCTCACCGCTCCCCCACCCCCACCTCCCAGAGCGCACAGAATAACAAAAGAAATGTGACAGTTATTGCTAGGTTCCTGGCATTACTACTGCCTGGCCCTGAGAGACAGGAAAGGACCCACAGAGCTCACAGATTCACAGATAGTGAATGAGGCATGAAAACAGTGAGGAGACTGAGGACTATGAGAATAAACTAGGACCCAACTTAGTCCTTAGGGTTAGGGCAAGTATGAGGGGCATTTAAGTGGAGGCCTAGTGGTAGCGTGGCAAGGTAGGCATCGGCCAGGAAAAGAGTGTGTGTGGGGCCTGAAGCCGAGGAACCAGCAAGAGTCTGACATGCAGGCAGAAAGCAATACCAATAAGGCAGCGAGGAGTTGTCAGGGAGGAGAGAGGTACGAATCAAGGATGTGGGGCAGGTGCAGGCCAGAGCCTGGCGGGCTTTGGAAACCACATGAATATTTGTAAACTTTTCCCTAAGAGCAGGGAGAAGCTGCTGAATCTAAAGGAGCCTCATGACATATGTGCCTTTCTCTCTGAGTAGCTGGGGGAAATTTGGTTAAGGAGGCAAGAGCAGTTGTAGGAAGGCCTGTTAGGAGGCTAATGCCTCAGTCTGGAAGGGTTAATGGGACCATCTGAAAAACTCTGTCACCTGGCACCACCACTCCTACATTCACCACCAAGTTATTTCTCTGCCAAGTGAAAAACACTTTGCATTCATCACTAGTCTGGATACTCCATGATTACAGAGTTCTGTGGACTGCATGGTCTGGTTCCTACCTGCCTCTAGCTTGGGGGGTCCACATCTCCCTCTTATTCACAATACTCCACACGTGTTGGCTTTCTATTTGCTTTCACAGTGCACTGAGTTTTTTCTCACTTCAAGACATGTCCTTAGGAAACAGTGTTTACTTCTACCTGGACTCCTCCTCCTTGCTCTACTCACTTCCTAATTAACTGCTCCTCCTCTGGCTTTCACATCAAGTAACACTTTCTCAAAGCAGCCCATGTTGACCCCTTAGAATAGGTCATGGCTTCTGTTGCACACCCTTAAAAGCATATGTGTTTCTTCTTCCTAGTGCTGACCTCACTTTGTATATGTTATGTTTGTTTACTATTTGTCAGAAATCTTTTGATAGCAATGAATGAAATCCAACTCAAATTGGCCTAAACAAAAAACAAAAAGCGTTGGAAGACGGATGTGTTTGTTCATATATCCGAGAGGCTAGGACAGGGTTAGCATGTTGCCTAACTCCAGGGAGCACTGTTCAGTGATTCTGGAGGCAAGCAACACAGTGGCACTGGCCAGGGGATATTTGACCTCTGACATGGCGGGATCTAGGGGTTCAGACCATGCCATGGTTCCATCTCTCCTTCAGTTATGTTGATTTTGGCATGGACATCCTCATGGAGCCTATCATAGCGGGCAGGGTTCAGAGGATGGGATTTCCCAGATGAAGTGTTTACTCAAAGAAACTGGAAACAGCAAAACAAAAGGGGTAAGTGCAAACCATAATCAACATGAGCCATCCACAAATGATCCAGTGGAATCTGGTCACATATCAGATCTGAAGGGCAAATAAGTCTACAAATGGGCAGTGAATCTAGGGATTAGGTGTCCAGCAGTCAGGAATGGGAGAAGAAAGCAGGTTGGAAGCAAGTTAGAGGAAACTGCTCAGGATAGAAAACAAGACCAAGGTGGTGGGGCCCATTCTTGCTGGTGTTTCTCCAGTGATGGGGATGTGGTCCTGCAAGCTATAAGCTGCAGGCCAGGTCCCAAATAGATGGGAGTCCTTCAGGGAGACAACTATACACAGCAGCTCAGCCCCAGGACCTAGGGACTGAGGGGGTATGGAGAATGGCAAATTGGAGACAGTAGACCCATTACTGAGGAAATATACTGGGGAGGCAACGTAGTACCTACATTCTGGCCCAGACTGTCTAAAGTCAGACAAATTCCACCCTGCCATTTACTAGCCATGTGAATTTGTTTAAGTTACTCAACTTCTCTAACCCTTGGTTTCTCCATCTGTATAGAAGTACTTACAATGTCTGTTATAAAAATTAACGTAGCAATGCTAAACCTTTTTTGCACAGCCTCTTTCACACAGAAACACTAAATAAATGCTCACTGCTATTATTAGCAGCAAACTATAATACTAATTAGCAACAAAGGAAACTAAGAAACAATTTGGAAACCCATGGTCAGCACAAGAGCTGTCATTGCTAGCTCTGAATTGCCATGCCCCTTTCTTCTTTAGGTCTTTGCACAAGGTATTCCACATTCAGATCTCAGCTCATACATTCCTTCCTCGAGGTTGGGGGTCCTGCTGTTCTAGAGGTGCTGGCCTGATGAGTGCGCTAAAGACATTTGAACCTGTCTCCCTGTATCTAGTTTGGCCTGGAAACTAGGGGAAAGGCTGAATCTTCCTATTCAAAGTCCAGCTTGTGCCTGAACAGAGGTGGACTGAGTCTCCACATCCACTCATTCATTTTCACTATGCAAATATTCACTGAGGACAACCTGTGTGCCACACACTCTGCTGAATTATGGTGACTCAGAATTGAACATCCAAACATGGCCCCTGCCCTCCTGGGCCTTCCAGTTGTATAAAGGAAATAGATAAAGCATCACAAGGATCCTAAGAGAGGAAGTAAAGGGCACAATGGCAGCTATGGGGAGTGGAGGAAGTAGGCAGGGCAATATGTGGCATCCAGTTATAACAAGGGAGCTACAGAGGCTGGGAAATTGGCAGGGCCCACCCCCACCCTGAGTCCACGTGTACACATTTTTCTTTGAAACGGGCCAACAGAAACCTTGCATGTATATCCTAGCAGTTTTCCTCTACAAACAGTTTAAAAATACATATTTCTTACAGTAGCTAGGAATGTAAAATAAGGTATAGGACCTGGAAAACAATGGGTTCTTAAAAATAATGTCAATATTGGTGGTTGTTTAGCATCATTATCATCACTGTCAGTGTCCTGCTGATGATAGGTACAAGGTTGAGTGTGAGATTGCTGTCAGCCTGTGGAAGATGTAAAAAGCACAGTTTTCACCATTTTGCCTCCCAAGACATAAATAGAGATGAACAGGTTGTAGACAGAGCAAAGGATCAACTGGGGAGACTGTAGCTCTCAGCCTAATATTCTCAGATGAAGGTAAGGGTCACATAATTTTTCACCGAAGCAAGGCCTTTGACTTCTCCCCTAAATCCTTCAAACCTTATAAGCTACTCCAAGAACAACAATAACAATGATAACAAAACAAAACCAACTTAAGAGCCAACAACAGCTTGGGTGAATCCACACTTCCATTAATCTAGTCCTCCAGAAAAGGTTTCTGGAAATTACATTGCTCTTTCTCCTCTCTCTAGCCACAGAACTAGGGTACTGCTCAAAACATTTTCTTTTCCAACACAACTGACATTTTCTTTTCTTTTCTTTTCTTCCTTTTTTTTTTTTTTTTTTAAACAGGGTCTGGCTGTATCACACAGGCTGGACTGCAGTGGTGTGGTCACGGGCCACTGCAACCTCCACCTCCCAGGCTCCCACCTCAGCCTCTCAAGTTGCTGGGACTACAGGTGCACACCACCACGCCCAGCTAATTTTGTATTTTTTGTAGAGACGGGGTCTCGTCATGTTGTCCAAGCTGGTCTTGAACTCCTGAGCTCAAGGAATCTGCCCACCTTGGCCTCTCATTCAGGGCATAGCAACTTTATGTTACCCCAGGAACCATGAGTGGGGCCTGTATGCGATTGTAACTGAGGGACCCAAGCTGGTGATTTTATCAAAACAAACAACTGTAGGCATTATTGTTTATTCTTAAGTTGGATAAAGTAGAGCCCTAATAGGCAGGACTCTTCTGGGCAGGGAAAATAAGGGATTCTAGCCCCAGAACCTACTGAATAGACGCACTGAATTAGAATTTAGGAGTGTTCTGTTTTTTGTTTTGTTGTTTTTGTTTTTAAGGTGGAGGTGGAACATGAGCAAATTACTTCTTTTACTCAGTGATCCAGAAGGCATACCGTGAGATCCAGGTAGAGATCCAGGTAAGGGACACTGTGAGATTCTGGGGTCCCTTTGCCTGAGGAGTGAGGGACTTAGCTGGACAGTTTTCCACATCATGTCCAGCTTGTTCTCAGGACAACCAGATGCTGACTTTGACTTGGCGCCCTCCAGGTTAGCAGAAGCTGGGCCCAGCCTTGCCCCCTGTGCCCAGGTTTGGGTTCCACCTGAAGGAAGTTTTATGGCCATAGCATCAAGTTCAAATTATTTCACATGACTTCCTAAGATTCTCCCCAGTCTGCCTCCTTCAAAACTCTCCATTTTTCACTGATCCCCTGTTGTGGGTTATTTTAAAGCCATGTGAGATTTCTTTTAGTTCTTCAGCAGCCAACCTTTCTCTTCTTATCTAGAATTAATGCTTGTAAGCATTTCTCTCTGCCTGCAACTTTCACCTGCGAAAACACCTACCTATTCTTCAGGCATTTGCTCAATCATTACTGCCTCTAGAAAGCCTTCCTCTCCACCACACCCCAGCCCAGAGGAGGTTCTTTGGATTTTCTAGGAGGGCATAGATGACACAATCTTGCTCATGCATGCTGTATTTCCAGGCTCACTCAGCACTGCGCAATGCACACAGTCAGCAATAAATACGTGTTGAAAGAATAAGCGACTGACTGAATGAATAGATGAAAGAAATATGCCTGCCCTCCACAAATGGCTAATCAGAGGGTTACTTTCAATAAGGACTTGGAAGGTGAGGGCTGTTTTAGGTATCCTTGGACTGGGTGCCTCTGACTAAGGAATTGAAGCTTGTCTGAAGCACATGGGAAAACACTTACTTATTAGTTAAAATAAATAACAGTAAACTGACTTAGCCAAAATAAAATAAATCATGGAAAACTGATTGACTGTACTGAGCTTAAAGAGGATAAACATACAGCAGTACTCAGTGTCAAGGACACATCTGCCAGCCTGCTTCTGAGGATCTGATCTATGCTTCTCATGGGGAGAACCTTAGGTAGCACAGACCTACCACTAATGAAAGTCTTCAGATGGGTCCTCAGGCATGCTCCACAATAGCACTGAACTCACAGAACATACACTAAGGGGCTTATCCCCTCTGACTAGCAGTTGTAACTCAAGATTTGATTGTATGTATGGCCACATGTGGCAGGAAGAGAGGCCAAGACTTGGCATGAGACCTACCCACTACAATGGGACAGGCTTTGAAGAACTAACCTAGGTGCAGAGAATAATGCCAGTGGAAGAGCCAAATGGGAGTCATTATTAAGAGATACAGTAGCCCCAGTTACAATCCAGGCAACAACTGGCCAGGGGGTTTCCAATCATAAGTATTGGGAGTTTGAAGATGGGTTCATGGCTGGCTCCAACAAGAAAGAGTCAAAGTGAAGGTCCCTACCGTCATGACTGAGTTCAGGGCTGGGATATGGACAAGACATATTGGAACTGCCAATTGGCAGCAGGAGAAAGAAGCCAAAAACAGGTGGGATTGGGGCTGGGGAAAGTGACCTTTCTTTCTGAGGCACTGGCCTCTTCAGAGAATGGCAGCAGTGGAACACCCTGTGCCTGTGTAGGAAGGACCTAAAGATGGAGTGGGAGGCACAGAGTCAGTGGACACAGTCACTAGACGCCCAGAAAGTCAGGGGGATAGGAAATGAGGTGGAGCTGATCCTCACAGAATTCCACACTAGAACATAGTAAATTCCACTGGGAGGATGAATGGCATGAGGTTCCTAGACCAGAGAGCACTTGGGGGGGTGTTGAAGCAGCTCTGGAGTTTGGAGTAATCACCTTGGGAGAGAGAGAGAATCATCCATAGTGATTTGTTCCTATTCAAATAGGGGGAAGAGGGCCTTCGAGCTAAGCATCTGAGGAGGTGGCTGGGAGCTCTTGTGTGGGGATGGTGTTGGTGTGTGTGTGAGAAGGCAGCTTTGATATAGTTGGGAACTGGTGCCAGGATGTGAAGACACCTAGAGAGTGAGGCTGTAAAATCAAAGTTTGTTTTGTGAGTTCTGAAAGAGGAAAGCACCAGAAGATCATTCGAGTGTCTAGTCCTGGTCAACAGGGGCATTGCAGTGGAGTCTGAGGCACTCTCCCCAGGCCTGGGAGAGGAGGTGGGAGTGCCCTTGACCCAGGTATGGGAGACGATAGGGAGTCCTTGTTCTGTGTGGAGACTTAGATAGACTACTGGGTTAGTAGAGATCTGACTCATCCCTCTCTAATAAAGCGTGGATCCAGTGACTTTGGGTGGGGTCGCATGTGTTGAAAACTGAGAAGAACCTGGCCCCATCTGACATCAGTCTGGGTGGTGATGGGGAACTCAGGACCAGAGTTCGTCACTTAGGGTGTGGCTAGAGAGCTAGAGTTAGGGCCCTGACAACTTCAGGAAATAAGACAACAAAGGAAATAAATGGATACTTTTATAATGACATAAGATTTCTAGCTTGTAATAATGTGATAAGTGAAATGATAACCCCATACTATAGAGGGAGACTGGGCCAAGAGAAAATTAACAGAATTTGGTGACTGAGTTGCTGCCTCCTTATCTTGCTTCATTCAGAGAAGTAAAGATAAGACCAAACTACCCAAAGGGAACCTGGAAATCTCCCTGCTAAAAGAATTCTTGCGTGCATATTTCTACAATTTTAAAATTAATTTGGGTTCACAAGTTTCCTTTTTAAAATGCTAGTACCCCAAGGAAGTATTCTTGCTTTAAGTAAATAACCTTAAGTGGGGTCTCACTCCTCCTAAAACCTGCAAGAGAGAAGCTGCATGAAGAAAATATGAAAGCTGGTTGAGCTGTAGGAATAGGAAATGGTGTGTTAATATTAGGATACACTTTGAGTGAGGGGAGTAGGGATTTTTGGTCGTTCAGAGGGTAGCTTAGGGCACCACTCTCTCCCTGGCACGGGGGAAGCAGGAAGAAAGAAGGGAACATCTCACGTGTTCTCTCAGCTCCAGCATTCTGGATGGTGCCCCCTCCCACCCCCCTCCTGCTGACTTTTGGCTAGGCTTCCTCCTACTAATCCTTTAAAATTCCATTTAACCTTCACCTCCTTCCCAGATTTGCTCAAGCAGAGTTAGCAGCTCTGTTCTTTGGGCTCTCACTGTTGTTTATACACATATTTTGTTTTCATCTGTTTATAGCTACATTTCTCCTACAGACCATCAATTCCTCAAAAGTAGAGATTATGTCATATTCATCCAGTATCTAACATAGTACATAATAGGATTCCATAACTTTGTTTTATTGGGGTTTTTTTTGTTGTTGTTTTGTTTTGTTTTTAGACAGGGTCTGGCTCTGTCACTCAGGCTGGAGTGCAGTGGCGCAATCTCAGCTCACTGCAACCTCCGCTTCCCAGACTCAAGCCATCCTCTCACCTCACCCTCCTGAGTAGCTGGGACTACAGGTGTGCATCACCATGCCTGCCTAATTTTTGTATTTTTTGTAGAAATGGAGTTTTGCTATGTTGCCCAGACTGGTCTTGAACTCCTGAGCTCAAGCAGTCTGACAGCCTAGACCTCCCAAAGTGCTGGGATTCCAGGATTCAATAATTTTTAAGGTGGTGAATGAATTTATGACAATTAAAATATCTCACCTTGAGCAAATTATCAGTGTTAATAAAGCGGACTTATATGAGAAAGACATTTCTAAATAGCACAAGAAGCGTACACCTTGCTATGCTATTTTTGTGTAACTTTTAAATTCATGAAAGTAGATTCTTTTCATACTTTTCTAAATAGAACTATGCCCAGTTAGTTACCAAAAACTAGAGATTTAAAAAAAATTCATCCTGGCCATTTCTCAAATTAGAACAAGTTACCAAAGTATACCAAAACCGTGCAAGCAAACTGTTTCACTGAGGTTTCTGGTTTAAATATAGACTGGCAGGAATTAAATGTTTGACAATCCCCAGAAGGAATACTATAGAAGGAATGTTCTACTAATTCAAGGATATTGCACAGACCAAAAAAATCCCAAGGGTAGCCAGGTAAATTTGGGAAACTTGGCGGTATCATTTAACACATACAAAACCAGTAAGAATTTTCAAAAAATATAATATCAAGTGGGTTCAATGTTTGGTGAAGTCAATAGTGCCTTGCTGGTGGTGACAGATTGGTCTAAGTCTTCTAGGAAATAGTATAACAATGTATATGAAAAGCCAAAAAGACATTCTGTAATCCAACTCTTGGAAATTTATCCCAAGGCAATATGTGAGAAGAAGAAAACAACTTATAGGCCTGAAAATGTTCATTGTTCTATAATTAGGGTGTCCCCTTTTTGCTGATCCAATTCCTCCTCCCCATCAGCCTTTCAGGTAAGGGGTAATGTCTCCTCTGGGCTTACATTATAAAGCCTTGGGCCTAGGGAAATGCTCTGGATGCAAGTAACACTTTGCTCCCCCGTCGGGGAAGCCTGAATATTCACCTTGGCTCCCGGAAGTGGTTCCCCTTTTTGTCTGTCATCTCTGGGTACTTACCTGAATGGGTAATTCAGAGGCTGTCTCTGGTCCCTTTCCCCTTTTCCAGTCTTTGGCTCCCCCTACAGACCCCTTAAAAATGAGTCTTCCTGTTATGCCCCAGTAGCATTCTGTGGCTTTCAGGAAGACAGTAATTGCTGATTTAACCAGACATCAAAGTCTTAATAACCAAACCAATCCAAAGCAAACCAACCAAACCAAACAAAAAAGTTGTCCCTCCCATTGATGGAAGGTAGAAAAGAGGTGGGCATTTAGAAACACAATGTAAAATCTATATAAAAGGAAATTTAGTTGATTTTCTATTTAAGAAAAAAAAAATCAAAGATTGGAAGAACAAATGTTCTTTAGAAATGGAAATGACTTCCAATAGGGGGTTGTGAATAAGTCTCCAAACATTTCAATTAAGTCTTCAAACATTTTTACTCATGCACATGAGATGCTATCTACCCTCCTACATATTTTTCAATTGTCACCTAAAATTTTTCATCATAAGTTTAAGTATTCGCAAAGGTTGCAATTTTCCGCAAAATGTAAAAATTAACATTTTTAAATAAAACATGCTTTTAAATGAATCCAACGAAATCTAAATATCATAGCAGTTATGCTTACTATGAACCATTTAAAAAAATATATGAACAAATTATTATTTACCTATAGGATATTTTTACATAATTTATTTTCTCTTCGCATTTATAATTCCATTCCACATCCCATTCCTCAGGAATATATCCTAATTAATGTACTTTTATGTTTGAATATGTTTTTTGTTTTTGTTTTTGAGACAGTATCTCGCTCTGTTACCTAGGCTAGACTGCAGTGGTGCAATCACAGCTCACTGAAGCCTCAACCTCCCAGGCTCAAGTGATCCTCCCACCTCAGCCTCTGGAGTAGCTGGGACTGCAAGCATGTACTTCCATGCTTGGCTAATTTTTAAGTTTTTTGTAGAGACAGGGTCTCACTCTGTTGCCCAGCCTGGTCTTGAACTTCTGGGCTCAAGCAATCCTCCTGCCTGGGCCTCCCAAAATGCTGGGATTACAGGCGTGAGCCACTATGCCTAGCTGAATGTGTTTTATGAATCACTCTATTATATTTCTCTGCAATGAAAATACATATAAAAGCCAGGCACAGTGGCTCATGCCTGTTATCCCAGCATTTTGGGAGACCAAGGTGGGTGGATCACCTGAGGTCAGGAGTTCAAGACCAGCCTGGCCAACATGGCGAAACCCCGTCTCTACTAAAAAATACAAAAATTAACTGGGCGTGGTGGCAGGCACCTGTAATCCCAGCTACTCAGGAGGCTGAGGCAGGGATAATTGCTTGAACCTGGGAGGCAGAGGTTGCAGTGAGCCGTGATCGTGCCATTGCACTCTAGCCTGGGTGACAACAGGGAAAACTCTGTCACAAAAAAAAAATATACATATATATATATATATATATATATATATATATACACACACACACACACACATATAAAGAAATACATATAAGTTGAAATTTAAGTTTCTTATAACTAAAGACCCTAGGTGCTCATTTTCTTCCAGATTGAGGCATCATTGTATTTATTAGTAATTTTCAAGTATTCAAAACAATACAAAATATAAATTTTTTGATTATTAAATGTGATGTTTTACAATTAAGTGCACACATTTATTGTTAAATACTACTTCTTACTAGAATGAGACAAAGTTCAGATTCAATGTTTTCTCAATTTTTCATTTTTATAAATTCTGAGAAAATGTTTTCACATTAATAAGTAGATGGAGGCTGGGTGTAGTGGCACACACGTGTAGTCCCAGCACTTTGGGAGGGGGAGGCAGGTGGATTGCTTGAGCTCAGGAGTTCAACACTTGCCTGGGCAACATGGTGAAATGCTGTCTTTACAAAAAAAAAAAAAAAAAATTGCCAGGTGTAGTAGTGCATGCCTATTGTCCCAGCTACTTGGGAGGCTGAGATGGGAGGATCACTTGAGCCCAGGAGGTCGAGGCTACAGTGAGCTGAGATTGTGCCACTGTACTCCAGCCTGGGCAACAGAGAAAGACCCTGTCTAAAAAAAAAAAAAATAGTAGTTGGGTCTATAAGGAGTTTTGTCATTATATCAATGTCACTTAATTCTTTGAACTCCTTCTAATCGATATCAGTGATCTTTAGGTCATACTTTTTTCAAAGCAATTATTTGGAAATCATCTGACTTGCAAAAGAATTTGTTACCCAGTCATTAGAAGTATACACTTTCTAATATAGATCAGTGTTTTAAATTTATAAAGAATTGGCAAAGATTGCTGAGCCTTTTATAACCCAGAGCAATGCCTGTAAGATTCTCAAATGTCTTTCCTTTTACAAATTGGGAAACATACAGCTATTGTGAAAGAGTTGGGAAATGAGACACCTTGACCATATTCCTTTACCAGCAGATCAATTTTAGGAAAGAACGTAGGTGTAAATTGAAGATTCAGAAACTGGTAGCCTTTTTTTTTTTTTTTTTTTGACAGAGTTTCCTTCTGTGGCCCAGGCTGCAGCACAGTGGTGTGATCATGGCTCACTATAGCCTTGATCTCCCCAGCTCAGCTCAGGTGATCCTGCCACCTCAGCCTCCTGCATGCCATGCCTGACTAATTTTTTGTGTGTGTGTGCGTGTGCGTGCATGTGTGTGTGCGTGTGTGTGGAGTTGGGATTTCACCATGTTGTCCAGGCTGGTCTCGACCTCTTGGGTTCAAGCAATCTGCCTGTCTCAGCCTCCGAAAGTTCTGGGATTACAGGTGTGAGCCACAGCAGAAATTGGTAGCCTTTAAACTAAGTGTCCGTCTATCCCTTAACAATCCCATGAGGGATACAGAGCTCAGTTTGAAGATGGCTGATGTGAATGTTTACATCTTATTGAATTAGGTGAGAGAGACAGGTCAGCTCAGGTTAGGCCTTGGTTGGGACACTGTACACTGTTATCTGTACCCTGGGAGAGTATAGAACTGTGACATATGCTGGGGATAAAACAGCCAGTCCTCTTGGCTGGTTAATTTTTATGGATGGTCAATCTTATCCTTTATACTCTATTCTTTTATATTTTCTTCTCAGTGGCAATTACCTTAACTTCAGTTTTGGGAATCTGATGTTGAGTGTAGTCTGATACTGACTACCTAAGGGAAATACTATGCTATACTTAAAAATTATTAAGACTGTAAAAACATAAGAAACGTTTAGAGTATAGAAAGGAAAAGCAAAATATATAGTTGTATGAAAATTATTTCAATTATGCAAAACTACATAAACTTCTGAACAACACTACAATATACAAAAATGAAGTTGTGATTTTTTATAAATGTTTTTAGTGCTGCATGACTTCTAACATAACGTTATGGATTACATATGCTGAGGGTCAGACTGCCTACTGTAATATTCTATTTCTCCTAGTGGTACTAAGGAATTATGTGAGCTTAAGTTCCCTCAAACAAAGTGATTGAAGGTCCATTTTCAAAAATTCTGTTTTCTCATCAGGATTCATTATGGGCGTTATTTCCCAAACACATTTAAACTTTTTCATCCTAGTTTAATGCAACGTAGGTTTTAGCATCAAATTCCAGAGGTTTATCAACTACTATATGAAGAAGTAATTCTTTTCATTCATATATATAACCTTTTAAGCTTTAGTTCCCGATTTATTACTCAGAGCTCAAGAACCTGACCTCATTGACTTTACATTGCTCTTAGGGTTTACCATTCCTCGTAGCCTTTATGCTTTTTAGAGGCTACTTTAGAAAGAGAGTCAGTTTGACAGCCTCCAAAACTAATCACATTTTCTGAAATTTCAGTTTCCTCCGTGTGTGTTCTGAGGTGTAATTACGAGCTTGGTAATTTCCAGGGCCCACCAAAGTAAGGACGGAAGACTAGTCCGAGAGACTTCACGTGTGTGAGGGTAATACTGGTCCGCACCCAAATTTGAATTTTAGCTCCCATGATTCCCACATATTGTGGGAGGGACCTAGTGGGAGATAATTGAATCAAGAAGGCTGTTTCCCCCATGCTGCTCTGGTGGTAGTGAGTACGTCTCAGGAGAGCTGATTGTTTTATATGGGGTTTCCCTTTTTCCTTGGCTCTGATTTTCCTCTCTTGCCTGCTGCCATGTAAGACGTGCCTTTCCCCTTCTGGCTTGATTGTGAGGCCTCCCCAGCCACGTGGAACTCTGAGTGCATTAAATCTTTTTATCTTTATAAATTACCCAATCTCGGGTATGTCTTTATCAGCAGCGTGAAAACGCACTAATACACTTCCCTTCTGGGGTCTCTGAGATGGGACCGAAAGATTCCCTAAGGGAGCACCCCGAAAATCCGAGAGGAGAAGAGCCAGCGAGATCTCAGAACTCGAGCTGCCTCGGGCCGCTTCGATGGGCACAGATCCGCCCCCTCGCAGCGCCCCGCCCCCCAGCGCGTTGCACGCAGGCACGTCCTCCCAGTAGTTCAGGCCCCGCCCCCTCCCCGTCGCCCCACCCCGGCCGCGACGCCCCGCCCCGCGCCTAGGCTGTTGCTGGCCGCGGCCGCCGCCCTCCCCCGGCCCAATGGCGTGGCGGCACAGTCAGTGATGTGACGCTCAGGCTTGTCCGGCCCCCGGCTCGCAGCCCATTACACCATCCGTCGCAGCAGTCGCTGCAGCCGCTGCAGTCCGAGCCGACTAAGGGCGGGAGGCAGCTCGGGTGGCGGGGCGTGGCGAACAGCGCGGCCGGATTCATTCCTTTGGGGCGCGGAGCATGGAGGAGCTGTGCGGCCGCAGGCGGAGCAGGGCGGCCCGGGCGGCGGTGGGGACAACGGTTTCCCTTTGAAGGGGACGGACAAAGCCCGAGTGACCAGCGGCGGCGGGGAGGACTAGTCCCCGGGCAGGTAGTGGCGGCGGCAGCGGCCTGCCAGGGCTCGGGCCGGGGCCTGAGGTGCCCGCGGAAGGCCTGGGCGGGAAGGAGGGCGCCGGGGGAGCCGAAGGCGGGCAGCGGGCTGGAGGCCACAGCTTGGCCCATCGGGAGGGGGTTGTGGTCGATGGAGGAGATTGGGAGGGGGCTGCCGTTGTCTGGAACAGGGAGAGGGGAAGGTTGTGTTGGGGCGACTGTGGTTTGAGGAACCTGCGGATCATCCCTTGGCGGGGGGTGGGGGGTGATCGAAATGGGGCGGGCGAAGTTAATGACTAAAAGGCAGGCGGATTTCCTGAGAGCCGTGAGTAGTTTTAAAGGAAAGAGAATCTTTCGGGGCACAGTTTTGGCCTTAGCCGGGGTTTGGTGTGTCCGACCTTTTTGTTCTTTCTCGAAACCCGGCCTCAGGCCTTCCAGCCTGGCGCCCTTGGCCAGCTCTCCTGCAGTTGCAAGAAAGAGAAACATTTCTGAACCCGAGTCTCCTGCCTCTTTCGGTTGTACTCTCCCTGGGCGTGTGCAAAGCAAAACTAGAACAAAGCTTGGCTGGTTAGAGCTGGAGGCGAGAAAACGGGCTGCCTGTAGTGTTTAAATTTTCCGCACATGGAGGAGACTGCCTGCGACCAGAACATTTGGGTCTCTGTGTATCCTTCTGTATTTTTCTTTACCACCTTTTCTTTGGGGGTGGGGGGGGTGTGTGGGATGGAGTAGTGCCTGAAGTATAGCTTTTATTCCTTTCTTCCCACAGAAGTGGAAATTAAGAAGTGTTTTGCCTTCTTCTATAGAAAATTAAATGCTGCTACTTTTTTTTTCTTTCTCTAGTTTGGTGCCCTGGTTGTCAGATGTTGGAAAGCAGTAGGACGGAACATACTCTTCGTGGTTGTGTATCCGTTCTGGGGTGCAGCAATTAACATTGGACTTTGGTTCCTGTGACTCTTGCCTGTGTCGATAGAGTTAAACTGGAGCTCTGCTTTGAAAGATAAATAAAGCACAGCCTCTCAACTGGACATAAATGGATCTAAAGACAGCAGTATTTAACGCAGCTCGGGATGGCAAACTCCGGCTTCTCACCAAATTGTTGGCAAGCAAATCCAAAGAGGAGGTTTCCTCCTTGATCTCTGAAAAAACAAATGGGGCCACGCCACTCTTGATGGCCGCCAGGTATGGGCACCTTGACATGGTGGAATTCCTCCTAGAGCAATGCAGTGCCTCCATAGAAGTTGGGGGCTCCGTCAATTTTGATGGCGAAACCATTGAGGGGGCTCCCCCTTTATGGGCCGCTTCTGCAGCAGGACATCTGAAGGTGGTCCAGTCCTTGTTAAATCATGGAGCATCTGTCAACAACACGACTTTAACCA
This sequence comes from Homo sapiens, assembly GCF_000001405.40. NCBI lineage: Eukaryota > Metazoa > Chordata > Mammalia > Primates > Hominidae > Homo > Homo sapiens. The sequence goes on along the minus strand of NC_000005.10, from coordinate 115,543,147 downwards.
ATTCAACTCCTCTTCGAGCTGCGTGTTTCGATGGCCATTTGGAAATAGTGAAGTACCTTGTAGAACACAAAGCTGATTTGGAAGTGTCAAACCGACATGGGCATACGTGCTTGATGATTTCATGTTACAAAGGACATAAAGAGATTGCTCAGTATTTACTTGAAAAGGGGGCAGATGTTAATAGAAAAAGTGTCAAAGGTGAGTTCAGCTTCTTTGTTTTTCTAAATGTCTACCACTTATTTTCAGGAAGTTTGATACATCATTATAAGCACTGGTGTTGAGTAAACCAGCATTGACAGACCTGTTTTGATTAGGTAAGTCTTCCAGTATGACTTTGTTGAGTGTTTCTATGATGTTTGGTAATAGATTGAAAAAGTGTGATAAAAGACTTCTGTTACTCTGTTAAGCAGTATTTTCTCTCTTATTTGGAGTAACTTAAAATTCTTGGGAAATGGGTTCCCCAGAGTTACAGAGCATGTTAGTGGTAGCTGATCTGAGCCTTTAGGCTTATGCTTAATCTACTTGGGAATATGGTTAAATGTAATACATTTTTCTTAGCTTTTTGTTTTGTTTTTTTTTTTTTTAGAACAACCTTGGAGTAGAAATTACTATATTTATTGAGTCATGGTCTTGTTTGTTCTAGGCAGTCATTTCACTTTTTCTGTCAGAGAAGGCTAGGCTAAACTGACCTGGAAGGATTAATATCAGTGGAAAGGAGCAAATCTGTTCCCTTATTCTATATTTGTTTGTGGTCAATAGATAATCCTTTTATAAGAACATGCATTAAATATAGCAAGAGAGAAAACACATTTTTAAAACTGCTTCAATACTGAGAGTGAAGAACAAGGACTAGATTAAACAGATGTGGATTTGTTGGCTAGCAACAGTGTAAACACCTTTGTCCAGAAGAAGGGCTCCGGTTTTTGATTGTGTATAATTTTTGTTGATTGTAATAAACTAAAAGCAGCAAAAAGTAGTTTAGAATTTTTTTAACCCTTAAAAGCAACTGCCTTGATAGCATAATTTTGATACTTGAAAACCTTAACTTCCCTTACACGAATCTATTTATACGACAGCAAAATAATTCACTACCTAATTTTTAAAAGCCATTAAAATTTAAAAGTAGCATATAGACATGTTAAAAAAAATCAAACAGTGTAAATTGGTTTACATTGTTGGTTTACATTTGAATAAAAAGTCTTATTCCTGATTTCTAGATCTCTAATGCGCTGACAACCACTATTTACAGTTTTTTATGTGTCCTTTTAGAGTTGGTCTATGCAAATACAAGCATACTTGTCTATGTACAAGCATGCTTGTTTGTGTAGCCCTCCGTCTAGTGGTTGATTACATACTTTTTTATCTTTATTTATTTTTCTAACCTTGGATGTCATTCAACTCCAACACACATAGCTACCTCATTCTGTTTTGTGGCTATACAGTATTTCATTGTATGAATGTACATAATTTATCTAGTCTCTATTGGTTGATATTTAGGTCACATCCAGTACTTTGCTAATATAAACAATGCTGCTGTGAACATTCTTGAACAAAAATGTGTCTTTTCACGCTTGTGTGAGAATAACTGTAGTATAAATACCTGTGTTCAGAATTGCTAAATCAAAGTGAATGTACATTTGCAGTTGTGATAGTGTCTGCCTTTCAGAAAGGTTAAACCACACAATTATGGGGCACTATATAGTTACTGAGCATATTTGCTGTAGATTGTGTGATCTTTTATAAAAATGATACAAGTGTGATCTTTTATAAAAATGATACAAGATCATTGTGATTTTTCTGAATTTTTTTTTCCAGAGGAAGTGTAAAAATCCCACAAAATCCCAGTACTCAGGGATAATACTTCCAAAGATATTTCTGAATTTTGCATACTGATATATGTATGCAGTTTTATATGCTGTTCTATAACCTGTTTTTTAGCTTAATAAATGTTATCTTTAATATTACCAATTATAGCTCTTTAATTTCAATAGCTGCATACTCTTCTACTGATGGAGTTTTATGTTGCTTCCAGTTTTTCAGTATGATAAAAAATGTTTCTGTAAACATTCTTTCTAATAAGTGTTTTCATTTGTTCCTGATTATCTTTAGAGGTGGCTTGGTAGATCAAATGACAGCATGGCTTTTCTTTTTTCTCCAAACAATTATCATTCTTTTGAAGAATGCTTGTTTTAAGACAACAAATTACTGCTGAACTAACCATGTTAATATTGGGAATGGTTTGAAATCATGGCTGCTTGTTTAGGTTTGTTGAATTTTTTGTTTCTTTGTTTTGGGCTTTTTATTCATCAGCTTGATGTAGATATTATTGATAAACTCATATTTAAGTCAAATTGGGATATGTTTTAAAAGCCTATGTTATTGGAGAGATGAGAACTGGTATTACTTCCGTTATATTTTCCAAAGCTTCTTTATGTACTTGTGGAGATATAGTATATGAGAGAACTCTAATATAAATAGCTCAGATTTTTTCAGCATTTTCTCCTGAGAAGCTGTGAACAGTATTTAACTTGATTACCTTTGAGCTCTTTCAAAACAATGTTCCCTTTATCACCACTATCATCTTTTAGCCTTATATGTGAGGGTATGTCTGTTCTCTCTTTTGGCCAAACTTATTCTAAGTCATTTTTTTCCCCAGTATCAGTATCTAATATGTATGTCTTTAAAAAAACTACATATAACATGAGAAAACAATTTCATGCCAAAAATTGTTTTCTCGTAACCTCAACTTTATACCCATACACATGCATATAGATATTGTCACTTCATGTGCAGAATTTTTACCTTTTCATGGTATCTGTTAATTTCCATAGTGATTCTTCATGAATGTTGGGGGCAGATTAAAGTACATGTTCATCCTCCTCCACTCTGATCCTGAAGCTTCACTGCTCATTCTCTCATTGGTTCTGGATTTTTTTCTATGGGTTAATGGTAACAAAAGCAGGAACCAATTGAAACTAAGGCAGGGACACTGGAGAAGGATGTGATTTAGCAGCAAGAGAGGATTTTTCCCCACTTTTTTAGCCCCATTCAAAAAGTAGAAAAGATTAATAAGACTAGAGTTAAATTAGAATAATTCCTTAGGACATTTTGTGTGTCATTCACTGGAAATGGTTCTGAGGAAAGAAAATGTCAGTACATTGTGCTTGGTCTGCTTAAAGATAAAATGCATGTGACTTCTACATTCCATTACTTTTAAACAGGCGGTTGATATTTGAACATGTTATTTAACCTCTTTTCATTACTTTTTAACAGGCTATTGGCATTTTGAACATGTTTTAACCTAAGGTGGAATTCACTAATTGAGAGAGCAGTTGTTGAGTCCCGCAGTGTGCCAGGCTGTTAGACTTAGGATATACAAAGAGCAATAAGACAAGATAGCCAGTCCTTGATTCCCTGCTCTTGAGGAGCTCATGGTTTGATTGGAGAGACAGGTTCATAAGCAGATACTTAAACCACAGTATGGTAAGTGCAACAGTAGTACTTTCTTCTATTAGATATTTGGAAATGCTTTATCCCCAACAACTTATAACCTGAGGGGACAATGGTTTTCTTCTTTTCCCATGGCATTCCAAAAGGGGAGAAAATCTTTGATATATTTAGGAATACCTCTTCAGTTTAACAGTCATAGCAATTGAGTTTTGAGACGGGAGTTGGTTCCTATTTAAGAATCTAGACTGTAAATCTGTAGTGATTAGGTGAGTCCTTCTCAGAGCTATCACAGTGATCTCAGCGCTTCATGGTTATAGTCATCTTTGGCCTCCTTTGGTTCTTTTGTTTGTGTTTTGGGGTTGTTTTTGTTTGGACTTAGAACTTTGCAGATCCAAAGTTAAGTCCTCTTCAATTCCACTTTTACACCCTAATTCTAACAGAAATTGAGCAGCTAAAAGTTCTTGATTCAGTACTACAGACCAATAGAAAACGCTGTAGGCTCAGATTTGGAGACTGGCTCTAGAAGACATTCTGTCCTCATTCATCAGTCAGTTTAGATACCCAAAGTAATTAAATAAATTGGTAATAAGGTAATTAACATGCACTTTCTGTAGGCAAGGCATTCTGTGGGACATTTTGGAGGTTATGAGAAGATACGAGGTGTCACATTTTTAACTTCTGAAGGAATAGTATAAGCAATCCATGCTATAGGATTTTAGAGCGGGTGTACTGACTAGGAATGCTTCATGGAGAAAGTAGAAGTTAAACAGGGCTTTGAATTTTGGGGTTTAGATCTATGGACAGGTTGGGGTTTAGATCTGCAGAAAGTTTATTGGGATGTGGATCTGTGGAAGGGTTTTGGCAGTTTTGAAGGTTTAGGAAATGGCATAAGGAAAGGCACTTTGAAGAATATGCTTGGAGGGTCCAGGAATTGGAAAGTAGGCATATTAGAACTAAAAGGCACTCAGGGCTGAATTTTAAAGGACATTTAATCTAGGTACAGGAGTTGGATTTTATTTTTCATGCCAGTAAAAGTTTTTCAGCAGGGGACTAACTGGAGTGGTTTGTTTGTTTGCTTGTTTGTTTTCAGAGAAACTTATCTAACTGCATTCTACTACAACACTGTGACATCTAACCGCATTCTACTACATAGTCTTTGAGGCTAAAGACCTAGTGTTTTTACCCCATGCATTAGGAAGAGTATCTGGCCCTAAATGAGCTTGTTGAGTGGACATGTTGGATTTAAGAGAGGAAAGATTATAAGCTCCTTGATGGCAAGCACTATGTTTTATAGGCCTTTCTGTAGGGAAATAAATACATGCATGAAGACTTGAAGTAACAAAGTAAGACAGTAGTTGGACAAAAATGAGTAGCACAGGTAGAATATAGGGGTTCAGAAAAGGGAGAAATTCATGTAGGCATGTGGCAAGGATTGCTAGCATTAAAAGGGTTTGAGAGAACTAGTTCAGACAGATTATTTGCCTTTTCATTATGGAAATTTTCTAACTTACACAGAGAGAATACATTGAACCACTATGTATTCATCATCTTACTTCAACAATTACCCATTTGCTAAAGTTTAAAAAAAAGTTTCTACTTTCCTTTTGTTTTCTATAGTAGTTTAAAGCAAATCCAAGGCTTTATATTATTTCTCTCTCATAGAATGGGCATTTAGAATATAGATGTATTTTAGTCAAGGAAATGCTAAAGAAAAATCTTATTTAATTCCCCACTGTAAATGCACAAGAATCTCAAATGAGAAAATCTCTCTTGTAAACTAAAAACTGTTGGTATTCAGATAGACTAAGATAATGATTGATGTCATTCTAGGTTATTTTAGTATACTTTAGTACTATCTGAGTGTTGAAAGCTGAAGTTCTCTTTTCCTTCTTGACTTTGAAAACTCTTCTCAGCTGTTGGTTACCTCAGCACACCTACTTACAGAGAAAAATAAAAGGGGGAAGGGAGGGACTTATTCTAATATATCTATATTTATTTTGATTGAGTAATGTTTAAATAACTTACTAGTTGAAGTCATTAACACTTTAATCCCAAATTATGAAGTTACTCCTGTAAGTTGCTCTGTGTTCATTCTTTTCCCTCTTGTATCCCCTGGCACACTTTTCTGTGTCCTTGGGAAGAATTAGTATCTTAGTTGGATAAACTAAGCTGTAGATGGTGTGCAAATTGAGTCCAGTAGGGAAATATCCATGTGGTCCTTTGTCCCTGGAGATTGGATTTTGAACTGTGAATCCTCACAGAATTGAGCAGTTTGGTGAGAATGAGTAGATCCTGAGCACTACTGCTGTTCATATTGTTCGTGGCAGTAACATGAGCTTAAGATAGAAGTTACGTTTCACTTACTGGCCTTCGGGTACAATGTAGTTCCTTCACTGGTTCATTTTTTATCAGATTTTCATTGATTGGTTGATAAAATATGTTTGTTTGAAATAAAATTCAGGAAACCCAGGGCATTACATAGATTTATGCTGTTGAGGCAGCAGGAATGTATGTGATGGAAGATAGAAGTGGAAGAGATAGGGAGAGACCCAGATGAAAAAGTCAGTTGGATGCAAATCTGATCAGAACATGTCTTCCTTCTTTTTTTCCTCCCTTTGGGAAGAGCTGTGATTGAACAGGGAGTCTGTGAACTAGAGGACAGGGAATTATAATGTTGAAGTTTTCTGTCATTAGATGAGTTTTTTACACATAATTAGTTGCTTTTAGTCCTCATCCCTTAGCTCCAGTGCTCTTAGCCTTGAAAATTCTACTTAACATCGAGACTCATTTCAAATGCAATTCTTCATCTCCCTCAGGTTATAAGAATGCATCTTACCTCTTTGGATGCAGATATTTTTTAGCGTTTAACTTTGTTGTAAGCTCAAGGACCTTTATTGTTAAATTTCTGTTTGTTCTTTGCTCAGTGCCTTATACAAAGAATTAATGAAGGGAGGGCACATAGTAAGTAGTCTTGGCACAATTTATCTTCTTTTTTTTAATTTCCTTTTTTTTGAACTTCTGTTCTTGAGTATCTCTCATGATAGACTACACATGGGGAAGGGAAACATTCTAAGCAGAGAATCCTTCTTCTAGTGCTCCTTTGATACCCTAAGTTGTTTTTTTCCCTTTATCCCTTCTTACCTCCTCCATCAACCTACACCTGTTAGTTATTCAGGGAATAAAATACTTGGAATCAGCATTATTGTGCAATTGAACCACACACCCTATCCTCATCTTACAAGTGGACCACCTCTGTACTCAGCCCAACCCCAGCTACAAAGTTGAGGAAGGAATGGGTTGGTGCCAAGCATAGTAGGCTGAAGAAAGAGAGATGAGGACTGTTTTTGTGTCTTTCCAAATAAATGTATTATAATAAAAGACCCTCTAATTGCTGCTTCTATCAGTCAACACTTATACTTTCACCAAAAATATAATATTTTTATTTTAATTGGATTTTTAAAACAGCCTTATTGAGATAAAATTCACAAAACCACTTAAAGTGTATACAATTCAATGGCTTTTCAGTATGTTCACGGGGTTATACAACCATCACAACTATCAGCTTTTCATCACCCCCGGAAAAAATCTCATATCCATTAAGAGTCACTCCCTCCTATCCCTCCTCATTCCCCTGAAACTGCACTAGTCTTAGGCAACCAGTAATCTCTTTTCTGTCTTAAGTTTGCCTGTTCTGGACATTTAATTTAAATGGAATCACATAATATGTAGTCTTTTGTGAGTTGTCTTGTTACTTAGTGTAATGTTTTCAAGGTTCATCCATTTTGTAGCATGTATGAGTGCTTTTCTTTTTATTGCAGAATAATATTCCATTGAAATAGATATATCACTTTTATTCATTCAGCAGTTGATGGGCATTTGGGTTGTTTATACTTTTTAGCTATTCATGGATAAATTCTTCTGTGGATATATGTTTTCATTTCTCTCAGGCACATACCTAGGAGTGGCATTATTGGGTTGTATGGTAACTCTTTTAACAGGAACCGTTAAACTGTTTTTCAAAGCAGTTGTACCAGTTTACATTCCTGTCAGCAATGTAAGAAGAGTTCCAGTTTCTCCACACCCTCTCCAACACTTGTTCTTCTTCTTCTTCTTTTTTAATATAGCCATTTTAGGAAGTGTGTAGTGATATCTCATTGTGATTTTGATTTATATTTCTCCAATCGCTAATGACGTTGAGCATTTTTTCATGTACTTAATTCGTGTGGTTATTGGCTCTCTCTGTCTCTATTTTCTTTGGAGGAGTTTCTTCATTAACCTTTGCATGTTTTATAACTGGGTTATCTTTGTATTACTGAACTGTAAGAGTTGTTTATATATTCTTATGTATGTCTTTTATCAGATATATCATTTGCAAATATTTTCTCTCATTCTGTGTTTGTTTTTTTTTTTTTTAACTTTTTTGATGGTGGTGTTTATACCAATTTGGATTTTTATTTTACAAACGGATTTTTAAGGAAATTTATGTGTCACTTATATAATGTCTTACTTAAACAAGAAAATTGTTAGGAATAGACTGCAGAATTTACTGATACTATGCCATTTACTATGCAGGAACTTTTCCATGGATGAAACTTTGTAATCTAATTGTAAAACACAACCCCTTCCTGCTTTGGCATATGGTTAAACTTAGAGTAAAGAGGAATGATACAATTTTATTTCTATATGGTGTAAAACAGGGCTGTGACCTAGCCCTCCTTTTAAATTTATGTTCATATGACTTGATATTGCTATTAGATATATTAGCTATGTGGCAAGTATCTATATAGCAAACAAGAAAATAAGAATCCTTCTCTATTTTCTTGCTACTCAAGGACCAGCAGCGTAGGTATCACTTGGATCCAGCCTAGATGATCTGAATCAAAATCTGCATTTTATTATGATTCTCTGGTGATTTTATACATGAAAGTTTGAGAAGCACAGCTTTATTTGACTTATGCTAAACACACACACAAAGCTTGAAATACATGAGGAATTTACAAACGGCAGAATCTACTGTGTTTGTTAAATATTTTGCAGTCCTTAGGAGGACATTTTTGTTTTTTTATAAAGAGCAGTAAATTCTGTCTACTCCGTGAGGGTGGTTTAGAAACTGACTTGATCCTGGTGAATCTTGGTAATTTTATCTAAATTGAGATATTTATATGTTATGTTGAAGCTCTTTTATGATTTAGATGGTTGGTTGGTAACAATCACTTGCCCTTATCAAACTCAAAACGTTTGGTTTGGACCCAGATAATTCTTAGGCCTCTAACTAGTTCTTCCTCAAAATACAGCTATGTTTTTGGGTTACCTAATTTGAAAAAAATGTTGATTCTATTCCTAGGCACCTAAGCTTCACAGTTGAACATGAATTTTTAATGTCTTACTCACCTGCTATTAAAAGATTACAGGTGTCTTTAAAATTAACAGCAGTGAAGATTGGCACTTCAGATGCTTCTTGAGGAATACTACCACCCTTTAATGCACGAGCACTTACCATAGTTTCCTGACCTTAATATTCATCCCAGAAGCATCCCAGTGAAAATGGCACTTTTCATTCTTCCAGATTTTCTTTGCATTGTTTTTGTGTTAAATTATGAATTTGAAAATTAATGTATTCGTATCATACTGTTTTAGCTTTCTAGAGAAATGCTTTAACAGAATTAATACTTAATGTTGTGCCACTAACCGGATTTCTAAGAAATGCCCATTTAACAAACATGTCTTTTGAGAAATCATGAAATTTTTTTTTTTTATGAATTCAGTGCCAGAATATTTTTTTTCTCCAAATGAACTTTTTCTTAATCAGGCATTGAGAATTGTTTAATATAATATGTTTTTCTTTTTCTCTTCCTTTTTTTTCTTTAGCCAAAGGTAAATTCATTAAATTTCATTGCTGCATATCCTTAATTTCATCTCAGATTCCTGGTAATATTTATTTTTGAACTTTGTGTTGTTTTATTGTTCATTGTCTTTCTCATTCTGAGAATGCGAAAAGAAGACATGATGTGGAGATGGAAAATCTTTGGGAAGTACGATCGCTGTATTATGGGAATGTTTTTAAAGGGCCTGTGTAACCCAGAGAAAATTCTTGAGCTAAATCTATAGTACTTGGCATATATCGTTATGCACCAAAACTTTAAATCAATTATGTTAACTAGCAAAAAAGAAAATATGATTTTAATGATCTTTGGCATGTAACAGTACATACTAGTCACAAGACCCTGGTAACTCACTTTTTAAATTTGGCTTGTTATACTTTTTCACAAAAAATTACATTTAATACTTATAGCATATCTAGCACTTGAAAAAACTGACATAGCAAAATATTTACGGTAAATTTAACAAACTGGTTATCATTTTATAAAGTGCTTATACATAGAAAGCCAGATTAATCTCAGAAACTGAAACATAGACATGGCATAAAAGAAAATAAAGTTTATAAACAGATATGAGAAAATATTCTATTTACCAAGGAATAGAGGTAATATAAATTAAAAAGTTAATTTTAGTAGTAGAAAGAATACTATAAAGTGGAACTTTAAACAATTTTTATAATCCCATTGGTAGTGAATTGAAGATGTCTATTAAGCCATCACACATTTGTGATTCTATTTTAGGTAGGCGTTAATTTTTTTGTCATTTGTTTATTGACTTATTTACATGCAATAAAATTCATACTTTTTAGTGTACAGTACTGTAATTTTTGACAAACATATACTACGCATTTATTAAAGGTAAGAACAAAAATGTCCTTCATGCTCCTTTGCATTAAACCCCTCTCCTAGCCCCCAGCCCTTGCCAATCACTGCTCTGTTATCTGTCCTTATAGTTTTTTAAGCATTAATTTTAATAGTAAAAATTCTGAAGCAGTGCAGATGTCCATCAACGGGGAAATGTTTATGTAATGTATGACTTGCTCCCTTGCTTGAACTTTCACCATAAAACCATTAAGAAGGATTATGTAGAATCTGTGTAGTTACAGAAACTATGCAGACGATGTAATAACACATGACAGAATGCCCAAGATGTAGGTGAAAAGCAGGAAACAGTTATATATATACTGATTATAACTTTGTCAAAGCATACTATATAAAAAGACTTGGAGAAATGACACAAAAGTTATAATTGCTTTAAGATCATGCCTTTTTTTTTTCCCCTCTGTTTTCTAAGCTGTAAGTAATAATGCTCTAGGCTATAATTAAAAAACTTACCTTTAGGGCCTTCCAGGGCAGAAAAGTGTGGTGGTTATACACTTAACCTGTTAGAGTAATTAAAAAGATCTCCTTCTAGGATATTACTTTTTGAACTTATTTTGTCTGCAAAAGCTAAGATTGAATTACTTTTTGTGATATCAAATATTAAAAATTTAGAATCTACCTTAGCTTTAGCAGGTTGCTAGTTGCTTCTGGGATATAAGAAATATAGGATCTGTATACTTTAAGAATAGACTGTTTAGGTAAGAACTTATTTGTGAAGCAGTAGCATTATACTAGTGTAAGGTATTATAATAGTAGATGTTATGTGAATAATTATTAGGATGACTCATATATTTATTCACCAGGCATTCTCACAATGATAAAATTGATATGATAAAACCAGGAAAACCTCTTTAAGCAGTTGAAATTTCTAGTGAGATTTGAAGGACAAGAAGTTAAAATGGTAAAGAAGGAAGTGCTTTATAGGAAAATCAAGAACAGAGGCATAGAGGTGGAAGTGAACAGGGCTGTTTGTTCTTGGTGCTGGGAGAAGTACTTAGGATGGAATAATGTGAAGCATAAGCAGAATTTCTCCCTTGTGTGTGGGAGATGCAGACCATGTCTCCGGGTTAGAGCAGGTTTGGCAAACTATGGCCCAGGGTTCAAATCCAGCCCACCCCATTTCAGTACTGCCTGAGAGCTAAGAAAGGTTTTTACATTTTTGTAATGGTTGAGAAAGAAATCAAATGAAAAATATTTTATGACACATGAAAATCAAATTTTAGAGTACAAAAGTAAAAGTTTTGTTGGGAAACAGCCATATCCATTAATTTAACATACTACCATAGCATATTTCATGGTACTTGGCGGAGTTTAGTGGTTACAACAGAGACCTTATAGTCTAGAAACCTAAAATGCTACCTGGCCTTTTACCGGAAAAGTTTGCCAGTCCCTGAGTTAGATGCACAGTGAATCATTCATTCCAGAGATAATGAGAAATGAAGCTAAAGAGATAGGGTAGGGAAATATTTGTTAGTCTTTTAAAATACGTATCCTTGAATATCCAATATTAAACTTTACTGCACATAATGTTTTCTGAAACTATAGATTTCTTCCTCATTGCTCTCTCCACACAGATAGTGCTTTGAGAATCAATGATGTAGAATTTTGAAGGCCATCTCAAAGATTGTCTGCTTTTCCTTAGAGAAATTGTGAAAGTTTTTTGAGTTGGAAAGTGATGTGATTGGTTGAAGTTCTATTATGAGGTTTGGTTTTATATTAGATATAATTTATTCATTGAGGTTTAATATGACTGGCATTTAAAATATGACCTTAGAAATGAGTAGTACACTGAATTGGCAGTTGGGAGACAGGAGTTTATGTTTTCCCACTAAATTCTCTTTTCTATTTGTATGTAGAATGAGTTTATCATCTCTACCTTGCAAAGTTATTAATATAAGATTAAAAGGGGGCAACAGTTAAATAAAATGTGGGAATATAAAAAAATGCTGTATTCGCATACGTATCCCTTTTTTCATTAATTTTTTTTTTTTACTGTTTGCTTCTACTTTCTCTAATTTAATTTACTGTTTTTTCTTGTAACTTCTTTAGATGGAAACTTAGCTATTTAAAAAATAAGCCTTTCTTTTTATCTAATTTATTATTTAGTGCTTTTTATGATCACCCAGTTAAAAAAATTTTCTGATTTTCATTGGGCTTGCTTCTTTGACCGACGAAGCAAGTGAGTATTAAAAATTCAAATAGACAGGTTTTTCTAGTTATCTTTTTGTTTTGGATATCTGACTTCATTCATAAGTGGACTTAGAACATACTCAGTGACTTCAGTCCCTTGACATTTGTTGAGACTTGCCTTACGGCCAAGAATATGGTCAGTATTTGGATATGCTCCCTGTATCCCTGGGGGCAAAATTGTTTTCTATGGTTGTTGAGTGCCATGTTCTTTTATTTATGCCAGTTAAATCAAGTTTGTAATGTTCAAATCTTCATCCTTACTGGTTTTGGTCTTCTAAACTGAGAAAGATATGTTTAGATGTACTAATGTTTGCAGATTTGTTTGCTTTCCTAGTAGTTCTGTCGATTTTTACTTTACGTAACTTAATTCTATGTTATTAGGTGAAAACAAGTTTAAAATTATTATATCTGTATATTTTGAATTTTTTAACATTATAAAATATTTCCTTTTTTCACTAATTATGTATTTTGCATTAAAGTCTACTTTCATATTTTAATATCAGACAGCTTCTTAATATTTAGTTTTTGCAAAGGGCATTTTTTTCCCAAACTTTCACTTCTAAAGATCATTTTCTACCCATATATTTAAGGTGTGTCTTGTAGGCAGTGTGTCTTGAGTTTTCTTTGTATCTTCAGTCTGACAGTTTTTGTCTTTTAAGTTTTTGTCTTTTCTTTGTATCTTCAGTCTGACAGTTTCTGTCTTTTAAATGTTTAAATTAAACATTTAGTTTACTTACATTTAATGTAATTACTGATATTTTTGGATTTTCATCTCCTGGGTACTTTTCTGATTTTTATTTGTCCTGCCTGTTTTGTGTTCCTTGGTCTTCTTTTTTGCCACTTTTGGATTATTATTTCATTTTTTTCTATATGTTAGAGAAAATGTAGTTATGTGCATACCCTCTATTATTTTAGTAGTTATTCTAGATAGCATTACTTTGACTTATCAAAGGCTAACATAAATTTCTAATTTTATGTCTTTACAAGAAAGAGATCTTAGAACACGTTAACACCAATTACCCTCCATAATTTCGTGGTATTGCTGTCAAGTGTTTTATTTCTATGTATGTATTTCAAGCCCTACAAGATATTATTTTTAAAATCAGTATTTATTTAGATGTACTCACAAATTTACCCTTTTTGTTGATGTTTTTGCCTATATCTCCAGGCTTCCACGTGGCTCATCTTCCTTCTGCCTAAAGAACACCATATAGTATTTAGATCTGCTGGTAATAAATATCTTAATTTTTTCCTTTTCATTTCTTTATTCCTGAAAGGGTTCTTTATTTGACATTTATTCTTGATATGGGTATAGAATTTTTTCTAAGTTGGCAGTTACTTTTCTTTCGTGCTTTTAAATATCATTTACTGTCTCCTAGTTTCTGTTGTTCCTGATGAAAACTTTGCTGTCAGATTGTTGCTCTTTTATAGGTAACTTCCATTCATTCTCTTGTTTTAAGATTTTTCTCTTTGTCCTTAGTTTTCAGCAGTTTGCTGTGTTGTATGTCAATGTGTTTTTCTTTTTATTTGTCCTTCTTGGAGTTTGTAAAACCTACTGCATTTGCAGTTTAAGCTTTCATCAGCTTCTGAAAATTCTTGGACTTTATCTTTTCTTAAATATTGCTTTGGGACCCATTTTTTTGCTCTAGAATTCTGGTTTTGAGTATGTTAACAATATTCTGACGTTGTTCCCTCTTTCTCTTATAGTCTCCATCTTTTCTGTTCTTTTACCACTCCCTGCTTCTTTCTGTATATTTTCATCGTATTTACCTTCCAGTTACTAATTCTCTATTCAGCTGTGTGTAAATCCACTTTTAAAGCCACTCACCGAGTTTTTCAGTTCTAGAATGTCTACTTGATTAGTTTCCAGTTTTCTGTTGAATTCTCAATTTTAAAAAACTCCTCGAATATGCTAAGCATAGTTATTATTTGAAAATCTGTGTTGATAAACTGCATTATCTGGGTCTCCTGTTGGGCTTTTCTGTCAGCTCTTTATTTCCATTGTTTTTTGTGTTATGGTTCCTCATTTTCTTTTCATTATTTTTGATTGGATACCAAGCATTACATATGAAAAATATAAATAATTTGAACCCTAATATGATAATATCTTCCTCTAAATAGTATTTATATTTGCTTCTGGCTTTTAATTCTGTATACTAGTCATCCTGGATTATTTCAAATCAATAATGAGATGATCTTAAATTCGATTTAAGTTTTTGCGATAGCTAGTCTATTTGCAGTTAACTTTAACTCCCTAGGGTTAAAGTTGGAGGTTTAACCCAAAGTGTGGGGAATTTTCTAAGTTCCTTTCTTAGTAGGCTGTAGGCTCCACTTTTCCCCTCTATCCCTGCAAGGCTGTCACTAGTTCTGCTCAGTGTTTCAGCTAGCTCTTCCAGAATTGGTGGAGGCCACTGTGGGAAAGCTGCCTCAAATTCTGGACTTGACCTCTCTAGTTTTTTCTTCTCCTGCATATTGTCCCCTTGTTATGTCTTAAATCCTGTCAAGCAGATTTTTAAAAATAAATTTTTCAGTTTTTTTAGTTGTTAGTGGGAGGGTGATCATGTTACAGGTATCTCTGCCATTACTGGATGTGAAAGTCTTCCTTATTGTTTGTTTTTTTAAAGCTACTTTTTTTCTCCTGGTATGTGGGTGTATTCAAAATAAATATATTTTGTATTTTTTCGATAAATACAGAAATAGAGTTCATTTAATTGGCTTTTGCTACCTTTTTTTTTTTTTTTTTTTCTGAGACGAAGTCTCACTTTGTCACCAGGCTGGAGTGCAGTGGCATGATCTCTGCTTACTGCAACCTCCACCTCCCAGGTTCAAGTGATTCTCCTGCCTCAGCCTCCCAAGTAGCTGGGACTACAGGCGCGTGCCACCATGCCCAGCTAATTTTTGTGTTTTTAGTAGAGACAAGGTTTTACCATGTTGGCCAAGATGGTCTTGATCTCTTGACTTCATAATCTGCCCACCTCAGCCTCCCAAAGTGCTGGGATTACAGGCGTGAGCTACCGCGCCTGGCCAGCTTTTGCTACATTTTATTCTTGATTTTGTGCTACTCTGAATAGAGAAAAGTGCCATCTAAGCCATTTCTTTATATTCAGATTTCTCTTATATTGCCTATTTCTTAGAAAAACATGGGGAATAGTAGAGGTCCTTAATACAAAAGAGTGTTTAAAATATACTTGGTGTAGTAGTCATGTTTAATTGAAATTATTTTAAACAAATGAACATCGATAGTCAGAAGTTCTGGGCTCTTTCAGTGCTTGGTTAGCTTACTCATTGTTAAAACATTTTATCAAACACTATTTCATTGTAGACCATTGAAATCTTGGGTCAGAATAATTATATAGTCCTTGTAGATATCATAGAAGACGAAACAGGATAAACTTGTGGAAAGATTCAATATTTCTTATAATAACTTGTTTTTTTCTAACTTTAGTTACAAAGTAGATTTATTTGAAGTATTCAGGTTTAAAATACTTTCTGGTACACATGCTATGTTGAGCATCCCCAAAGCCACCCCCAAATTTGGAAGTAACTCACCATATAACTGTACTCATAGGTAAGATTTATTACTGTAATGTCATAAGGACATGCAGCTGAATTATGAGGGGTAAAGCCGCAGGTGAAGTGTAGAGAAATCTTTGTGTAGATGTTTTTATGCTTTGTTCCTCTTGTGAGGGGTCACATAGAGCATATTCTTCCCCAGTAATGTAAATACATATGTGTCATGTTTCTACCAAGGAAAACCCATGACAGACCCAGTGCTCAAGGTTTTTACTGGGGGCTGGTCATGTAGGTACCCTGTGCCTAGCTCATACCCAAAATTCTAGACTCCCAGAAGGAAACCAGACATTCAGCATAAACTGCATTGTTTCTACATACAGTTTAGGTACAGTGAGATACCCTTATCATTTAGGGAAAGTTTTAGATCAGTATAGAGAACTATTTACCAGCCAAGTTCCCAGCTACCAGCCAAAGGTCCAACCTTGCAAGAAGGTCTTTCTAAGGATAGCAGTCTCAGCCTGCCATGCTACCTCTTTTCTACAGACATGCCTAAAATGACTGACTGTTGAAATTTTATGTAAACATTGTATGTAAATACCAGAGGTCGGCATGATAATTCCTATTTTGACGATTAGTAAAATGTTTATCATTAAACTTAGCTAAAATACCTGGTGTTTCCGATGTCTTAATGTGTTTCATACAGGCTTTTACTAATGTGCCAGTGCCTGTTGTCAGTTTTAATCTGTGTGTGGGAAGAAAAGGACAGTGTTAGAACATTTAGTACAGCTATAAAGAATGTTTAAAAAGTTAAATTATAATAGGAAATAATCCATTATGAAAGGACACTTCAGATATCTCCTTTTAAAGTTCATATTGAACCACCCGCATATTTTTCAGATTCCATGGATTTGTTTTTCTTACGAGAGCTTTTTGGGGAAAGTCCTTTGTTACCAAGAATTTTGGCTAAGACAGTTGAAATTCAACTTGGCAATCAGAAATAAATATTGAAAAAATAATTTCTGACTACTATTAGAGTCAAAATGAAGAATCTTAGATATATTAAAGAGCAGTCTGGCCAGGCATTGTGGCTCACACCTGCAATCCCAGCACTTTGGGAGACTAAGGCAGGAGCATTGCTTGAGCCCAGGAGTTTAAAACCAGCCTGGGCAACATAGCAAGACCTGGTCTCTAAAGAAAAAAAAAAAGACCAATTCCTTGTTTATAAATGTGGAAACTGACCTGGAAGTTAAGTGACTTGTCAGTAAAATGGTGAATAGCTGGTTATTTGTATTCTACCGATTTTTAGATAATAAAATATGCACTTTAAAACATTAATGAAAAATACGAAGAGACCATGGATTAGTTTGAATTTCTTCTGGTGACTTTGGATGTCTTTTTACACCTAATTTGGTCATGTCATTTATTCAATAAGTTTAATATCAGATACTAGTTTTAGGTACTGGGGGAATTTTTTTTTCTCGTTTGTAAACCAAGTATGTCCTACTTAGGAACTTAAAGCTTCCTGCTTTTCTTTAGGTTCTAAAGTGCATATATATATTACATTATATTTTGGTCCCTCAATGTATGTTATTTCTTTTTTTCTCTCTCTCTTTAAGGTAATACTGCATTGCATGATTGTGCAGAATCTGGAAGTTTGGACATCATGAAGATGCTTCTTATGTATTGTGCCAAGATGGAAAAGGATGGTTATGGAATGACTCCCCTTCTCTCAGCAAGTGTGACTGGTCACACAAATATTGTGGATTTTCTGACACACCATGCACAGACCAGCAAGACAGAACGTATTAATGCTCTAGAGCTTCTGGGAGCTACATTTGTAGACAAAAAAAGAGATCTGCTTGGGGCTTTGAAATACTGGAAAAAGGCAATGAACATGAGGTACAGTGATAGGACTAATATTATTAGTAAACCAGTGCCACAGACACTAATAATGGCTTATGATTATGCCAAGGAAGTGAACAGTGCAGAAGAGCTAGAAGGTCTTATTGCTGATCCTGATGAGATGAGAATGCAGGCACTATTAATCAGAGAACGTATTCTTGGTCCTTCTCATCCTGATACCTCTTACTATATTAGATATAGAGGCGCTGTCTATGCAGACTCTGGAAATTTCAAACGATGCATCAACCTATGGAAGTATGCTTTGGATATGCAGCAGAGCAATTTGGATCCTTTAAGCCCAATGACCGCCAGCAGCTTATTATCTTTTGCAGAACTATTCTCCTTTATGCTACAGGATAGGGCTAAAGGCCTGCTGGGTACTACTGTTACATTTGATGATCTTATGGGCATACTTTGCAAAAGCGTCCTTGAAATAGAGCGAGCTATCAAACAAACTCAGTGTCCAGCTGACCCATTACAGTTAAATAAGGCCCTTTCTATTATTTTGCACTTAATTTGCTTGTTAGAGAAAGTTCCTTGTACTCTAGAACAAGACCATTTCAAAAAGCAGACTATATACAGGTTTCTTAAGCTGCATCCAAGGGGAAAGAATAACTTCAGCCCTCTTCATCTGGCTGTGGACAAGAATACTACATGTGTAGGGCGGTACCCTGTTTGTAAATTTCCATCTCTACAAGTTACTGCAATACTGATAGAATGTGGTGCTGATGTGAACGTCAGAGACTCGGATGACAACAGTCCCCTGCATATCGCTGCTCTTAACAACCATCCAGACATCATGAATCTCCTTATTAAATCAGGTGCACATTTTGATGCCACAAACTTGCACAAACAAACTGCTAGTGACTTGCTGGATGAGAAGGAAATAGCTAAAAATTTAATCCAGCCTATAAATCATACCACATTGCAGTGTCTTGCTGCTCGTGTCATAGTGAATCATAGAATATATTATAAAGGGCATATCCCAGAAAAGCTAGAGACTTTTGTTTCCCTTCATAGATGATAACTTGACTGTATTTTAGCACTGTTAAAGCACGAATTGGTAACAGTTGTTTCATAAATGAGCACTGTTGTGATAACACCAGCATTCATTTAGCTTGATTGATATCATTGTGCTCTCATTGGCTAAAGCATTATAAGCATCAAATTTACAACATTGGTTTCCCAATATTTAATATAAATATACCATATAATATATTGTTTGTGAATTATTGAGAAATGTAACATTCAAATTTCTAAAATTGTCTGCCAAAGGCTTATTCATTCTGGTTTTGTTTGCTGTTGGGTGTTTGGGGCAGAGTTAACCATTTCTCCATGGTGTCTTTATACTTTACTGGTTTGTGAATTTTATACAATTGAAAGTCTTTTTTTCTTGCTTCTTTCTTCTCTTCTCAAGTTTCCCCCCTGTTTCTACTTTATTGTTTGTCCTAACCATTTCTACTACAGTTTTTTCCTTATGGACCCATACTAGGTTGTACAAACCTTAAGGACTCGTTACCATTTGCAGTTACCATAAGTGCTTTATCTTCTCTATGCACAGGCTTAAACTTGACTGTTGTATGTTAGCATATTTTCTATGCAGCAGTTGGTCAACTTCAACTCAAAACACTGTTTTCTTATGTTTGTTACAAACTTAATTTTTTGAAAGTACTCTGTAGCATGACAATTTTTAGAGCTGCAGGTTAGCTATTATAGCTCAAGCTTTTTTGTTTGTTTTTTTCTTCACTTTCTTCACATCTGAGGTTTCTTTCTCTAATCCACTGAAATTATTGTGTGCTAAATTTGGGAAACAGATCTATTCTAACTCATTAACCCAGTTGAAATTTAGGTCTGTCATCTTAATATATCATGCAGTAAAAGGAAGAATCTTTTTAAAGTGACCCACCTTTCATGCTGCTCCAGCATTGTCCTGCTTGTGCTGATGGTGTGATTAGGTGTAGAGAATTTGCTTAAATTTAACTTCAAAGTTCATCACACAGCTTAATGAGTCACATTGAAATACTCAGTAATTGAACTGCAAATCACTTTTAGTTACAAAAAGAGCTAAAGCATGTCAGTGGCATGATGCTTGCCAAGCCAGATCTAGGCATCTAGGATAATTAAGGTATTTTAGTATGCAATTTACTGCCATAATATCAAAGGTCAGTAACAGTGTTCTTTCTTTCTTCAAGCTTATGTATACCTTTAAAGATAACTTGCATGAATTACTTTGATTACTTTGGTCTCAATTATTTGTCACCCCAGTTAAACATGAAAGGTTGCAGTGCTTCCTGTTCCCTTACTGGAAGTTAGCTTTTTCTTTTCTCTTTCTTCCTTTCTTTCTCTCACTCTTTCTTTCTCTTTCTCTTTCTCTCTCTCTCTCTCTCTCACTCACTCACTCACAGATTTGCTAATGCCACAGAAAGGGCTCTTTTAACTTAAGATAAGTGAAAAGTACTAAAAAAGATTCAGGTAATTATCATTCAGCACTTTATTGTAATTCAGAATAAAATTTATGATGGCATATTTGCCCTGCAAATGTCTTAATGAAGTTGTTCTCAATAAAAAGCTCCTTATTGATTTGAGAAAAACTCAGTTTACCTGTGAGTTCAATGAGCTGGATCACTCACTTGGATTTTTGTGTTGACATTTTATTCTGAGGGTTGATGTTACACTATTTAAGGAGTCATCAATGCAAACAGTCACATTAGGTATGTCATCATCTTTAGTCAGTAAAAACCTTGTAATGAGGAGTAGTAAATAAACAAGAGAACATTAGACTTTTTGGTTAAATAATTGAGATTTAATTTTTAAAAGATATTCTTACTCATTTGCTAGGTTGTAAATTTGATTTCACCATTAAGAAAAGGTAAATTGGATATAAATGAACGATCTCCAACTTTTTGATGAAGAGGTT
The DNA here is from genome assembly GCF_000001405.40 of Homo sapiens. Classification (NCBI taxonomy): domain Eukaryota; kingdom Metazoa; phylum Chordata; class Mammalia; order Primates; family Hominidae; genus Homo; species Homo sapiens. Next base: position 115,522,414 of record NC_000005.10, on the reverse strand, counting down.
TTACTATCTCTCACTGTGGGAAAATTTGATGAAATATTTGAACTGTCACATATATTAAGAATACTTTATGATTTAGACCAATATTCTAGAAATATCAAATGTCAGTATCTTGAAATCATCTGCCTCTAACTTTGTGGTATAAGAATTATATATGAATAAGCTATTATTTTTATAAAGGAAAACTTTGCCATTATAGTAAATTACATTAGTTGATCTCGATAATTTGAGGATAACAGATGACAATTGAATTTTTAATTGATTTAGTATTTCCTCCTCCTCTTTGGGGGCTGGGTGGGAGGGCTTACATGCTCTTATAGTGAGGCACATCTCACTGTTTTGCAGCAGAATTTGAATTGTGCAACTCCTGTGTAAAGTAAGGATTTCTTTAAATAGCATTTTTGCACCAGTAAAAATAGATAACTTAGAACTCAGTCTTGATAACTGAAATGACTTATTTCACTTAGAATACATTTCTCCCTTCTCTGCCATCTCCACAAATGCCATTGGGAGGTTTTGAAAAACCAGTTAATTTAATAGCTCAAAATTGTCCCTGATTTTATTTTCTTTTAGGGAAAATTGTTTCATAAATGTGACACTGATAAAGCCTTTGTCAGAAAGTATTCTCACAATTATGAGATGGATTATAATAAAATACTTAAATTTGTGTTATTTTTTGAACCACAGATGAGTAAATTTAATAATGAACCAATTACACTCTTGAGTCTAACTAAACTGTACACTGTAGCACGGTGTTATTGACTGGAGTTAATGTGTAAGTTATTAACATTTCTATGAAAATGCCCTTTTGGGGCCTCCTGAATTTTAGATGTTCCACTGTTTTGATCATTTCTATAAAAGAAATGGTCATTTTACTTAGATGCCAGTCTACTTTATAAAGACAAATGGATTATAGACTTAAAAATAGTCATTTTTCTTATTCATAAATCTGACAGGCATAAACCCAAATCAAAGATAATTTGGTGCCCATTATGAATTTGAAGTTAAGTGATAGCTCACTTGTAAAGTGACTACCTTAATGTGTATAGAGACCCCAGTCTACTATTATTTGGGAAAATTGTTTAGGTTATATGGGAAAAGTAGCTCTTTAAAAATCATATTGCCCAACAGAAACCTTAGGCTGAATTTACAGGTATGATAATTTTTGTAATTAATTTTCTTAGAATTGTGCAGGCTGGATGAGATAATGACATACTCTTTTACACTGTAACAGCAGCATTATTGCCTAGAACTTTAACCATTTTAGAGTTAGATACTAAGGAAACAAACTAATTGGTCATCATCATTTTCTTTTTTTCTTTTTCTTTTTTTTTTTTTTGCCCTTATGTGTCACTAAACAACTAGTTTCTCTCCCTTTTGTCAGTTCCCATTGTGTATTTTTTCAAAAGAAGTACTGTATTCGGATGCCAGCTAATAAATTGTCACACAATGGAAAATCATATGCCACAACATTCATTGTAAGGTTTAATAAAATTAAATTTGCACCAAATTTAAGTGTATTCTTATTAACTCAATACTTGATTGGTATTATCCTAATGCAAATGATAGTAAACTCCTGTTTCAGAAAAACCTAATTGATAATTTGTGGCCAGTTAAAACTTAAAAGATAGCATTTATTGTTAATACTTCTATGTAAGTATGATTTATGTACAGTTTATTCTAAATTTTTTTTCTAGTAGAGATCACAGAAGCTAAAGATATGGGGAGACTTTTGTTGTCAACTGCATGAGAGAAGGGATGCCTTTAATTTTTGTTTTTTAATTGGTTTGCTGTGATCAGAAGTATATCATAAATATATTATTATGAATGCAAATTTTATACGTTTGTTTTCCATCACTTTTCATTTGTAAAATCTAAGTAGTCCTTGTTTTTTTTATGTTTAACTTGCCTAATACAAAAAGCTCTAGTTGAGTCAGAAAATGAATTGGCTGTAATTTCTAAACTCCAAGCATAAATTGAAATCTCCAGTTTTATGGGTTTTTCCCTTTTGAATTGTTAATATCCCTTTTTCATGACAAGTATAGGCTTTGTCTTCCTTTGACCGGGCCCTTTTAAACATTAGTCTTCTTTACCCTTGGTCTTGTGGTTCTATGGTTGTCTGCACTACCACCACCAATATTTAGGAGGACTCTTACCAAATTTATCAGTAAAAGAATATTGTATGTTTAAGGCTCTAAATAAGAAAAAGTCTTAGTATGTCCTCAAGATACTCTATTTCTTCAAGATACTTTATTTCATTTTTTTAATCTCTGTACTAGTGGGTAGAACGTTCTTTGTTGAGAAGTTTGGGGCTGTGGGAGTTAAGTGAAGTCACTGATTCCTGGGTTCCGTGTTACTTTATTGCATGTTTTTTTGTAAAGCTCTTAAATAAGATTTTATCTCATAAAATTACAGCTTTATATAATTATGTCAATTTAATTGATTTTTCTAATATATGTACATCTGATTTCAAAAGTGAAATAATACAGTTCCCTACCTTGAAAAAATTGAAAACCCTAGGATTGGTATCTATTTTTAGTATCTTTTCATCCTTATACTTGTAGATTATACAGCTATAAAAGATACTTGTAGTAGTACATAGTTGTTCTAAAACCTAGTATCTTAGGTATGTTTTCCTTTTTTCTTTTTCCCATGTTGAATCTTAAGTTTTTTCAAGACAGAAATTCTTAAAGTAGTAGTAGCTAAAATTTGGTAAATTATGAAAATGCAATTTAAAGTCACGAATGACTTTAAATAAGTGTGATCGGGATTATATACTGGAAAGTTGAGAGAAAATTAGGCATATTCCTCATGCTCTTTCAGAGTAATCTTTCACACACACAAAAAATAAGCCTGCATTGTATGCCACTAGGCAACAATATCTTTCTACTTATCTCTTCAGTAGCTGATAGTAGAATAGCTTCTACTCATCTAAATGTAACTTTTTACAGAAATGGTGGGAGCTTTAGTTATACAGAATTTGTAAAATGCATTTAAACCTTTCCGATGATCATCTTAAGAATAAACTAGTGTTTTGTACTATTTTGCATCACTTAATGCCTAGGAAAATGTACTGAGATGTGTCCTTTAGGTGATTTTGTCATTGTGAGACCATCCTAGAATGTACTTAAACCTAGATGGTCTAGACTACTACGCTACATTCCTAGGCTATATCGTATAGCCCATTGCTCTTACTCTACCAACCTGTATAGCAAGTTACTGAATATTTTGGGCAATTGGAACACAATGGTAAGTATTTGTGTATCTAAACATAGAAAAAGTACAGTAAAAATATTGTTTAAAAGAAAGAAAGAAAAAAAAAAATGGGGGACTTACCATGAGTAGAGCTTGCAGGACTGGAAGTTGCTCTGGGTCAGTTGGTGAGGAAGTGATGAGTTAATGTGAAGGCCTAGAATGTTATGCATTATCGTAGACTTTATAAACATTGGACTACACAGCTATACTACATTTATAATAAATTCTTTGATAATAAATTAGCTGATTATAACTTTTTTACTTTATGAACTTTACCTTTTTAACTTTTTTTGTAATATCAGTTAAAACACATTGTACAGCTGTACAAAAGCATATCTTTATAAGCTTTTTTCTATTATTAATTTTTTTTCCTTGTTGAACTTTGTCACAGACAGATACACACACTAGCCTCGGCCCACACAAGGTGAGGTTCATCAACCATCAATATCACTGTCTTCCATTTCCACATCTTGTCCCACTGGAAGGTCTTCAGGGACAATAACATAGGGAGCTGTCATTTGCTAGGTTAACAATGCTTTCTTCTGGAATACATCCTGAAGGACCTGCCTGAGGAAGTTTTTGCAGTTAACTTTTTTAAAAAAATAAGTAGTAGTGTACTCTAAAATAATCATAAAAAGTGCAGTGTAATAAATATTAGGTGATAGGAATTTTTCAGCTCCATTATAATCTTAGAGGACCACTATTGTATGAGCAGTCTATTGTTGACTGAAACACATGGCTGTATTTAGTTCTCTTCCTGTATCACTGACTTTGAACATGTTGATATATTTGAATTATGAAAATTATTTTTTTATTTTATAGATAAAATACACAAATTAGTAAGAGTTGTAGAACGTTTAGATTTCTTTAAATACTCCAAAACTTTAAAAAACCTTGGAGTAATTTTAGACTCACAGAAAAGTTGCAAAGTTAAGAGTTCCTACATTCACCATTCATTTTCCCCTAATGTTAATACTTTAAGCATGGAACATTTGTCAGAACTAAGATGTCAACATTGGTACAACACTATTAACTAAACTACAGACTTTATTTGGATTTCATCAGTTTTTCTACTAATGCCCTTTTTCTGGTTTTGGACCCAATCTAAGACACTACATTGTATTTAATCATGCCTTCTTACTCGAACAGTTTATCAGTCTTTCCTTGTTTTTACAGATCTTGACATTTTTAAAGAGTACTGGTTAGATATTTGGTAGAACGTCCCTTAATTTGGGTCATGACTATACTGGGATTATAGTTTTCCGCGGAAGAATACCACAGAAGTGAGGTAACTTTCTCATATCGATATGTACATGATATCGACGTGACGTAGCACTGCTAAGTTTAACCTCGATCACTTGGTTAAAATGATATGTGCCAGGTTTCTCCATTATAAAGTTACTGTTTTCTCATTTCATATTCTATTCTGTGGAAGCAAGTCAGTAAGTCCAACAGTGCTCACAGGGAGGGGAGTTAAGCTCCATTTTCTTGGGAGGGGTTTCTACATACATTATTTGGAATTCTAATGTAGGGGAGATATTTTTCAGTGTAGACTTGTAGATACGTATTTTATTTTTTCGGCCGTACTATCCAGTACTGTAATTATTTGTTTTGTTGCTCAAATTGTTCCAACTTTGGCCATTGGGAGCCATATCTTTTTGACATGCTCCCATTTTTTTTCTTTTTAGCTTTTACTTTCTGGCACTACCACGATGCTCCAGGCTGATCTTCTATTTTCTCTGCCCAGCCCTAGAATCAGTCATTTCTCCAAAGAGCCCTGCTCCTTTTATTGGAGGATGTTATTTACAATCCAAGATTTGAGTGCTGAATGCGCTTATTGTTACTGGGATGTCATGGCTTCTAGACCTCAGTGAACAGAGCTAGGAAATACATGAATGTTTACTAACATAGGTATACACACATATCTGTAATGATTTCTGTATATTTCTGTATATATTTAAAAATGAGTCTATATGGATATCTGTAACTCCTAATCCAGCACCATAGGATTCATTCTAGCTTTTCCCCTTCATTTATTTGTAACTTCTTTCTCTGCCAGTGAGGAACTTAACTTTCATTATCTATAAGTTATGCCTCTATTTTTTTCAGCCCTAGTACACAATAAAGTGGTTGCAGAATTGCTAACCTAGAATATGTATAATAAGTTTACCTACTGGAGTACACTTCTTTTCATCTTTAACCTTACAGTATCCAGTCAAAACATATTCCAAAGTTACTTAAGGCAGCACCTTTTTTCTCCCAACAAAAATTTTCTTAAATGACTGTTTTTCAATAGGTAGCAAAGAGAGAGACATAAGATTCTGATTACCAGCTATAGCTCGCCTCCATCAAAACAAGGAAATGTATAAGAGGCAGTTAAAATAGAGTCCGTTATCACTTAAAATTGCTCTCTTTTTTCTGTCTCACCCAATTGTTCAACAAGTCTAACTCTAGTATCTTTTCACTGCTTTTACTTGACTTTCTAGCTCACTTTATAATGGTTTTTTTTTTTTTTTTTTTTTTTTTTGAGTTGTCTCGCTCTGTCACCCAGTCTGGAGTGCAATGGCATCTTGGCTCACTGCAGCCTTTAACTCCTGGGCTCAAGTCCCAAGTTGCTGGGAGTACAGGCATGTGCCACCATGCCTGGTTAATTTTTTTTTTTTTTTGAGATGGAGTCTTGCTATGTTGCTCAGGCTGTTCTCAAACTCTTGGCCTCAAGTGATCCTCCTGCCTCAGCCTCCAGAGTCATTGTGCCCAGCTCTAGCTCATTTTTAAAATGTAGCAGTGATTACTAAAATAGAATCCAAAGTTTTCAACTTGTGAAATTTGTCTCCTGTCATTTTGAGTAAGGCCTTACAGATGAAGTGATGTCTTTTAATTATCTTTTAAATTTTATTTAAAAGTAACTTATTTAATAAAAGGGAATAATTTATTAAAAGAAAATTATTCTCCATGTTTAAATAATAAAATACCTTAATTTGTTCTAAAAACCAAAATAAGAGTTAGAATTGCTGGTCACTTTCATAATACCTCATAGGGCTGTGGATTGAATGTATTGACTTTTCTTTAGGCCTGAACTACTTTGTTCAGAGAATAATGTGGGGTCAGATTGTCAGAACATAAACTCTTGTGGCCTGCTAATGTTGTGAAAGTGTGGGAGAAAGAGTCTTTATGACCTAAGGGAAATCAGTTTTGGGGGAATTTATTGTGTAAATTTGCACATTCAACAAATTTATTGACCATCAAGCACTATGCAGTGAGTCAGGTATATAAAGATGAATTATAGAATCCTGCCATCGAAGAGAGCAATATTTTGGGGGAGGCAAACAAAGCTAATTTTCAACTATATTTTGAAGGGCAGAGAATTAGTCTGACTTTTAGGTTTAATAAGAATTGGAGTAGGTCTTGAATTAAAATTGCTTCTATATTCATTGTCCACTTAAAAAAAACAAACAAACATAGTTCACATTGTTTAGGGCTAGCTGGCTATTGCATCTTTTCATCAAGATGGGGGTTAGGGGAAAAGTCCATTTAGTCCATGGATGAAATTTTCTTCATCTTTTTTACATCATTGTGCTCAAAATTTGTATTTTGTATCTTATTTTGAAACCCATAATTTTTCTTAGATAAAATTGTAAGAGCTACCGTTTGGATGTGCATGTGTGTATGTTTGCAAATGACTTTTTAGAAGAAATTCTGAACTCATTAAAATTGACCCGTGCTGTGCATTCAGAATTCGTGCTCACCATGACTGAAAATCAGTCATAGTCTACAGGTTTGGTAAAAAGAGTTGTTCTTTGTAGTCAGGAATTTCAAAGAATTTTTTTGGTAATTAAGACATGAAATTGGCAGAAGAATAAACATGAGTGGGGGATGAAAAATAAATCCTACAGCTTTAACCTTTTACTAATGTTTTAAGCCATCTAAAAGTACTTCAAAGATAAAAAATTGTAAAGCTGCTCCAGAAAAATTAACTCATTGGCTACCACCTGAAAAGGAGAAATTTGGCTTGAAAGGGACTTTTTTCTATTCTGTAACCTCTGTAGGCTGAGCTTAATGTCACAGGTGAAAATGATTTGAGGACACAAATCAAATGAAAACGTACTTCTATCTTGCTAAGCTAAGGCACTGAAGAAGGTATTAAAGAGAATGAAACACGTCTGTGAATATTTAGAGAAGCAATGGTATGCATGGGTCTTGTTTTTAATCTGAATTTGTCTTTTAACAGTTGCATTTTAACTTGTTTGCATGTAAAATCATTTCTAATTTATTTGGACTTTGGTTTATGATTCACCATGCTTTTATTTCTTCTTTCCTACCTTCAAGGAGATTTCTGTTTCTCTGTTTGTTTAGAATGTATACATTCTACTTTTTAGAAAAACCTTTTTAGTAGCTACTTTTACATTCTTAACATGAACACTGGGTTGACCTGTGGTCCTCAAAAAATATGTCCACCCAGAACCTTAGAATATAACCTTATTTGGGGTAAGGGTCTTTCCAGATATAATCAAGGTAAGGATCTCAAGATTAGGTCATCCTGGATTAGAGTGGGCTCTGAATCCAATGATGAGGTTCCTTGTAAGAGGCAGAAAAGGAGAGGGCACATGAAGGCAATCTCACAAAGGGGCAAGCCACGTGAAGACAGAGGCAAAGACTGGAGTCCTAGCTACAAGTTAAGGAACGCCAAGGATTGCCGGCAGCCACGAGAAGCCAGGGGATTCATGAAACAGATTCTTCCTCAGAGCCTCCAGAAGGAATTTATCCTGTTAACATTTTGGTTTTGGACTTCCGGCCCCCACAACTGTGAGAGAATACATTTATTGTTTTACTTAAACCACCAAGTTTGTGATAATTGGTTGTAACAGCCCTAGGAAACTAAGAGAACATGCATACAGGCTTAACAGAACACAGACCTTGGAATGGTTTAAGTCCTAACATCTTGCACTAATTTTTCACGTTGTTATAGATCACAGATGTTTGTTTCACCTTGGTTTTCATCCTCCTCCCATCCTCATTTTGTTGTTACTGTTTTAGTTTGTGCTCAGTCGTACTTATTTACCAGTTTTATTGATAGCACTCACTATTCATTACTTGCAACCCACTCCTTCCTTTTGGGAAACGTTTTCTTCTTCCTAAACTATTTCCGTTAATATTCTTCTTTTGAGGGCAGGAGAAAGTGGAAACTGTATGTTAAACTACATTTGTCTCACTCAGACAGCTTTTCCCTCAATTTTTCTTGTTGTTGTTTAAGGAGATTCCTTTAATATAATGAATACAAAAGCTGTTGAGATAGTACCCCTACAATTACATAGCTTTGAACAAGTCAAACTATGGTTACCGAAGGGCTATTTTTATTATAGTATCTACAGTGTCTGAAAACTGATGTAATAAATAACTGTAGATGCTTCACAAGACATCCATTTAATCACAGTAATGGATCTTACTACGTAGTATTCTCAGTGTCTTTATTCTTCAGATTCTCCAGGCTTATGAATGTCGTCAATCTTCAAAATCATTCTAACCATTTGTGTTGCGAAAGATGTCTGTTGCTTTTTGCCAATCAAGATTTCTATGACATGTTGTCGCTTCATATCATTTGTCCCCTTGTGCAAACAGTCAGTACCGAGAGCAGGGTTCATCTCCTTCACTTGTCTGGCTCGGACTTTTGTCGTAGTCTGGATGGGATTCATGCCACTGTTTTCAGAAAGGGCCATGGGGCGACTCCAGAGCGTCGGCAAACGCTCTTATGGTGTACTGGTCTAAGGTGGGGCACTTATCCACCTCTTGGCTAACTGCCAGAGCACAGGATATCTCAGCAAACCCTCCTCTGTATGCCACACGATTATCGCGGATGAGGTTGCTGATGACACACAAAGCATCGTGAAGGGATCGTTTCACCTCCTCAATGATCATCTTATTTCCTCCTCTGATAAAAATGGTTACAGCTCTGGAGTTCTTACACTGCTCGATGACCAGCATTTTATCCTTAGTTGTCCCAAATGAGATCTCCTGTACAAGACCGGTAAAGCCCAGCATCTTGGCCGTGAGCTCTGAGAACCTGGGACAATCCGCCCTCTTGTTGAGATGGCAATCAGTTCAATTTCAAGTCCCCCTACCCAGCGAACCACAGGCAAGTTGTTCTGAAGAAATAAGTGATTTGCTTAATCATCAAAGCCCCACTGACAAATTGCTAGGTTAGCACCAGTCTCTTTAATTTGTTGAATCATCTCTTCAAATTTCTCCTTTTCATATTTGTGAAGAGCTTTATGATCTATGGAGGTCACATCCAGCTTATGCTTTGTTTTTGGCTTGGGTGGTTCAAATGGACATGTGAGAATTGCAATCTTAGCATCTTCCACTTTTTTCGGCACCTATAGGTGACTGGAAATCCTTGTCCACAATCACGCCCTTGATCAGTTTTGTGTCCTCCAGCCTCCCGCCCACTTTGCCTTCTACGTTGACGAGCTCAAAGTCAGTATCTCTCCGCTCCATATCTGCTACAGTGAGGACAGCATTCACAGCAATCTCAGCCATTTGTTGGTGCCAACTTTGACCACTTTGGAGCAGCCCAGCATGGTTTTTGCAGTCGGAATCAGGGGTTCAGTGTCCTTTATGTCAACAAGGACACTATGACTGATCTTGTCCAGGTGTTCAACAGCAACGCTGGCAGCCTGCTCATAACCATCAGCTATTCTGATTGGGTGAATGCCTCAGTCTAGCAACTGCTTGGCTTCTTCTAACAAGGCAGCAGCCAGGACTACCACTCCTGTGGTTCCAAGTCCAATTTCATCATCCTGAGACTTGGACAGTTCCGCCATCAGCTTAGCAATCTGATGATCGACATCCATCATGCTTAAGATGGGGACCCATCGTTAGTTACAGTCATATCACCATCCTTATCCACCATCATCTTATCAAGCCCATTTGGCCCAAGTGATGTTCTCATCATATTTGCTACAGCCTTTTCTGCCACTATATGAGACTTAAGGGCCTCAGTCCCATAAGACAGGACTTGAGGTCCTGATCCTTGATGATGAGGAAAGGGTGCCCATATTCATCAAAGGCGAGGGTTCCCATGGATGCCATGGTGCAGCCCCAGGAGCTACTTTTCCCTCAGATACTAATCTGAAGATACTAATCTATTGTTTTTTGCCCTCTGATGCTAGTGAGTTCAGTCATTCTTTGCTCCGTTGTGAGTAATCTTTTTTTTTCTCATGTTCTTTTAGATATTCTCTCTCTGTCTTTGGCATTTTTCAGTTTATGATGAAACCTGTTTTTGATTTATTTATTTATTCCGCTTGTGACCACAGTATGATTCTTTGATCTGTGGACTCATGTCTTTCTTTTTAGTTCTGGAAAATTATTACTCATTATATCTTTCTATGGACTCTCATTCTCTTTATTCTTTCTTTCTGAAACTTCTATTAGGCATATTGTTAGACTTTTCCAATCCGTTCTTTGTGTCTTAATTTTTCACATATCTTCTATCTCTCTGTACTTGGTTCTAATTTTCTTAAATCTTCTATTCACAAATGATATTACTTCCTATCTTGTCTGCTAACATTTATTACTTTTTTAATTTCTATGCCTGTATTTTTATTTTTAGAAGTTCTATTTCTTCTTTACAAGTTTACCCATTTTTTTTGTTTGTTTGTCTTCAGTTTCTACATATCATTTAAAACTTCCCTACTTTCTGGTCTCCTTTGATTATGCTACCTCAAATTCTTAGAGTGCTGATCCTCCTGTTGTAGTGCTGCTCACTGCTTGATGGATACTTGTCTCATGTAGATTGTCACTGTATTTTTGTAGGTATGCTCAGCAGTTAGCATTTCTCCAAGTGAAAATCTGTAAGCCCAGGGCTTTGGGAGAATTCCATCACAGTAATCAGGGCCCCAGCAATTCCAGAATCAGCTTCTTATGTTAAATTTCCATCTTGGGCATTTTATATGAAGATGATGGAGTTAATTTGGATTCAGTGTACCAAGTGCAGGGTTAAAGTTCCAGTTTTTAATGGGAGCATTTGGTTTTTAACCCAACCCAGAGTAATGGGCAGACAATGGAAGTTTCTTGCTGTGTCCCTGGACTTGAAAACTAAAGTTTTCTTGGCTCCCTTTATGCAAGGAATAGTCTTTTCAGAGTTCCTGCAATTATGTGAAATTCAGTTTCAGATAAGTTTCAGCTTCTGTTTAACTGAGTCTCAAGGAGATGCCTTCTGTAGGTGCTAAAACCTCAGTCCCTAGCCATTAGATGGTCTCACCCCCATTAAAGTTGGTATTTTCTCATACACTTACTATTCTGACTTTGAATAACCCTCTTCATTTTTGAAATTTATGGATTTTCCTTTCAAGCTTAGCCGTTTACTTAAATAATTTTTTTTTGTGCATGTATCTAGCTTTTCCACGTGTTTGGAATGGGAGAATTGTCTGTACTAAGCTAATCCACCACCGTCATTTCAAACTATGCTGGATCATAAGTACCAAGTATTAAGGGAGTTGCTGTTTTATAAATCACAGTTGATTTAAGAACATTCTTATATTGACATTCTCCCCAAAGTTTAATTACACTTTGTTAATAGATCAGAAAAGTATAGAATTATAATTGTGCTGAGAATCATATGTGACCCTGGGTATGCCCATAGAATTCAGTTCTGAATGTGAACAGTGTCATTCCTCTGCCACAAGAGAAAACAAAGTTGCTTAGAGCAACCTGTAATGAGGCCAAGATTTGGGACTGAGAACCTTTTGAGCCATTGAGCCTGTCTTCATTTTGTAGTCACAGACTGCAGTCCTAACTCAAATAAACCTTCCTGCAAGGTCCAGGGTACAAGGAGGTTAAGAGCTTGTATAGTGCATTTCCTTTAATTTATTAGAAAAATTCACTTGTGCGTTATTTTAGTGTATAAAGTACAACTTTTATTTATATTCTTATTTACTTGTATATGAATCATTTAATGTTTAATGGCCCTTTAAAATAATGTCATATGCCTCTAGCAATGGACTACTATCCCAAGGTAGCTAAAGGAAGAAATGTGTATTTAAGACATTCTTTCATCATAAGCACTCTTTTAAATATCTATTATATTTTTATCCTTAAGACACTTCATTTAACATATACATATATGTAAATATATAGAGAAATACCTATATATCTACATACTCATATATTTCTATATATATGGAAAGAGAGAGATCTCTCCCAAGACACTACTTAATATAAAGCTGAATGATAATGCATTTTGTTGGATTGTGCCAACAGCATAACAGATAGTGCATTTGCTGGAGTGTTCATGTTGAAGTTAAGGAGTGGCTTATTAAATTATAATGGCAAGACTGTTTTTAGTCATAGAACATGCAAGCCATCAAGTGTCACGTGTCTAAGAAAAAATTAGATTCATCAGATGACAGCACACTTTAAATAATTGTGACCAAATTTGTTTTGCTTGCTAGTCACCTAGTTATTCGCAGGACATGACAAAATTGCAGACATAGAGAAGATGGGATAAATCACCCTATTGTCAAACAGATGAAAAATAGTTTGGCTCTGGTGATGAGAATCTTATCTGAAATAACTCATAGCTCACTGAAACTTTTTTACTACACTGAATTCATTCAACATATCTTCTTGGCAACCAACAATAACAGTGTAAAAGGATTAAGTGTTAATTCTGGATCTTTGCAATATATAATGACAGTGTAAAAGGATTAAGTATTAATTTTGGATATATTCAAATGTCCTTGGTAAACTACTGAATATCACCTTTTCTAGAAGTGTAAACTTACATGTGGTTTTATTCATTCAATTAGATTCAACAAACTAGGTCAAAGATAGTGACGAGCAGAGCACAAAATAAAGACAAAAAGGGAACAAATAAATATTGGAGAGTAAAGATTAATATATTATTTACATGGCTCTCTATTTACTAGCTGTGTGGCCTTGACCTCGTTAATTGACTATTCTAAGTCTCAGTTCCATGGTTAGTGAGAATTAATACTTTTCCCACAAGGTTTTTATGAGGAGAGAATAAAGCATTTAAAAGGCTAAGTAGAGTACCCGGCACATAATTTCTTTTTTTTTTTTTTTTTGAGACGGAGTCTGGCTCTGTTTCCCGGGCTGGAGTCCAGTGGCTTGATCTCAGCACACTGCAAGCTCCGCCTCCCGGGTTCCCACCATTCTCCTGCCTCAGCCTCCCGAGTAGCTGGAACTACAGGCGCCCGCCACCGTGCCCGGCTAATTTTTTTTTTTTTTTTTTTTTTTTTTTAGTAGAGACGGGGTTTCACCGTGTTAGCCAGGATGGTCTCGATCTCCTGACCTCGTGATCTGCCCGCCTCAGCCTCCCAAAGTGCTGGGATTACAGGCGTGAGCCACCGTACCCGGCCCTTGGCATATAATTTCTAAATAAAAGTAATAGTATTATTATTTGATGGAAAAGTGAATCATTAATATAAACACTAGACGTATTTGGATTTTAACCTTTAAACAAACTTTATGTCTATAATGAGCTTATTTTATACTTGATTAAAAATGTAGGCTGGATGCAGTGGCTCATGCCTGTAATCCGAACACTTTGGGAGACTGAGGCAGGAGGATCCCTTGAGCCGAAAGGTTCAAGACCAGCCTGGGTAACATAGCAAGACCCTACCTCTACAAAAAAATTTAAAAATTAGCTGGGTATGGTGTCGCAAGCCTATAGTCCCACCTACACAGGAGGCTGAGGTGGGAGGATTGCCTGAGTCTGGGAGGTTGAGGCTATAGGGAGCTGTGATCATGCCATTGCAATCCAGCTTGGATGACAGACTGAGACCCTATCTCAAAAAAATAAAAATAAAATTTTATTTTTTGAAATCTGGAATACAAAACTGAAGAGTGCAGCTGATAGTCAAAATGAGTATGTTGATATACTTTCTCAAAAGATGGGAAATTTGAGAGGTAGTAGGAGGAAAGAGCTTAGAATTAGAAATGCTTCATTCTTAATTTTGAATCATGACCTAATGCAGTAAAATTCTGTAACATCATTAAAAATAAGGCCTGAAATAGCAGGCCTTAGAATAAGAAATTTGCTAAACTTTTCAAAAGCTATACTTTGAAGGGTCTCAATTGTATTGTCTTTCAAACATGGAGAACTGATTTCTAATTCTGCATATAAGGGGAAATTGGCCACATTTTCAGTATTACGAGCAGACTCCTAATGCTCAAAGGAATTATGTTCTGTCTTTTATTGCCTGTGGGAGGAGTGTTGCTAAGAAACAGAATTCCTGATACATTCTGAGGAAAGCAGCTTGTCATTTTAGTGATGCACTGAGAATAAAATGCAGTGAAGGCAATGTATTTTCAAGATCTGAGACTGTTTCTAGCCAAAGAAGACTGCATCTCTGGCTGATTAGATGTAATACATTTGGTTATGTGAAGCTCAGAAAACAAACCTTTAAAGCCTGTGTATTGATGCTCTAGAAGCCTATATGGCCTGCCAAATCATTGTTTCGTGTTTGATGGATGAAAAGCAAAGAGCTATAGAGTTTGAAGGATGGAAGGAAACGAATATACCCTGAGCACTTCCATGTAAGCATTAGGCTCGGCTCCCTCACAGACACATCTCATGGACTCTCCATGATAACTTGTGAAGGAGGTGCATTATTTCCATTTTACAGATGAGGGAATGCATTCACCTGAAACGTGACCAAAGTCACAAGGTTACTAAGTGTCAGAACTCATAACATCAAGCCTGTGCTCTCTGACTCCAAGTGCAGAGTTCTTGCCACTACACTTACCATGTGTCTGTTTCCGTTTTCAGAGACGAAGTAGGGTCAGAGTTAGATCACAACTGCAGAGGAGATTGGGCAAATTATTTAATGTCAAAACACAGGCCTAGACTTTGAAGAAGGCCTAGATTTCTGGTTTCCTTTGCTTCAGAACGGGCACTTCCTCGTCACTTTTTGTCCTCTAAGGTCCTACACCCTCAGGTGAATATGCTTTCTTGCCAGAGATCTGTAAGGTACACAGAGTAGGGAATTACTGACAGTCTTTCAGTAATAATACTGTCTGGTACAGTGTAGGTTATCTGAAAGGCTACGGATCTTCAGGGTCTCTTCTCATTTTGTTTCTGTACCACCACGTTTTTAGACTTTCACCCTCACCTTTGTGGCACTCATATCAGTCTTCTCCATTATGGTAACTGTGTTCATAAATAGCTCATGGGAATAGACATTGTATTTGGAAGTAGAAAAATTCATTCGACAAGTATTAATTGGGAGTATACTATGTGATAGGTGACATTACAGGGCTGGAGAATTAGCAGCAATTAAGACAAAGTTCTTGTTCTCATCAATCTTATCTTCCCATGAAAGAGAAACATGCAAAAAGAATGTCAGATTATGTGTGCTGCAGAAAATCCCAACGTAGAGGGATGAAGAGTGAGTGAGAATGGGACTGGAGGGCAATATAGAGGTGACTGATTACGGAGGCCTCTCCAGGGATCGGCTGTTTGAACTGAGATCTAAGAGGTAGAAAGGAGCAAGCTGTGCAGCCTTCTGGAGATACAGTGTGGAAGGCAGAGAGAAGAGCAAGCATAAGGGTCTGAGATGGGCTCTCACTTGCTCATTCAAGGAATGGCAAGGACATAGCACAGGTGTGGAAGAGGTTGACAGGTGCATTATATCAGGTCTTGTTGGCCATGTGGAGGAGCTAGGGTTTTATTCTGGGTGTAATGGAAAGCTGAGAGATGGTTCTGACCTGGAACTGACATACTCCATGTTATTAAAACATAACTGGCTGCTGCCTAGAGAATCAGTTGTTGCAAGTAGAAGCTTAGAAACCTTTAAAGGGCTCTTGCTGTGGGCAAGAAGAAGGAGACTGGGACTAGGGTGTTAGCTGTGGAAATGGGAAGAAGTGGAAAAACAGGCTAACACTTGGAGGTAGTTCCTAAAGGATTGCTGGTGGATTAAATGAGGAGTGTGAGGGGAAGAAGAGGAATCAGGGGCTCTAGACAAATACTTGGCAACTTGTCACTTTCTTAACAGTTATAGAACAAAACCTGTCCTGCTTTTGATAATCCAGTCATTTTCATTCTTCTTTGAACCACAGCAGCCAGCAGTCACTGGCAGTATATATTTATACATGAGTCCTAATGGAATTTTTATAGTCAAATATTTATAAATTTTAAAGATTAATTTAATTTTGTTACTGAAAGGAAAGAGCAAATATTCCTTTAGCTATCAGAATCTTAAAAATTAAAGAAAATCCAAAGACATAAATAAAGGAACTCTGCATATGATTGTTGGTTCACATGTGATATTGTTTCGATGTTACATTACCAGCCCTTCCCTCCAAATCTCATGTTGAAACGTAATTCCCAAAATTAGAGGTGGGGCCTGGTGAGACGTGTTTGGGTCATGAGGCAGATCCCTCATAAATGTTTTGGTGCTGTCCTTTTGAAAGTGAGTTCTCATGAGATCTGGTTGTTTAAAGTATGTCGCACCTCTCCTCGCTCTCTCGCTCCTGTTTCTGCCATGTTATATGCCTGCTTCCCCTTCACCTTCTGCCATGATTGTAAGGTTCCTGAAGCCCTCGCCAGAAGCAGGTACTGGAGCCATGAGGTATAACCTGCAGAACTGTGAGTCAATTGAACCTCTTTTTCTTTATAAATTACCCAGCTTCAGGTATTTTTTTATAGCAATGCAAGAATGGCCTAATGCAACATGGAACATAAAAATAAAATCTACAATGAAAAAAATTTTTGTTAAACATTGGCCATTTAGAGATTCATAGGAAATATTAAGACAATTTAACTATCTATGGTTGGAGTACATGTGTCTCCTCAAAATAATATTAATAGCTCAAAAGTGAAAAAAAGCAAGACTATTTAGCTTATGGGTCTTCAAGGAGTGCAGAAATTTACATACACCTGAGTATTAAAACAAAAAAAGAGAACACGAATATATGGCATACACACTGTGAGAAATACATGCCAAAATAAATATATGGCATGCACTCTTTTTCATTGCTCTCTAAATGAAAGGGAGACAGTATCTCCGTTGGAATATACGATATTCCTTCTGGTATAAATTTATGACAATCACCATGCAAAGAAGTCATCCTGGATTGCTAAGTCAATATTGTGTTACATTACATTGACATAATGTATTATGTTAGATGCTGTCATCAAATTAATACTTAAAAGTACGTAACAGAGATGAAAACACTTTTATCAGTGAGTCACCTGGTGGTCTGGAGTGGACATTTATTCTCCTTCCCACCACCACCCTAGCATCATCTGTTCTTGTCTTCTTGAAACAGCCTTATGATTTTGTTTGAGACTAATTCCTCCCCTGGTGGTTACAGCCTTAGTGGGGTTGTTCTGCTAACACTGATCAAGGTGGGGCAATCAGATGCACTATCTCCTGATTAGAATCTTGATGTAATACAAACATTAAAAAATGGCTGGCACTCATTCAACTCAACAATGGCATCTTGAAGAAATCCCTGCTATTGGTTTCAACTACCTAGATTCCCAGAGCAGCCTGGTTCCTGTGCCTGTTGAGACCTGGTTCTTCAGCTTTCCCTCAGCAAGTATCTGCTACCATATGCCCTTAATAAATCCTATTATTTGCTAAGTTATCTGGGGTTAGTTTCTAATGCTTGCAGCTGAAGAATCCTAACTGAAACACAGTTAAATTTTATCTTTTTAGTAATAAATCCTTGCTTCAATAAAAATTGTTTCACTGTTTTGCAAAAGAACGCTTGAAGAGACTTCTGTGCTCTTTAAATACCTAGTTATAGCTAAGACTTTAGAAGGCAATTGTGTTAAGAATCTGTGTATTTAAGAATGACTTTAGATTCCCAATCAGTTCTCATGGCTTTCTCAGGGAGACACAGTGTGATATGAGTGTTCATTCAAACATATGCTGCTATTATTCCTACAAGTTTTCTTTTTATATGGTTTAAAACAACTATGTGTCCTGTACGGTTTTTGAAGGTTCATATTCAGTTGTCGTTGCCTTTTTTGTCTTTGGAAGTGTTCAAAATTTATTAAAATTTGCCAGAATGCCACTTTTTCACTTGTGATTTGCTGTCAAGAGAAACAGTAGAAGGCACACATGGGGGAATCAGCCAAGGCACACACGGGGGATCAGCCAAGCAGAGATGTGAGCGTGGGCAGGGCCTGGCCTAGTGAATTCACGTGTGGAATGCTAGGCCAGCCCTGCCCAGGCTCACATCTCTGGATGGCTGATCCATGCAGAGATGGATGAACTCATTTTGGAAGATGAAAGAAGAAAAGGGTGTTCATCTTTTCTTTTCTCTAGTATTTTTTAACACCTTTAACATGTGTGATTCTGCACAATAAGCCTGTTGCTTTCATATTGCCTCCTTGTTTGAAATGAAGAAACTACGATTTAAACAAGATATTCACAGAGATGCAGAAGGAGAATAAAGCTGCTCAAGAGAAAAGCAACCTAAGTTGTAAATGACATGAATGGCAGGAGGAGTAGGAAGATAATTAACTTATGCAACCAAGTTCATGCAGAAGGGATGTTGAGCTAAGGGTGGGGCAATGCCTGCTTTTATTTGTCATAGGCAAGGTACCAGTAGAGTGTGAGCAATGCTCTATATTAAAAAATAAGGTGTTGGATGTCATCACTGATGCTGCATTTTCTTCCAGCATTGAGTTATGGTTGGAGGAGATCTCTGAGAGACACACTAGTCACTTTACTTGCTTTTCTGCCAATCACTTCAAGCAATATTTTTTATTACCCTAAATTGTCAGATCCCTGTTCCCCAGCCTTCATCTTTCCACAAAGGTTCTTCCATTACCAGCCCTTCTCTCCATTCCTTACTCCAAAGGAGATATAATTACCCGACTGTGAAGCTTGTTGACTTAGACCTGTCAGGTGTCTCTCTGGCCAGCCTGCTCTAAGATAGTTGCATTCTCCATTCACTCCTGCCCCCCATGCAGTAAGCACACCTGGGTCAGGCCCCAAACCTACCTTCTGCAGGCACTTCTGGGTATCTCTGTCTCTCTGTCTTTGCTATCTGGGCTAAACAGGTACGAGGCAGCAATTTCCTCTGTAGCAGAATAGGTAGGCTTTGCATGGTCTGGAGGCTCAGCCTCTTCTGCAGATGGATTTTGGTCAGTACTATGAAGAAATCAAACCAGTGTAAGGGGATGTAGGTAGGGGAGAAAAGAGGATAGGCAGTGTATTCAGGGAAAGCCCCTCTGAGGAGGTGACATTTAAGCTGAGACATGAATGCTATAAAGGAGAAAGCCATTGTGAAGATTTGGGGACATACTGCTTCAGGCAGAGGATAGAGCAAATGTGAAGGGCTTGAGGTGAGAACTAGCCTGAATTTTCTAGGCTTGGATTTTCCAGGAATAGCAGAAAGGCCATGGTGGGAGAGTGGTAGGATATAAGATAAGAGACAGAGGTAAAGGCATGAGTAGAGATTGGAAAATTGAGACAGAGTTAACAAAGGAGACTGAGAAAGCAGTTGCATTCTGTTAGTTCTCCAAAGAAAGAGATCAAATTAGATAGATAGGTAAATAGATATAGATCTCGTGTGTGATATATATGCATAATTCCATAATTATATATATAATTTATGATAAGGAATTGGCTCACAGGATTGTAGAGGCTGGGAAGTCTACACCTGCAGTGCAGGTTAGCAGGCTCAAGACCCAGGAGAGTCAATGGTACAGATGAAGTTCAAGGGCAGGTCTACTGGAAAATTCTCTCCTACTCAGGGGCAAGTTGGTCTTTTTGTTCTATTCAGGCCTTCAACTGACTGAATGAGGCCCACCTATATTATGGAAGGCAATTTTCTTTACTCCAGCAATTCAAATGTCACTCTCATGTTAAAATTTACCAATTTAAATGTTTATCTCTTCCTGAAACACCCCAACTTAGAACAGAAACACCCATAATAATGTCTGACCAAATATGTGGGCACTCCATGGCCCAGCTAAGTTGACAAATAAAATTAACCATCATAGCAATACAGTGAAGTAGGAAAGTTGGCTTCTTGATACGATTTTAACACTTTCTCCTTTGCATGTGAGCTGAACAAAGGCAGCAAAAAAAAAAAAAAAAAGAAAAAAAAAGGCACATTTAAGCCCACATTTTAACTAGAAGCACAGCTGCCTGGAAGGGACATTAAGTCTGGCTAGGCCAACTTTCCATTCAATGAAGATTTTTCAGTCTCTGTTTAAATACTTCCAGTGCTGGGGAGGTAACTATATTTATTATAAGGCAAAAAGTTCTGTTAATGTGAGTCTCTATTAAACAATTATATTGAGGAAAAAATCGTGCTCATGAAGCCTGAATATCCCTCAGCTTCTCTAGCATGTAGTAAGGGCACAGCCCATTAACATTAACATCTGAATGTGTTAACTCTGAAGCACCACTACTGCAGAGGACTTTGCCAGTTCTGGAGCATTGCAGAGTTTGGGGACAGCTCTATCAGTCCTGGACTACAAATATATTTTTTCCCAGGGCACAAACATGCCCCCACATAGTTGGGTCAGGATGGATTCAAATATTGTTTATCTGAAACCACTTGTCTCTGACATGCAAGTCTTGCTGCCGACTCTGCCAGGCTGCCTCAAAGTGGTAAATTCACTCTTACAGGCCTCTCTGATCCCATAAGCTGGCTTCTGTCAAAGTCCTAAAGGCTGTCAGCCTTGTCTGTATATGTCTGGACCCAACTGTAGACACATTTTTTTTTCCAGCTTACATTTAGATCAGTAGACATAAATAGATATGAGGAGAAAGGGGTGTGGTCCAACTCCAAATACATATTTAAGTATTAGCTCCATTCTGGCTAAAATGCTTTAGTTGGAATGACCACACATTGGTCCCAGTTTTGTCCCCTGGCGACACATCTCCTTTTTACTCTGTAGTCAGAACACAACTTTGTTCTAATACTAACTCTATTTTTATGAAAATGTGATTAAATTGCAACCTAGACATTGACGAACAAGACTATTTCTTTGTAAATGAATCTCCTGAATATAAACCCAGCTGAGAGGCTACCAGAAGACCAGTGTTTTCAATGTTGGTGGAGAAGCAGGTTTCAGAACACTGTGTAGATGCTGCTCTTTAAAAATCTCTGATGGGAAATTGGCCACAAGAGAATATTCAAGTTAGTCCAAAGAAAGAGGATTACAGAATAGAAAGTCCAGAAATAAATCCATGCATCTACAGCCAAGAAAATCTACTGATTTTCAACAAAGATGTCAAGAACACGCAATGGAGAAAGGACAGTCTCTTCAATAAATGATGCTCAGAAAATTGGATATCCACATGCAGAAGAATGAATCTGGACCCCTGTCTTTCACCATATAGAAAATTCAACTCAAAATGGGTTAAAGACAAATGTAAGACCCAAAACTATAAAACTCCTGGAAGAAAACACATGGGAAATGCTTCATGACACTAGACTGGGCAATTACTTTTTTTTGGATAAGACCAAAAGCAACAGCAAAAAATTAGACAAATGGGAGTATATCACACTGAAAAGTTTCTGCACAGCAAAGGAAACAATCAGCAGAGTGAAGAGAACCTACAGAATAGGAGAAAATATCTGCAAACTATACATCTGAAAAGGAGTCAATAGTCAGGATATATAAGGAACTCAGTAGCAACAAACCCACCCCCAAAAGTCCCAAATAATCCAATTAAAAATGAGCAAAAGACCTGAATAGACATTTCTCAAAAGAAGGCATGCAAAGGGCCAATATGCATATGAAAAAAATGCTCAACATCACTAATCATCAGGGAAATGCAAATCAAAACCACAATGAGATACCACTTCACTATAGTTAGAATGGCTATTATCAAAAAGACAAAAGATACAAGTGTTGGCAAGGATATGAAGAAAAGTAAACCCTCACACACAGTTGGTGGGAATGTAAACTAGTATAGCCACTGTGGAAAACAATATGGAGGTCCCTCAAAAAATTAAAAATAGAACTACCATATGATCCAGCAATCCTGCTGCTGGGTATATATCCAAAGGAAATAAAATCAGTATGTCAAAGAGATGCCTCACTCTCATGTTTATTGCAGCACTATTCACAATAGCCAAAATATGGAATCAACCTAAATGTTCAAAAACAGATGAATGGATAAAGAAAATGTAGTACTTGCACACAACAGAATACTATTTGGCCATTAAAAAAAATGAAATCCTGTCATTTGTGACAACATGGGTAAACCTGGAGGACATAATGTTACATGAAATAAGTCAGACACAGAAATATAAATGCTACATGTTCTTACTCATATTTTGGATCTTAAAAAGTTGATCTCATAGAAATAGTGAATAGAATAGGGGTTAACAGAGGCTGAGAAGGGAAGGATTGGAGAGAGGTTGCCCAGTAGGTGCAAAGTTAAAATTAGAAAGAATAAGTTAGGTATCCTATTGCACAGTAGGGTGATTATAGTAAACACTAAGGTATATCTTAAAATACTTAGAGGATTTTGAATGTTCCCATCACATAGAAATGATAAATGTTTGAGGTGATGGATGTGCTACATGATGATTTGATCATTATGTAATGTATATATATTTTGAGACATCACTTTATACCTCATAAATACATATAATTATTATGTGTTAGTTAAAACAAAAAAGATTAATACGGGGCATGGCCCAACCTCTTTAAAGCTTTGCTTTCTACTTTAAGAAGTGAAAAACTGAATAAATAATATTCTGGAGGGGATTAGCTTATTCAGAACATGGCTGGCAAATCTCGAGTATTTTTAGCTTTCTATTTCTTTTTTATTTTAGCTTTCTATTGTGGATTACATATGTCCCCCCAAAATCCATTTATTGAAATCAAATCCCCAATGTGGTGGTATTTGGAGGTGGGACCTTTGAGAGATGAGTGGGTCATGAGGTGGAGCCCTCATGAATGGGATTAGTGCCCTGATAAAAAAGACCCTAGAGAGCTCCCTCACCCCTTCTGCCATGTGAGGACACAGTGAGAAGACACATCTAAAAACAAGGAAGTGGGCCCTAACCAGATACCAGATATAGTGGCACCTTGATCTTGGACTTCCCAGCCTCCAGAACTCTGAGAAATACATTTCTTTTGTTTAAGCCCTCTAGTCTATGATGTTTTTGTTATGGCAGCCCTAATGGGCTAAGACATCTGCTGTTTGCACAGACTAGGACATAACATCTTTTGTCCTGATTTGTTTCATTAGAAAATTCAGTAGCTATAACTTTTAAAAATGTATTTTTAATCCTGAGGAGGACTGGTTACACAAATCTGCACAAATGATATTTTTGGCCACTGGGCTCTAGTAAGAAATTGAGGACACCACTGAACAGAGATTCTCAGCAGACATGAACCACTCTGTGTGCAAATCTTTTTTTTCCTCCTCTGTAGTGCAATGTTCTTTCATCTCTTTCCCAAGCCCCTCATCCCCTCACAGAATCATAAACTTTGTACCTCCAAGAATTACATGTGCATACCAGCATTCACATTTTCTCCTCAAAAATGAAGTTTCTAGTATTTATAAGAATACTTACGCTTTTATAGTATTTGTGATGATATCATTTGTTATTAAATTTTGATCATTTAATTATAAACTGCTTGAGAAAGGGATAATATCACAAATAACTGTTAGGCTTATATGTTTTAGATAACATCCTGCGCTTAAAGAACTATAATTATTTGGTGAAGGGGTAAAAATAATAAATGCATTATATCTATACATTAACATATTGTTTGAAAGTAAATTGCTTTCTTTTAAAAAGGGACTATATACTTAGTATAAACGGTTTTTTAAAATATTTTACAAAAATGAATGTCATTGTAATTTCACTATTCACATATAACCACTACTAAAATTTTGATGTGTTTAGTCTCTGATTACTGGAAAATCACAGTAAACAACTGTTTTTGTAAGTGGAATGTTTCTGGTATAATTGTATTGTTTCTAGCTCTTATCTCACTGCAATTATGTGTTAATAGATACAAAGAAGCTAATGTTATTTCTCATATTTATTTTATTTAAAGAGAATCCTCTCTGGATTCAGGGGTGAGTGGCTTCATTGACATTACTGTTTAAATTCGAAAGGTGCCTGCAGAAGCTAAGGTTCATCACTCAGGAGAAGCAACCCCAACCCTACCCTATTGAACTTCAGGGTTTGAGGATGTGCCGTAAGTGAAAAACAAAACAAAACAAAAAACCCCACTAAAGCAATTATTTGAATGATTGAGAAGGTTTTCTTTGTGTGTTTCTTACCTTTTGCTTTGGTGATCAGGCAAAGTTGTTTTGAGATCTGAGTTATCTGGAAGCTCTTCACTTTTCTACTTTTGTGGCTTTCACTAATGGGCTAAAAATGTTCCCGTTGTGTCAATCACTAGACAACCTTTCCAAATGCTACTTTTTCCTCCCAAAAATGTAGTTTAGCCATCGTTGGGCTGAAACTCCCCTCCCTTGAAGGTGAAGGGCTCTAGGCCTCAGGATTCTCTTGGAAGATGCTATAAACTGTTTTGCTTAGCACCCATTCCAGCCATCTTTTAGCTTGGCTTCCAGTTCAAAGAGGGTAGAGAGCTAAACATTCATTTTTCCACATCCCTTGAAGTGGGGGTTCTGCATGTGACCTTGCTTCAGCTAAGGTGATGGTTCTTTGTGAGACTCGGAGGTGGAGTATAGTAAGGCATTGGCTGGGCACAGGAGTGGGATGGGAAACAGTTCTTTTGACAGGCATGGTGCTAGAGCCATCTGTTCTTTGGGGGCAGCCGAGGCAGCGTTTCTGGCATCAGCCCTTATCAATGTAGATGCAGTGCCACAGACAGCAGGAGTGTGTGTTCTGCCAAAACAGTCATGTGGTGTGGGGTGGCTTTCTCCTAGGGCTCAGGTCTCTGGTCCTCCCAGATTCTATAAGCTTCTCAGATCTTTTCATGAACCCCTTTGTTTACCCTAGACAGAAAGGACTCACTTGACTGCAAATAAGAACTGGACTGTAGAATAAGATGTATGGACTAGAGCCATGGGAGTTGGCAGACGTTTGAATTTGTTGGATAGTAAAATTTCAACAAAATATTTTGGAACTTTGTTAAAGTTGCCAACATTTTGTTTTTCCAAGAAAGGATTTTAACAATACACAATTTATTATCACTATAACTTAGCTAAAGAAATGTTTCGAAGACTAAAAGATGGAAAGAACATACACTCAGAAAAAAATAATTTTCAAGTTGAAATAATCTTACTTGATGAAAAATCTCACAGTAAATCCTTATGTCTTCTTTTTATTGTCCTTGGTAAAACTCATTCATAGAAAATTATTGGGAAACCATTGGTCTAGGAGGGGTCAGCAAGCTTCACTCCACCACTGGCTATTTTTGTAATAAAGTTTCGTTGGGATACGGTCTTGCTTATTCATTTACATAATGTCTATGGCTGCTGTAATGCTGCAGTGACAGACTTGAGTAGTCAAGGCAGTGACCATATGGCCTATAAAGCTGAAAATATTTACTGTCTGGTTCTTTAACAAAATAAGTTTGCCAACTCTGAATGACCTAAGGGATTCCTTCTATCTAGATGATTCTAAAAATCCTTGAGTGATACCTTTAAGGATTTGCTTAATAGATCCACTGTTTGCACTCCCAAAGTCGATGGGAAATTCATTCCTTCAGCAAACATTTACTGAATCCCTATTATGTGCCAGGCTCTCTTCTGGGGACTGGGAATATAGGAATGAATTAGAAAAACAAGTTTCCTAAGTTCATACAATGCATGTTCCAGTGAGAGGAGACAGACAGTAACAAGTAAATGAATAAATAAATAATATTATTTTATGTAGTAATGAATGTTTCCATGAAAAACCAATAGGTGCTTTACTGAAGACTGATCCAAGGGGAGGGTGACTGTGTCCTCATTTAGGAGAGGTGCTCAGGGATAATTTTCAGCTCTTCATTTCTCTTTCTGTGGAATGGGTTTGACCACAAAAGAGTATAGTTAGAGATCGTGTGTAAGTACTTATGCCAGGGCCAATTCATGATAGTGCGGTGAGGGGTGGGGGTCAGGAAAAGGAGCATAAATACATAACCCAGAGAACATAGTCACAGGTTACAAAAATTTGAAGTCCTCAATCTTGGAAAAATAGGTCAAATAACAGAGCTACACAACTAAATCCTAGCTGTGTGTTTTAGACTTTTTTTCTACAGCAGAACACAAAAATAAGTTGAAGAAAAAAAAATAACTTACCTCACATAGAACATTGTGATATAGTTTTGAAGAGTTGGGAGCAACACATGCTTTTGTGTGTTTTCTATATGCTTTATATCTTTTTATAAAGCTGCACTGTAGGAGGTGGGGACATGCTCTCATAAGGATGGAAAACTCCTAAAGAGAAAATTAACAGTGATACTGAATTGGCAGACAGAAGTATTATAGTAACCCTCTTCTCAGGAGAGAAATCTTATTTATTTTTCTGTTTTTCCTTGTTTAAATATAAGGTATGTTTTCCTTTAGTTTATTTTAGCAAATTCATGACACAAAATAAACCAGCATAATTAAACTCATTTATCCCAATCTAAATCTCTGGTCAGCAAAGTTTTCAAAGCCAAAACCAAATGAAACCAAAAATACCCTTAGTCTGAACTTTAATACCAATATAATTTCTTTTCAGGAAGAAGAACATTTTCTTTTCTTTCTCTCTTTCTTTTTTTTTTTTTTTTGCCCTTAGTTTCTTAAGATCAAATACCTCAAATCATGACCAATGGTAAAATATGGATAGTATTGACCGAATCCCTACTGTAGCATTTGAGACTGATGTTAAAATATGGATTAGAGATGTCTGATCTTTTGCTTGTTTTGAAACAATGAGCTCCATATTGTAAAAGTGGCAGAGTTCTTATGGTCCCTGGTTGAGCATAGCAAATTCCTGATCCGTGGGAGCATGTTTATATTGCAATGATTCTAATTTACCCATAAATAAATTATTCTCCTCTGAGGCCCATAATAAATATAGTTTTAATTGCATGCCAACTGTTAGACCCTAAAATTAGACAGCTTTGGTCCTCCTTTGCCAATGGGAGGAGGTGTTCTAGAATCTGAGTTGAGATTTGCTGTGGCTCTAGAGGCACTTTGGGAGACAGAAGAGGCAGAGATATTTCTGATGACTGTCTAAACAGATTTCAGTTGTAGAAATGTTATTTCTGGGTCAGACAGAAGCCACGTTCAAATGTTTTCCAACAAGCTGAAGGGTCGTGCCTGGCCCTGCTTTTTATCATTTCTCTTCTTTTGAATCCCCCGAGTCCATTTTCACAGATGAAGCCAAAGAGGGTGAGTCAGAGACTGCCCTCCTGGCTTGTTCCAGTGTTCACTCTTCCTTAATTAGCAGAAACAGTACCCACTTAGAAAAGATGTTTGTGCCCTGGTGACGAAGTGCCTTCAAATTGAGTCACTCTCTGAAGAAAAATGTGGGACAATCTTACAAATTAATTTTAGCACAAGGGAATACAGGCCATGTGTGAAATTAGGTTGACCGCAATAGAAGTGAGCTTATGAGCAAGCAGGAGATTTTGAGCTCCCCCAACCCCCATCAGCACTCCTTTCTCACCTCTGCTCAACACAGCAATTTACACACCTTCAAAGCTGAGCAGCTTTGGGCAAGGGTTTCCCGATTCCTCATTGGAAAAATAGGGACAATAACAGTACCTGCCTCATTGAGTTGTTGAAAGGATTAAATCAGACGATGCTTATAAGGTGCCTGCACACACGTGTCACAAAGAGGTCGCTGTCCCCTCCTCCCCTTTCCTTCTGGGAGGCGTACTCTTCAGGAAGCATCTCTAGTTCTGCTTTATGCTTGTTTCCCATTTTTCTCTGTACTCACCTTCTTTTTCTGTGTAATGGTAAGGGCTGATGCACCAGAATAGATTTCTTTTGAGAGAAAAGGTACCTGTATGCTAATACTGAACTCAAAAATCCCCTAGTTCTTGCTTAACATGGCAATTGCTAGAAATCAGTTAACAAGCCAGGGATCCTGGAGGAATCTCAAGATCAAGTGTGATGATGGAAGTCAGGCCATTCCTGTCTGTTACCACTTTGGCATTCTGAAAGCTTGCTTTCCTCCCTGAACGTATTCTAGGGCTAAGCACCAAATGTGCTTTAGTTCCTCAACTCACATTTTCAACAGATAAAAGCAAATCTTTTAAAACAATTATTCAAACAATGTTGGAGGATTCCACTGTTTTTTCAAACAGCAGGTATCATCTTTTTACCTTTTTACTAGTTAAAAATGTATTTATTTAGATACATTAAGAATGTCACTGAAATTCCTACAACTTTGTTTTTCAGTTACAAACTAGTATTTGGTCAGCGGCACAATTATTTGGATTTTTTGTTTCTTTCTCCTTTGGGAAAAATATGAATTTTCATTCCTCTTTCATAATGGTCCTTGTTCACCTTTGCTATGCTTTCAAATTTCTTTTCTGTTTAGATCTGTTCTTCTACACTTAAAAGCATGTTTCAGAAATTTCCAAAATGCTGACTAAAACATTTGGTGCTTCTTCTTGTGCTTCTCCCAACAACTTTGCACCAAAAAGTTTATGATAACATTTTGACTCTGGGCTTCTTAGGATCTCCTTTGTCCATGTTTAGTTATTTCTCCAAAGGTTAGAAAATAATGTTGCTGATTCTTGTGCTTCCATTACTTAAGAAATAAACAGGAAGCAAGAGAAACAAAGGAAACAAATTCCAGAAGCAAATTCCAGGCTTCAATTAAGTATAGATTTCCCAGTGATTTCTTTAAAACTATATCATCTGCCTAAGACTTTGCTTCTATGAGAGTGGGGTAAAAGTCTTGTGTCCTCTGAGAGGGTTTAGGTATAGCTGTTAACTGCATTGTAGCTTACTTCCCTATTGGCTTAATTGCACAATGTATTTCTCTATTTTTCCCTGTAAAAATTTTGAATAGATAATACCTGTACATGTTCCATTCTTTTGTGGATCTGCGGGACAACATCATAAACTAGTGCACCTCAACTTTTGTTTGCTTCCACAACACTTCCTTCAGGAAAAACTGCACGGGGGAAATTGATGAAAAGTCATCATTCCCAGTCCCCAACCATCGGTCCCTGCCACCACGTCTATCAGTTCGCTCATATATCCCTTCCGAGATAGTTCAGACATATGCAAGTATGGATGTATACATAATTCCTCCTTACTTTTACACAGTCAGTACCATATCCATCACAATGTTCAGCAACTTGCTTTTCTCATTTAATAATAAGTTTTGGTCATTACAGTATTGTAAGTCAGCACACATAGCTTTCCATGTTTCTAAAGGATGGGTTTTTATCCCCTCCTCTTGTATGTGCATCTGTGTGTAAAGCTTTCACTCAATGATTTTTTATGTGCGTGCAATTAATGCCTGGACCTCTCACTTTTAATAAATAGGAGAATAAACATAAAATTTAAGATCCCTGGCTGTTTAGTGAGTGTTATGGATTTAATGTTTGTGTCCCCTCCACAAATTCCTACTATGATGTCTATATGGTGTCTTAACCCCCAGTGTGGTTATTTTTGGAGACGGGATCTCTAAGGAAGTAATTAATGTTAAATGAGATCCTGAGGGTTGTGTCCTGATCCCATAGAATTCATTTCCTTATAAGAAGATAAATCAGAGAATTCTCTCTCTCTCCCTTTCTGAGATGATAGCCCTCATTAACAGAATCAGCTGGCACCTTGATCTTAGACTTTCAGCCTCCAGAACTGGGAGAAAATAAATGTCTGTCATTTAAACCACCCATTCTGTGGTATTTTGTTATGATAACCTGAGCAAACTAATACAGTGAGGATTCTGTGCTGCTCCAAATTATTGTCTGCTGCTTCCCTCTGTGACTTAACTCTTGAACATGTGTCCAGGATGGTTATTTTCAGGAGAGGGTCATTGTGGAAGGGTCTGTTTCTGGTCCCACTCCAGCACAATTTGATCCTAGAACTGGGGTTTTCCTCTTTGCCATATTCAAAGGACTCTTGGAGTCTCATGCCATCAGAGGAATTTTTGATCTAATAGTCTGTGATACCTTTCTTAGTACAGTCATGTATTGCTTAACAGCAGGAATACATTCTGAGAAATGTGTAGTTAGACAATTTCATTGTTGTGCAAACACCATAGCGTGTACTTACACAATCCTAGATGGTGTAAGTACTACACACCTAGGCTATATGCTATAAGGCAGATTACTATACTAAATACTATAGGCAATCATAACACAATTGTAAGTGTTTGTGTATCTAAATGTATCTAAACATAGAAAAGGTACAGTCAAATACAGTATTATAACCTTATAGGACCGCTATAATATATATGGTCTGTCATTGACTGAAATGTTGTTACACCGTGCATGACTGTCGTCTTGCTTACTTACAACTTCCAAGCAAGTAGAGATCTTTGAGGTGGGGTGAGGAACATGAGTAAGAGTAGGAAGGTAGATCAATGCCAACAATAATTAAATAAAATAAATGGGTTTTTTTGTCCTGTGATCTTATGGATGGGTATATCCCACCCCGCCACCCAACACACACACACACAAATTGACATTAACTAGAGATTTGTTTCTTAGGTGTATTTGACAGTGGTCATGTTTCCAGATCCAGCACAGAATAAACAGCTATTAAGAGTAATAGAAGTCCTGGTGAGGTGGCTCAAGCCTGTAATCCCAGCACTTTGGGAGGCTGAGCTGGGAGGATCATTTGAGCCCAGGAGTTTGAGACCAGCCTGAACTCTATTTAAGAAAAAAAAAAAAAGTAGTGGAGTCGTAAGGGACAGCTATAAATGTTTGATGCTTAAGGGTTATCCAATGAATCATCCTGGTTTATAGCACCCTAATTTTCTTTTGTACTCTGTGTGATGGTCCTGGGAGGAAGCCCAAGGGCCTAGCTGAGGCCTCTTCCTGCCTAGAATAGCCTGGGGGAGACAGGTGACTTGCGCTTGGCCATTGGATGATGCCACCTGTATGTGGCCTCTTGAGAGAGTGGTGTCCCATTGTTGCATTGCTAACAGTAGACATTCATGCCAGTAGTGTGGTTCCAGGCAGCCCCAATGAGTCTTGCTGTGTGACAGACCTTTGCTGTAGGCAGGATCTTCTTTAGACCTGGACAGGAGGGCCCCCCTGGGCTATAGAGGGCCCCACTGTGATCTCTTCTGGCTTCACCTCTGCTCACCTAGAGTCCATATTCTCTAGACTATCCTCCTAGACTATACTCTGGGTACCCAGAATCCTGGGATTCCCTGCCCAAAGGGGCCAAAGCCTGTGAGAGCAGATCAGGCCACCACTGTTTGCAATCACAGGTCCTCAGAGTGGCAGGAGCATCTGTTTGGGAATGTGAGCAATGTGTAGAAAGAGCTTAGACAAGAGGGCTGAGTGTTCTCACCAGTGTGCTTAAGGGCCCTTGTGGTGTGAAATGGGGCGGGGCTAGGATGAAAAAGTGAGTAGGTTGTGAGCTCAACCATGGGCTCTATTTGTGCTCTTGTTCTGGGCCTCATGAATGTTAGGAGGGAGACTGGCTGTGGTCTTGATGCCTTAGTCTGTGTGGAGAAGCCTTGATTCCCGCCTGTGTTCCAAGCCTGACCTTTAGCCTGCTGTAGACTGTGAGCCCCTAAGAACCTTCTAATAAATGTTGTTCCTTAATATAGTCAGAGTTGGTTTCTGTTGTTTATCATCAAGAACACAGACTGAAACAGAAATGTTAAAGGGAATTCATTCTACCTTCCATCCAATAAAGACTGTTAATAAAGCACCCTGGTGAGCATTCTGTTTTCTGGGAGTTAAACACCCAGGTTAGGGGCCACAATCCCACCCTGTGACACACAACCAGAGTCTGCTTCCTCCTCAGGAAGGATCAAGAAAGAATGAACAGATGGAATTGATAAATATCTAAATACAGTTATAGCAAGTTGTCATCCAGGTTTCATTTGTTCTGGAAAAATGACATAATCTGAAACATTTAAGATATTAAATGTTGTTAAAGAAAATTCACCTTTTTTTAGTTAATGCTTTTAGTGGTTTTTTTTTTCCAGATACATCCACTTCAAAGTCTCTGAAATCCATCAATTTCTTTTTAATAAAAGATCTTGATTTCAGATAAAATTAATATTTCTATAATTAGGATAAAGCAAACACACATTCTTATCTTGAGTTTATTATTTCAGGTGATTTATACTAGAAATGACTTCCATGAGTATTAGAGTTCTGAGTGACATTCAAATATTTGCCTACATGCTTATGGGAAGCTTCTGTAGCTTTAACTTAGTAGAAATTCCAGTTTTTCTGAGTTCTTACATTCCTTCAGGTATTCCATTTTGTATTCTTTGTAAAAGACTGGATCATTATAGTAAGCAGTTAAGACAGTCTTTCAATGCAGAATTTTATTTCCAGTATTTTACCACCATAAGGATTCCAGAGTTCTTGCAACACTTGGTAAAATCTTGAACTTTTTCAGAATACCTCTCTCTGGCCATTTTTCTCATTATGTTAGGCATCAGAACATCTTTTTCGACATGTCTTAGTTGCTGCTGGGGTTGAACACCATCTTGGTGGGCAGAGAGGGTGCTGTGTTGCCACCTGGGTCACATAAACCCATCAATCTTTCTAAAAGGCCTTTACTATTTTAGAAGTGTTTTATGTATAGTGCTTACTTATTTACAAGTCTTAACTCCCAAACTGGAATATGTCACCTCTTTGAGGCCAGGAACTCTTGTTACAGTCATCTCTGTAGCACAGTGTTATACACACAGTAGGACCTCAGCAAACAGGTGTTGAAATCATATTTTATTTAGCGTTTATAGTAATCACTACTATATGCTTCTTTGGCGTTTTACATATGCTAATTTAATACCAGTCTCTGTGGGGCTGAGAAGGAGAGATTAAATTTAAAATAAATTTAAATGTATGTATATACACACCACTATCCTATAAGAAAAGTTTAAGGCACATTTAAGAGATTGTAAGTAATGATGCATAAAGATTTGGATAGAAGAGAAAGTAGAGATATTGGAGATTATGGTAAGTAGTGAAATAGTATAGGAAAAAGTTCCAGGCAGGAAGCCAAAGAAAAGCGTAGGTGATAAGAAAGAATGAGACAAAAATTGGAATCGCAGGAGATAATACGTATAAATAATGAGACATCATATGTTGAGTTTCAGTCTTCAAAACATTTTATTTGGAACCTCTCATCTCTGGAGAGAAAAGTGGGCCAATCTTTTTACTGAAGGAGTACCTGATACTCGGAGGCCATGTGGCTCCTAAGAGAAAGAACAAGAATTGAAGCCAGATTTTTCACTGCTCCTCTTGTAGTGACAATTAGCAAAGTAAATAAAAGACAGAATAGAGTAACTGCATCTTTATATGAAAACAGTAAACATGCTAACAATGGCTGCCCTTATTCACAGTTTACACGTGCATTTGTATTAACTTGTTTAATCTTCATAACTTAATGAGCTGTTACTCTCTGTTGCAGATGAGAAAACTGAGCACAAGGCAGTTCAATAACTTTCCCAAGATTCAGTAACTTTCCCAATAACTTTCCCTAAATGGTAGCAGTGGGATCTGATTTTGAATCCTGTTTGTCTCCACAACCACTTCTTGTCTCTTCATTCTGAGCAAGCTTTCTCATCCTGGAGAAGAAAGAGTCTATTGAAGCACTGCATCTAGACTTAATGTTTGTATTCAATAATTTCAATGACTGTTGGTATAACAACCAATCTGATGCCTGTGCCTGTTGCTCAGCCAGAAGTACTAATGATAGTTTCACTTATTAATCACATACTCTGTGTGGCTTAATTTTATTTTCAAGCTTCCATTAGATGTTGGCCTTCGATAGCTGTGGAAACAAAGGCATAGAGGGTAAATAACTTGTTTGCACAGTTAGGAAATGGCAGAGCCAAGAGTTCAGTTTGTGACTCCAAATTTTGTGACTCAAAAGACTCTTCTCTTAGGAGCTCCATTAAATGACTGTAGTGTCCTCTTCACCTCTGTCCCAGATGTGGCTCTCTTCCCTCCCAGAACTCTGTCCTCTAAGAGCCCATAGTTTTCATCACCATTATGGAGGTGGTTGATGTCAGTTGCCTTCTCAACCACCACAACCACCTTCTTGCTTGCTCACAGAGGCATGATTTTGTTCATCTCTTCAGAGGCCAGTGATAGGTTCAGGCATCAGCATGTATAGGAATTCTGGTTAATGAGATATGAGGGAAAGTCTGCTGGTGCATGGTGGTTTCCAGAAAAATTTTCTTTTGTCTTAAAAAGAAAAGAGTGCTCTCTTCCTTCTTCCACTGTGGGAGGGTGTTAGAAGATATCATATCTGGAGTAGTGGCAGTCATCTTGCAACCATGAGGGGACAACCCAAGTTAGAAACAGCCAACTTGCTGAGAAACTCTGAGTGAAGACAGGAAAGAACTTAAGTCCTTGATGAAATCTTTGAACCAATGAATTATCCATTCGGGAACATCTTGAACTCAGGACTTCTTGTCATGTGAATAATAACATATCCTTGCTGTTTAAGTCACTTCTGCCGGGTTTTCTGTCACATACAGTTGCAAGCATCCTAACTGATTTAATTAATATATTCAGCATCACCATCATAATCATTAACACGTATTGGGTGCTTACAATAGCCACTGTATTGAGCTCGTTATGTGCATCTTCTTATTTAATCCTCACCACAACCCTAGGAGCTACGGGCTTTTATAATTTCTACTTTACAGATGAGGAAACTGCAGTTTAAAGAGGTTAATCTGACCAAGGACTCACAGCAGGGAAGTGGCAGAACAATGATCTGAAGAACAAGGCACTCTATTTCCTTCATCTTTATTAAAACTGCAATAAACCACAAGTTTTATTATCCTTGTTTTGTTGATAAGGAACCTGCAGTTCCTCATCTACAAAAAGAGATTAAGTTCTGCCCCCAGCTAGTAAGTGAAAGATTCAAACTGAGGTTTCTCTGATTCCAAGCCTGTGTTTTTCGCTGTATGTTCAGGCTTCTCACTTGACCGCCTTCCCAGACTCTGAAAAGATTCCTTGTTCTCAGACTTTTCTTTAACTCTTTCTTCTCCATTCCTTACCTGTTTTGTGCCCCAGTCTGCAAGCCCCTTGCTTTCTCCTGAATGACAATAGATATTTATCTCTACTTACTAGTGATCTAATTAAGCTACTACATCTCCTAGGAACTGAGTTCCTTAACTTTGTCAACACGCACCTGTTGCTCGGCAGCATGGACACCTTGCTGAGAGGATGGATACCTCAGGCTTGTGGCATAAAAGACACTTGATAGGGTAAAGCATGTGCTTGGGGTGGATCAGGGGAAGGGGCTGGAGGGAATGCTTTCCTGTATGTGGCTCATGGGCTCTGCAACCCTGCTCCTTGGAACAATTAGAATGGAATACAGAAAGCCCCTAAATTTAGACCAAGGGAGAATCAAAATATTGACAATGTTAAAACTTCAGAGGCAAAAAGAGGAGGAGGACAGAGGGAAAGTTAATCACTACTTTCAGTAATGTCAATTTAGTCCGGAGACTCAAACCCCTTGCTCCTCTTGCCCAGTATGCCTCCTCATCTCCTATAGGCTGATCTCATAGTGAGGCTGTGGCTCTTCCTCTCCCACCATGGTTTTCCGCATTTGAGCCAGACTCCTTGCCTTTATTCATGCAGGCCCGGATTATTACTGCTACTCTCCCTCCCCATCTTTCAGCCCAAATCCTAACCATTCTTGAAGACTCAGTGCAAGTCCTACATTCTCCATGAGGCCTTTTTGAAACACATCTGCTTACATGAGTCTATATTTCCCTGAATTTAGGAGTTGTGATGATTCAGCTCCGGAGTGTGGATGCTTCTGAAAGTTGTTTCCACCACTTTCTCTAAAACCTTTGAGCTTCTGAGCTATTGACATGATTGGTCCTTAGAACTGCTGACCCTTGAGGAGTCCTTACCTATACCCTCAGCAGTCTTTCTAAGACCACCACACACCTGTCTAGTGTTTTGCCTGACCTCCATCCTTTCTGTCTTCTTCTGATAACATCACCTCAATTTTTCTTTGGAGTAGCTAGGGGAAGGCATGTGACCCAAGTTTTAGTCAATAAGCTTATTTATCTCCCAAGTCATCTGATTTGTGCAGAGAGCATATCATTCAGGCCAGTCCAACAGGAATCTCTATGAGATTTATATGGAGCTGTTTAAAAGGAAAGAATGGGTAAGTCATGGTGGCTCATGCCTGTTAATTCCAGCAGTTTGGGAGGCCGAGGTGGGCAGATCACTTGAGGTCAGGAGTTTGAGACCAGCCTGGCCAACATGGTGAAATTCTGTTTCTACAAAAAATACAAAACTTAGCCAGATGTGGTGGCATGCACCTGTAGTCCCAGCTACTCAGGAGGCTGAGGTGGGAGAATTGCTTGAACCCAGGAGGCAAAGGTTGCAGTGAGCCGAGATCACGCCATTGCACTCCAGCCTGGGCGACAGAGAGAGACTCCGTCTCAAAAAAAAAAAAAAAAAAAATACTTAGAAATAAACTTAACCAAGGAGGTGAAAGACCTGTACATGGAAAACTGTAAGACTCTGATGAAAAAATTTGAAGAAGACACAAATAAATGGAAAGATATTCCATGTTCATGGTTAGAAATAATTAATATTGTTAACTACCCCAAGCAATCTACAGATTCATTGGAATGCCTATCAAAATTCCAGTGGCATTTTATACAGAAATAGGGAAAACGATCCTAAAATTTATATGGAACCATGAAAGACTCTGAATGGCCAAAGCAATCTTGAGCAAAAAAGAAATAAAGCCAGAGGCATCACACTACCTGATTTCAAAATCTACTACAAAATTACAGCAATCAAACAGCATGATCCTGCCATAAAAACAGATACATAGAATAGAGAGCCCAGAAATAAATTAATGTATTTACCATTAATTGATCTTTGACAAGGTGTCAATAATATACAATGGGGAAAGGATAGTCTCTTTAGTAAAGGATGTTGGGAAAACTAGATATCTACCTGTGTATAAGAATAAAATATGACATTTATCTCACACTATATAAAAAATCAATTCAAAGTGGATTAAAGACTTAAATGTAAGACCTGAAATTGTAAAACTATTAAAGAAAAATATAGGGAAAAATCTTCTTGACATTGGTCTGGGCAATGATTTTTGGAAGTGATCCCCAAAGCACAGGCAACAAAAGCAAAATAGACAACTGGGATTGCACCAAACTAAAAGGTTTCTGCATAGCACAGGAAACAATCAACAGAGTGAAGAGACAACCTAAAGAAAATGTTTGCAAATCATACGTCTCATAAGAGGTTAGTATCCAAAATATATAAGGAACTAAAAAACTCAATAGAAAGAAAGTAGAATAGAAAGAAAGTAAAATAGAAAGTAATAAAATAAGTAAAATAGAAAGTAATAAAATAAAAGAAAGTAAAATAGAAAGAAACTCCAGGCATGGGGAGTTTCAGGGCTCTCAGTAAAGCAGGAAGGCTAGAGATGAAGTGGGAAGGATATTTGCAGAGAATGAAGCAATTTTCAACCGGAAAATATAAAAATGTAGCAACTGCAGAAACCCAGAACTGATACTTCTCTGCTGCTTATATTGTGTGAACATGTGTGTGTTTGTGTGTGTAGCAAAGTTAAAAAATTGAGTAATCAGATTGTTTAGCAATCGTTCCTCATTAGGCCCCGAGACTTGGTGGTGGTGCCTCGTTGATGGTTTGGGGAGCACTGGCTGGAATGTTTGCCCTGAAGCCCCCTGCCTCACCTTTCCCTCTTGGGGGTGGGAAAGAGGTACAGTGGGCTCCATCCTTGAAACTTGGCCCAGTGACACAGAGCATGGGTCACTTTGCTTTGTGCAGATCGCCAGACCTCAAATAGGAGGGAAAAGGCTCTGATGCTGACAGGTTTCTAAGTGAGGCTGGCTGGAGGCTGGTGTGGCATTGTCTGGGGAAGCTGGAGATCGGGATTATTGGCATTTTCCTTAACCACGTGACACTGGACAAATACTAGCCAACTACCAGGTGACTTGGTACCTTTAGGCTCCACCTCACCCTTTCAGTTGCCTCAGTGGAATCGAAATATAGGTCTTTCTGCTGTAAGACTTTTTCTGTGTTTCCCAAGCCTCCCAAATTCCTTGAAATGTATTTTAGGCCAGTTTTTTTCTTTTCCTCTTGTTAACTCTTTTTTCTTAAAATTACACCAAGAATTCATGCTTAACCATAGAAACATGAGAAAATTCAGAAAAACAACATGAAAGAGTAAGTATAAGCCCATTGTTAACATTTTGTTGTTAACATTTTGTTACATGTACAATCGTGTTAATCATTGTTAACATATTGTTACATGTGCAGTCATGTGTTGATTAACAACGGAGATTTTGTCCTTGTATGAACATCATAGAGTGTACTTACGCAAACCTAGATGGTACAGCCTACTACACACTTAGGCTACATGGTATAGCCTATTGCTCCTAGGCTTCAAACCTATACAGCATGTGACTGCACTGAATACAGTAGGTAATTAGAATACAATGGTGTTTGTCTAAACATATCTAAACATAGAAAGGATAGAGTAAAGATACAGTATAAAAGATTTTAGAAATAGTACACCTATATAGGGCACTTACCATGAATGGAGCTTTCAGAACTGGAAGTTATTCTGAGTGAGTCGGTGGATGAATGGAGTAAATGTGAAAGTTTAGGACATTACTGTATACTATTGTAGACTCTATAAACACTGTACACTTAGGCTATACTAAATTTATCTTAAAATATTTTTATTCAGTAATAAATTAGCCTTAGCTTACTGTAGCTTACTTTATAAACTTCTTAATTTTTTAAACTTTTTGACTCATTTAATAATACAACTTAAAACACAAACATACTATACCACTCTATAATGTGTTCTTTCTTTATATCCTTATTCTATAAGCCATTTTCTATTTAAAACTTTTTTAAATTTTGAAAACTTTTTTGTTAAAAACTAAGACACACACACACACACACACACACACACACACACACACACACTAGCCTAGGCCTGCATGGGGTCAGGATCAACAAAATCACCATCTTCCTCTTCCACATCTTGTTGCTTTGAAGTCTTCAGGGCAGTATCATGCATGGAGCTGTCGTCTCCTGTGATAACAATGCGTTCCTCAGGAATACCTTTTGAAAGATCTGTCTGAGGCTGTTTTACAGTTAACTTAAAAAATATATATAAGTAGGAGTATAACCTAAAATGACAATTAAAAGTATGGTATAGTAAATACATAAACCAGTAACAGTTATTTATTATCATGATCAAGTATTATGTACCATACATAATTGTATGTGCTATGCTTTTATATGACTGGCAGCACAGTAGGTTTACACCAGCATCACTAGAAACACATGAATAATATACTGTGCTATAATGTTAGGATGGTTATGATATCACCAGGTGAGAAATTTTTCTGCTGTATTATAATCTTACCGGACCACAGTCATATATACGGTTCATCGCCATCCATCATGTGGTGCATGACAATTTTTTCTTTTTGTGTTTATTGCTTGTTAGCCTCTTTTTTAAAATTGAGTATATTCTAGACACCTTTTCTTATCAATAAATACTCTTCTATACAATCATTTTAAAGGTTGGCTGCATTGTGTCCTATTGTCTGGATATACGTGATATTTTTTGCCAGTCCTTTTTGCTGGGCAAGAAAGTGGCTTCTGATTTTCCTGTATTCAGTATAATAACCTCCGTGTAGTTACATGTTTGTGTACATCTTTGAATATTTCTCATAGCTTTCTTGAATTGGAATTGAAATTTTGTGGCTTAATATGTTTGTTTTTAAGGTTTTGATGACTTTGTCAAATTGTTCTACAGAAGGTTGTGCTACTCATTTATGAGTGTCCGTTACCTGAGTACCAGTTTTCATGAACTAATGATCATTCCACCCACTTTGGGGCTGGAGCACAACAAATCACACAGACTCACTTTCTTTTTCAATCTATTTACTTCTTTGTAGTTTTGCTTCTCATTATCCTAGATACATTATGAATTTTCTGTGGAATGCAAGTATCTTGGTCCTTCCATACATTTAACCAATGTTTGTTCAGTGCCAACATGTGCTCAGGCTCGGGCTCAGACTAGACTCTACCCTCAATGAGCTTGCAACCTAATGGTATTAATTAGAAGCAGAATTTCACGTAAGTAATAACCAATTCAGGCATAGCAATTTTAATGTTACCTCTTGTTGTGTATTACCTCATTTAACGTATACAGTAACAGTGATATCAGTATTACTACCATCCATTTTACAGATAAGGACATCAAGACTGAAAGATGCTGGTTAAAAGCCTATGCAACTGACACATGGCAAAGTAGCAATTCTAAATCTCATCCTTCTTCCTTATACCCCCAAGATGGCAGGGGGAAAGAAAGTATTCTATTAAGGACATATGGAAGGGCTTCTTACCCAGACTTCTTTGCCTCATTGTCTCTCATCTCTGAAAATCCCTCATGCATTCCTTTATTATCAACATCACTTTTTGAGAAAAACTTCTTTTTAAGAGGTAAATAGATATAAAGTTCCAATAAAAATAATAATGCCTATCGGTTTTCTCCTTATAGGAGGGTCTAGGGTGGAGATGGGGCTGCATCAATGGAAGGGAAAATGAGTGTACATAATGCCACTGAATTGTACACTTAAAATTGTCAAAATGGTCATTTTAATGTTATGTATATTTTATCACAATTTTTTAATTTACCAAAATAAAACATTAAAAATTAAACATCATCATCTGTGGGGAAAAAATAGGAAAGTAGATTTCAGGAGATGAGCTTCACCTACCCCATATTTAACATGCAAGGACCTTCCTTCCATAAGACACTGGGACTGTAATATGGAAATGATTGATATTCTAAGAGATGCTAATTTTTAGAGTTGTTTGGATTTTCAGGTTCAATATTTCATTTTCATTTCAGAAGTATAATTTTAAACATCATAATGTCATTACATATTCCCTACATAGCAGCATATGTAAAACCCAGAAGCAAGACAGTGGCCTCTGACTCTCTGGCATACAGCAGTATCAGTTCCCAAAATAACAAGACATTCTTATTATGATTTAATCATAACTAGGAAAACCCAATATGTAGAGAGGTCATCTTAGAGTTTACAGGTAGAAAAATTTTTGTTTCTTTTAATGAAAAAATGTGTTTCCTTTTATTAGATGACAGTTTTTAAATTAATAGTTTTCCTTTTTTCACCTTGACTACCAGGAGCACAGAGCTAATTTGGGGGATGATTGCAATGATTTGTCTATAGCTTAGGCTTCATAAGTCAGTGTTTTCCTAGTTTTTCAATCCAAGTCTTGGTTCTTCCACTTTTGTTTTAATGGGTCAGTTGGATTTTTGATTTTTGTCATAAACGTCCTCATTTTTTTAAATAGGTAAGGAATAGAATATAAGTAAATGGAAGGACAGAACAACCACTTGACTGGCAGGCTGAAATAGAAGGGCATAGTAAATTCTTTATCAGTCACCCATCCCAGTTTAGATTCCTGCCTGGCTACGCTTTACTTGAGTTAGCTGCTTTTCTACTATCTGTATGCAAGTTATGTGTTCTCTCATCCGTGACTTGCTTGGGCCTGGCTAGCTGAAAGAAGAAGCTGGTCTTCACCTTCTGAAGCTAATATTGGTATAGAGTGCTTAGAGAGCCTCTGTTGGAGGGGAAGTGCTGTGTAACATACCTGCTCTTCACATACTGTCAGAAGAAAAGTCAGTTGAGCCCGAGTGGGCAGGGTTACCAAGGTACTGCTGGTGGAGGGGCCAAGCCCAGGGCTTCAAGATAGTAGCAGAAGCAGGAGGAAGGCCAGCCCTGCCGAGCTTGCCCTGGAGGTTGAGCCTGAGTTGATGCTGTCTTTGTCAGAGATGGCCTTCTAATGATGGTGGGTGTGCCTGTGTACCCCCGACCCCTGAGTGTAATGTAAAGCTTCTTTCTGCTTGTGTTCTAGCCCCTGAGTGTCTGCCTTATGTTTTAGGTTGGTTGTGGGGAAGAGTTTTCTGTGTGAGATTTTAGAGTGTGATGCTTGAGGGGAGTAGGTGCTGGGATAATTGGCTACCCACATGTAGGAGAACGAAACTGGGTCCTCATCTCTCACCTTATACAAAAATCAGCTCAAGGTGGATTAAGGACTT
Organism: Homo sapiens; assembly: GCF_000001405.40. NCBI lineage: Eukaryota > Metazoa > Chordata > Mammalia > Primates > Hominidae > Homo > Homo sapiens. Next base: position 115,479,974 of record NC_000005.10, on the reverse strand, counting down.
AAACCTAAGATCTGAAACTAAAATTTCTAGAGGATAACATTGGAAAAACCCTTCTAGACATTGGCTTAGGCAAGGATTTCATGACCAAAAACCCAAAAGCAAATGCAATAAAAACAAAGATAAATAGCTGGGACCTAATTAAACTAAATAGCTTTTGCACAGCAAAAGGAACAGTCAGCAGAGTAAACAGACAACCCACAGAGTGGGAGAAAATCTTCACAATCTAGCCATCTGACAAAGGACTAATATCCAGCATCTACAATGAACTCAAATAAGTAAGAAAAAACAATCCCATCAAAAAGTGGGTTAAAGACATGAATAGACAATTCTCAAAAGAAGATATACAAATGGCCAACAAACTTATGAAAAAATTCTCAACATCACTAATGATCAGGGAAATGCAAATCAAAACCACAATGTGATACCACCTTACTCCTGCAAGAATGGCCATAATCAAAAAATCAAAAACAGTAAATGTTGGCATGGATGCAGTGATCAGGGAACAATCCTGCACTGCTGGTGGGAATGTAAACTAGTACAGCCACTATGAAAAACAGTGTGGAGATTCCTTAAAGAACTAAAAGCAGAACTACCATTTGACCCAGAAATCACAGTGCTGGGTATCTACCCATAGGAAAAGAAGTCATTATTCGAAAAAGATACTTGTACACACATGTTTATTGCAGCACAATTCACAATTGCAAAATCGTGGAACTAACCCAAATGCCCATGAATCAATGAGTGGATAAAGAAACTCTGTTATATATGTATATATGTATACACACACACAGACACACACACACACACACGATGGAATACTACTCAGCCATAAAAATGAATGTATTAACAGCATTTGCAATGACCTGGATGAGATTGGAGACTACTATTTAAAGGGAAGTAACTCAGGAATGGAAAACCAAACATTGTATGTTCTCACTGATAAGTGGGAGCTAAGCTATGAGGATGCAAAGGTGTAAGAATGATACAGTGGACTTTACGGACTTCGGGGGAAGAGTGGGAGGGGAGGTGAGGGATAAAAGACTACAAATATGGTGCAGTGTATACTGCTCAGGTGATGGGTTCACCAGGATCTCACAAATCATCACTAAAGAACTCATGTAACCAAATACCACCTGTACCCCAATAACTTATGGAAAAATAAAAAAAAAAGATGTTTTATTTTTTAAAAATATTCTCTGACAAAACTTAAAGAAGAAAAACGAACCTCTTGGGCTGGGACCTGAGTGAGAACAGGGTGTGTCACCCAGGGTGAAAACAACCTCTGTTCTTTGTAGTCCCTCATCTACCCCTCTCATTTCTGCACCACCCTGGATCCAAAATGATAAGATTTAGAAGCTCACCAGCACATGTTTTGATTTTACGTTTTAAAGTCTCTTCACAACCCTAGATAGTTTATATTGAGATTAAGGAAGGGAAGGGATCATATTCAAATGACTTCGCTTTTTCTCTCTTCTCTCATTTATTAGTCATTCTGGAAAATCAAATGTCAGGTCAAATATGATGAAAGTTCAAAATCTGTTTCTATGATTAATTTTAATATGTCCTTCAGAAAAGGAGATTTCTTCCCTTCCCAAAAGTAGACAGCTTTGCTTCCTAGGCATTTCCTTTACAAATGAGGTTTTCTCTTTATTTTCAGTAACCACACAAAGATGGCAAAAATGTTGTGAGCAGGGTCTAAATTTTAGCAAGTAAGGGGAAGTTTCTGAGGATTTATAAAAATGGAAGCAAAGCAGAGAGCAATGAAACCAACCCTGTAGTTCAAGTTCAGGGCACTGTTTAGCTCAATACTATTCTTTTAGAGATCTATGGCCATGTGTTATAATTCCTTGTTACTCAAAGTATAGTAGGCAAGCCAGCATATTTGACATTACTGGGAACTTTTCAGAGAAGTCTTGAATGTCTTAAATTGACATGAATTTGAAAGAGGTCACATTAACTGTTAGTTAATATTAATATACCCCAAATAGTATTTGCATCATCAGTTTATTGGTTCCAATGAGCTCTCATTACCGGTAATAATTGAACCTTACCAGCTCAGTTTTCCCCGGCAGTGCCAAAGACGGGATCATGTTCATCTTCAGAGAGCCCATAAGCTTTCCTTGGAATCCTCCAAATGTCACCCATGCTACATTAGGAACAGATCCTGCCCCTGCCCCCTTGCCTATTGCTTACTGCCTGCAGGGTGTTCCATGGGACTCCACTAGGTCATGAGCAGAAATAGGGAGGGTGCTGCCTCCTCCAGTTTCTGTCGGCTGTTGTGCCCGGGCCCACATAGTCTTGTGTATACCCTAATTTAACTCCCAACCCCACTCTCCGCAGATCTAAGCTATCTTAAAGGCTACAATTTTGACTGACTTCTCGTGTCCTCACTACTTCACATTTCCATCCCCAGGCACTCTGGCACCAGACCCCTCCCACAGGCTTCTTCCTCCATGAAAATCACCTGCTACAGAATGATCAATGCCGGTGGGTCACCATTAATAGCCATCCTTCATATACTGTACTTGCAACTTTTGAATCCAGTTCAGGCTCAGCTGGAACCCCACCTCTGAGAAGCAACAGTATAATGTAGCTGGTTTAAACATCAGCCACCACCATCAGCACCACATCAACAGCCAGTGCATGCTGTTGTTTCACTACTAATAAAACCAAAACATTCGGAGAAGCAGTTTCTGAGATTACTAGAGATAGTCTTTGAGCTATCTGCTGAGATCACAAGGATATACAATTTAATTTGGGCAACTACATTTTAAGATGGGCATTGATAAACTAGGGAGGAGCCCCGCATAGGCAAGAAAGATGTTGAGGTGTCTGAAAATCATTTACATAGAGTGAAAGGAAGTGGAGAGGGTAACTTGAGAATGGAGGTCAGGATAATGTCTTTAAATATTTAAACTGCTATCATGTGGACAGGTAGGGTCTCTTGTTCTGGATTATTCTAGTGTCCAGACTAAGATCAATGGGAGGAAACTACAGAGAGGCATATTCTGAAACCACAAATCGACCAACAAGGAGTAAATGCCCTGGGAGGCAGAGTTCTCTGTCACTCATGTGTCTAAGCTAAGACGAGTACGTTTACTTTAGAGCACTTTAGGAGAAATTATTGAATCGGGGGGGAATGAACACAGAATGCATTGTCTCTTGAAACATAAAAGCTGGAAGTAATCTTAAAGATTATCATCCAAGCTTAGGAGACTATGGCCCAGAATGGGGATTTGATTTATCCCAGTTCACACTAATCACTGTCAGGGGGGGACTAGAGCCTGCATTTTTTTTTTTTTTTTTTTTTTGAGACTAGAGCCTGCATTTTGAGTCCCTGTCTCATGATGCTTTTCTCTACATGCCATTCTTCCCTCTAAGATCCCACACAAATTTTAGCCTCTCTAATGAATGCCATAGATGGGAAAAGAATAGGCACAGAGAGTCCAGGTGACAGTGGCTGGGACAGACCTGGGTGGTGCCAATGATATGGAGACCAATTTTAGAGTCTACTTTGGGATTATAGAACAAGATGACTTTTCTATTCATTTTACTCAGCAAAAATGCATTTTTGGTTCTTTTCTTCCCACATATTGAGTTTTGAAGAATCTGCAATTTGCTTTCCGGTAATTTTTTCTGATATCATTTTCATGTATGAGCAATATCAACGTCAACTCAATCAAAAGTCACTTGTCCTGGTTCTTCTCAACTTCATGCTTCCCTTGGCTGCACCATGCTGAGTGTCCCTGGGCTCTGTCTTCTCTTTTGTCCTTCCTTTCCCTGTCCCTTTCCTATGTTGCTTCCAGTGAGGTATGAAAGGAGGAAGTCACTGGGAACCTGTAAAGGGGAAGGGAAAGACTGTGGGAGAAGGGAACCAAAACAGGAGATGGATGGCCCAAAGAAACTTTGCTGACTTCTTCTAATTTTTGCCTCAACCTTTTCTTATTTCAGTCATCTGTGCTAAGAAAAAGAGAAGCTATGAGCACATGCCCTTTCACATCCTACCTCACATGCCCCAGGAATGATGGCCACAAGGCCCATGTAAGCAGAAGTAGCTCCCTCATGGCCTGACATTCAAAATGGCTACCATCATAGTAATTCCTCTGGGGGAAAAACACCTCTAAAATGGAGTTGTTATTGAGAATTTCACTGATGCCTGAACATCTCTGAGGGAAGTAAGAGAGTACTGCGAGGGGGTGGGGCATGACACTGGGCATCCTTGGGGATAGATGGTTAGAGACCTTCCTGGGAAGGGTTTGGAGTGGACCTCATGTATCTTGGGATCCCTGGGCTAAGGCACTAAGGATGCCTGAGACAAATCAGGTAAGTTCCCTGGAAGGTCAACACATGAATGCATTGATTCTTTGACTCCAAATCCTTTATTAAATCAGGGAATAAGGGAATGGCTCAGCATTTTCTTAGTGGTTATATGAGGCAGTAAGAACTTCAGCTGGACTTTACCCTAATGGATTGTCATTTGAGCTTCCCTTTTTAGGCATGATCTATAAACCTCTAATAAGAACTGTGTTCTTATAGAGTTTCTCAATAAATATTAATTTCCTGTTGTAACTGTGCCACCAGTTCAGTGACTTTGGATAAATAATATCGCCAATCTTCAGATTCCTTTGACTATAATATGGGGGCTTGAACTAAATGGTATTCAAGGTTCCATGTAGGCTTGTTTAAGACAATAAAAAAATAAAAAAAAATTTGGTCTTTGTCTTCAGTTTCTAAAACCCTTGGAATTTCCTGAGTGATAGGAGTGTATCTTGTTATTCATAATGAGCCCCTTTCAACTATACCTGAGTTTATGCTAATGATGTGACCTTTCATGGGCCCCTAGATAGCTTCAGGATGGGGCAGGAGGCCAGGAAGACCAAACAGGTAATTAGAAGTTTGCAGCTTTCAATGCTCCCCACTCTGGGAAGGAAGAGGCCCTAGAGAGTGAATTCAATCACCAATGGCCAGTGATAGAATCAATCATGCCTGTGTTAAAAATAAAGCAAAACTCCATAAAGACCCCTGGCAGCAGGGATTCTGATTCTGTAGGCCTTGGGTGGGGCCATGGAATCTGTATTGAAACAACTCTTCCAGAGATTTGGATGAGCAATCATATCTGGGAGAAACTTTTCTGGAAAACCCACTTTCAATAGTTCAAGTTGATCCAGGTCACCAACTAGTTTTGTTGAACTTGTTTTTGTTAACTAGACTTTGCTTCCCAGCATCCCTTTTCCCTTTCTTCTGATAATAGCATGTTGATTTTCATAGGGGACACCATCTCTTTCTTCTTTTCAGTCTGTGGGGCTCCGGAGGAGGTGACCCCACCTCTGGTTACAGCAGTAGCTCATAACCCGTGGTGGCCAGTTAATAGATTCTGTCCTTTTTGAAAAAGTGATTGTTTCAAGAATAGACACATAAAACAACCTGGTTCAGTAAAACCAATCCTTGGATTTTTGCCAGATATTGCAAAAGAAATTTTCTTTTTCTTTTGAGATTGCTAATCTGGAGAGATGTAAACCATGGCCTGCTGATGGCCATCTTGCCTCCATGAGGGTGGGGCTGCTTGAGAACGGAGCCGAGATACGAGAAAATTTGAGGGGATGGGAGTGCAGAGAGAGAGAAAGTCAGATCCCTGGTAACATCATGTAAAGCCCTAAATCAATCAATGCCATGCCTAAAGCTAGATCATTACCAAAACTTTCTCTTATAGGCACCAACACATTCCCTTTTCTTCTATTTAGCCAGTTTAAGTTGGGTTTCTGTCACTTAAACCAAATATATCTTTCATAGCATTTTCAAATTGCCCTTCCACTCTAGCTCCAGATGGCCTGGGAGGAACATAAACAAAGCTCCTAAATCTCACTGCCTGAAATTATTTGAGGTCAGGAGACTGAGTCTGAGTCCTAGTGCTACCATCATTCACTAATAATGATCAGAAACAAGCAATATCGTCACCTGTAAAGCATGCACAGGGTTATTGTGATAACTAAATGGGATGAAGCATCTACATTTACTATCTCAGCGGTATGAACGTGTTAAAATGTAAATGTGGGGCTCAAGAGAAAAGCAGTGATGACATTTGGTGTCTGCTCTGTGCCAGGCACTCTGCATATTTAATCTTATTTCATCTTTACAATAGTCCTGTGAGGCAGGTTGTGGTGAGGGTTCACATTCACATATAGAGCACCTAGTATATTTCCTGGTTTGGAGAAGTTGCTCAATAAATATTAATTTCCTGTTATAACTGTGCCACCAATTTAGAGACTTTGGATAAATAATATATCCAATCTTCAGATTCCTTTGACTAGAATATGGGGGCTTGAACTAAATGGTATTTAAGGTTCCATGTAGGCTTAATTGTTTAAGACAAAATTTTTGAACATGGCACTTGGAAAAAGCGTTCCATGATCAGAAAGGCTGGGGACAGGCTGGGATCAAAGTTAAGCAAGATCTTGTCCAGGGTCATGTAGCAAATCTGTAGTCAAGCCTGAGGTGATGGTGTTCTGTATCTTGATACGGGTTTGGGTTACACAGGTGCATATGTTTGTCAAAATGAGGCACCTGTAGACTTAGTATTTGTGCATTTCATAACATGTAAATTTTACATCAAATGAAGTGTTTAGATGGAAACATATTGAAGCCTGTAATTTACTTCAAAATGCACCAAAATTAGGAAGAAGTAATGGATGGGTAGAGGGATAGCTGAATGGACAGATGCAACAAAGCACAGATAGTAAAACTATAATGATAGAATTTAGGTGGGGCTATGCCAGTGTTCACTAAAAAGTGCCCTCAACTGTGCCATATGAGATTTTTCATAATAAAATGTTAGAAAAAAATAACCTAGAGCCAAGCCTGGATTTCTGCCCAAGAGCTTCGATCAGCCCATGGCACCTGCTTCCCTCGGGGCCTCCATGAGAGGACCCATTGCCTAAGGGTATGAGTGCTCCTTCTCTGTAGGACTTCTAAGCTGAGACAGGCACACTCTTCTTTTGTGGCAATTCCCCTCCTGGGCAAACAAGGCTCACCCTTTCTCATAAAAAGGGAAGCAAGATTTCCTCTAGCTCATTCCCCTCATTTTAATGAGAGCCAAAGCTAAAGAGGCCACAGGGAACAGTTCTGAAATAATCCCTTTCTTCAGCTGTCATCGCCTCTACTCCCAGCTGCTCCCTTGGCTTCGGCAGCTCCTTTCCTCTAACAGTCATTTTAGCACCCTTGCCCCTCCCTTGGCCTCCCTCTCTCCTCTTGGCCTCGTTTCTGGGCCCAGCAAGCCGTGGAAACATCTGAGATTCCTCTTTTGCCTTCCCTCTTTTAATCTTATCTGAGACAAGTCCAGGGGTTTAAGCAGACTTCTCTAATTATGGTTTTAGTCTGTTTAATAAATTAATCAGGCACATCAAATCTGCTCCTGCTCTTAAACTCTGACTTCAGTCCATTTTTGCATAATAATAGCTCCTGTCATTTGCATTTGCTTTTCTTAATTCCAAGCCCCTTTCGTTCTCTATTCATTGCTCTATATACATTTTCACAAGCTAGATTGGCAAGTATTATTTCTGTTTCACAGATGGAGACTCTGGGAGATGTTACAAATTAAGAGTTATTGAGTTCCTACTGTGTGCACTCACTGTGCTGTCTGCTTCTATGTACACAGTCCCGCTTGAAATCCACAACCTCTTTGTGAGGTGTCTATTGTATGGGCACCACTTTTGCAAATGAGGAAACTGAGGCCCAGAGAGAATATTTTCTGAGGTACAACCACCAGATGGTAATTGCCATGAGAAGTGCAGTCCCACAGAATGTCAGAGCAGGAGGGATGTTGGTAGCTTCCTAGGCCAACTTCTATATTTTCTGGTTGAGGATATTAAGGCCTAGAGAGTTAAGTGAGCTATTTAGAAGCGAAGCTAGAATTAGAACTCAGGTCTAAATTTTCTGACTTGGCCCAATTTAGCAAATGAGAAACTCCACATAGCTCCAGACATATGGGGAAAGTTGGAGTGTTACACGCCCTCAGGGTATCTGGATGCCACTCTGTGCTGGCAGTGCACTTTTAAAATCTGGCATGAGCTGAGTTGGGTTGTCTTGAAAACTTAGCCACTCACAGCCTGTGAGGCCCTCGGGCAGCCCAGACATAACCGATGTTCCCTTGTGCAATACTCGTCTCCTGTGCCAGGAGGCTTTGAAAGCAGGAGAAGCATCAACAGTTGCAGTATAAACATGGGAATGGGGAGTGAATGGAAAAACATGGTGCATAGACCCCAGACCAGCTGGGCACCAGGGTCTGTTCCTTTACAGCTCACACCTGCCACATCTCGATTCAGTTTGATTGGGCTTGAGGGTGAATGGGGAATACAAAGCTGGATTTTTTCATTGGCCTGGGATTTGCATCACTTCCATGCCAATAGCATAAACTTGCTTGTCTGATACACTTTGCATATGGCTGTTCACACCCAAGTGTCGCAGACAGAAAGAGTCTTACTTCTGAGCTGATAGAGCTGATATTTGCTTTCCTTTCCTAACAGAGTTGAGAGTTAGGTCAGAGGTTTATTTGGTTTATTTATTTGTATATTTAGTTGCTTGTATATTTGCTAAAATTGCTTAGTCCTCTAACACCATGGGGCTCCTATCATTGAGGGGGAACCATGCCTTATAAACTGTCCTGTGGACAAGTGGCTCATAAGTCTGAATGTTGTATAACAAGGGATTCTGTCAGGCTGGACTTTAAGGTTGTTTGGACTCCCAATCAGCAGAGGACTCACCTCTCACTAGAGGTGTGACTGAAAAGAGAGAGCACTGATCCTGCCACCGTGCAACTTGGATTGGACTAGTGATGCCCACATATGGTATTTTGTAAGGTGGAATGAGTCAGACATTGGTAAATGCACTACTTCCAGACTCTTGGTATATGACCATTATTGGGCTCCATAAGGCTGGATCAGTCCCTTGGTGTTGGGATGGGATTTCCCAGAAAAGAATGGATATCCTCATGACCAGTCTTCCTAGAGCAGATTATTTCTAGACAATGTGACCATGAAGCTGAAAATCAAATTGGGGCTATTTGGGGAGTGAGGGGGGAACTATTAATAATTACTAATAATTACACTGAGACATCAAGTGTAAACTGGGACGGATGGTCATTCTCCTCTTACAGTACTAAGAGGTGAGATAAGGGAAAATACTGCCTCTCTGGGCTGGGAGGTAGAAGCCTGGAGCACTTCCCTGCCACAATGGGCCCTAGAGAAGAACAGGGACATAATGGACCCTGAGGGCAGGTCTGGGTCTTGGCACTTACTAGAAGCTACTCCCTGAATTGTACTTCTGATTCATTATCCATTATATATATTTATGAGGCATAGTCTCACTCTATTGCCCAGGCTGGAGTGCAGTGGCGCGATCACAGCTCACTGTAGCCTCAAACTCCTGGGTTCAAGCAATTCTCATGCCTCAGCCTCCCTAGTAGCTGAGATTACAGGCCTGCCACAACTCCCAGCCAATTTTTGTATTTTTAGTGGAGACGAGGTTTTACCATGTTGGCCAGGCTAGTCTCGAACCCTTGGCCTCAAGCAATCCACCCACCTTGGCCTCCCAAAGTGCTAGGATTACAGGCATGAGCCAACGCACCCGGCCAATTATGGTTCCTTAAACATTACCACCCTGCCAAATGTCCAGGTGGCAACGTTTAAGGAACCTGCACATAAAAATCAGAGATGTTTGTGATTGTGCTGGGCACAGAAGAGTCTGGGGGACTTACCTCCCGGGAGTGGGCAGGACAAGAGGCAGCAGATGACAGCAGCACCAAGACACTGGTGCAGACAAGGCAGAGCCCAGGGACCAAGTAAGAAGAGGCAGGGGGAGGGGCATGGGTAGTGGCCATGGCTGGCTTGCCAAGGACCTGAGCCATCTGTGAATGCAGCGCTGGCTCTGAGAACTTTACTCACCTTCCCAAGTCCACGTTCACTCTTTCCCACCTGAGTGACCTTAAGAGGGTTTTTCCATTGCAATCACAAGCAAAAATGTTTTTGCTTTCTGTTGCTATTGTGTTCCTTTGTGTGGCTCCTTACCTTTGGAGAGATAATGGATGTCTTCGGGAAGAAGTCTGAGCTCAGGCTTCCCATGCCCTCGCACACACCTCCAGAATGGCATTTAAGTTCTGAATTGTAATTGCTGTTGGCTTATGTCTCTCCCACTCCCTCTGCTAACAGCAACTTGAGGTTGTCACATGCCCAGTGTCCAATGCAATGCCAGGCAAAAAAGTAAATCTAATTAAATGAAGGAGCAAGATGAAAATGACACTGAGCTGGCATATACAAAGGTTAAGATATAGACTCCATGTTCTTCAAGGTCTCAAATATCCATGTGGATTCTCCAAGATAATATAAAAACTCTATTCTCTCATTTTTCTATTGCTTTCAATTTGATTTTGTTAATCTGCTTTCTACCCTATAGAGAAAAAAAAAGGATCTTGGCATTGCAGCTTAAAAACAAGAGGCAACCAGGATTTATTCTTAATAAAATGCTTTCAGAAATATTTCTCAATGCATTTTTTTCTTTGCAGGTCTTACATCTGATAACATATAGGGATGCTGTTTTTATCTTTTTTTTTTTTTTTTTTTTTTTTTTTTTTTTTTTTTTTTTTAGTTTCTCCACAGTACAGGAATCAATTTAAAAATTGTCATTATTGCCTTGGAGTTATTTGATATAATCTTAGAAAGAGTACTCCCCTCTTTTTAACTTGCCTTGTAATTTTCCTTACAAAATTTTCTAGATTGAACCCAGGGTGTTAGGAAAAATTATATAACATATCTAGTTATTTGTTCCACATATTATAATCATTCAACAAATGTTACTTAAATAGAACATTTCCTATTTACAAAAGCTGGATAAAGTATTTTTTTTTTTTTAGAAAAAGAAAGATCACAGAAGCTTTAGCAGATAGAAATATATGCAGGATTTATGTGTGAGCACAGTTTTTATAAATCCCAGGGTAAGTAATAGAGGGATAGATTTAAAGGTTAAGACTAAACCTTCACTTGGAACTCTTTTAACCTTTTTCTTTTTAACAGCTTTTATTTGAAAAATGTGAAAAAAGGAGAAAATGAAAGTAATAATCACTGACAACTTTCCCACATTTTTAGTTATGATCTCTCCATCATCACCACCACCAAAATCTAGTTACTAACAATTTAGTGGATATTCTAGGCTATTGTTCTCAATTGCTCCTTCCCCTGCACTTCTCTCACACATGCATACACACACACACACATGCACACACACAAATTCACATATATATTTTTACTTAAAAAATAGAATTATGCTAATCATACTGTACTCCTATTTTCTTTTTTCACCTAAAAATAGCTTATAGACCTATTTCAAAGTTAGTACATACAGATATTATCTCATTCTCTTTTTTAAATTTTGGGTTTTGCATTTAGCTTTTGGATCTGACTGAAATTTCTTTCTTTGTATGGTGTGAGACAGGGATCTAACACTGATTTTTCAAAATGAATTGCCAGTCATCAATTAAATATCCCTACTAATTTAAAATACTCCTGTTAAAAGGCTGCCTTTATCATGAAATGAATTTCCATATTAATTTGAATATTTATCCTGTTTCATGGAACTATTTGTTTATTTCTGTGACAATTATTGTTTAACTTACATAATTTATAATGTATTTTGATATCTACTTATGTATTTCTGTGTAATGACAATTTTAATTTCCATTTTAATTGTTATATCTGATAGGAAAAGGGCCCCTTCATTGCTTCTATTTTCTGGTTTGTTTTGATTTCATTTTTGTCATTTCAATTTTAACAAAGTAATGCACGTACATAGTTTAAAAACCAAATAAAACAAGAAGGCTCATAATTATAAACAGCACTTGCCTCACTACTCTTCATCCCTTACCTCCTTCTTCTCAGAGATAGTCACTTGCATTTATTTTAGCTGATCTTTCTGGCACTTACCTCTATAATTCTAAGTAATAGGATTATGCTACCAATTCTTGATTTACATTTTTTAGACCTCATTTAGTGACTTCTATTTTACACAGTAAGTATTCCTCTCTCTTACATTCCACTCTCCTCCCTCTTCTGCTCAGCAGTGTATATAACAAATTTTAGCTCAATTATTAAATAGTGTTTACATTGAGATTGGGCAAACACTTTTAAATTGTGAAATCAATCCACAGGGTATGATTGCATTTCCTTTCTTGTCTGAAAGAAACCTTTCATGGGATTTTTTAGAATTATTAATTGCTTCTATTTTCACTGTAGTTTTAAAAAGCTAATATCCACATTTTTCTAAATATTCCATCAGAGACACCATATATCAATCAGCTGTTATTTTTCCCCATACTCAGAGGCATCAAAGTGTTTATTAATTCTCTACTTTACCTGGAAACTTTCTTCCCATAACCCTTTGACTTCCAATGCCAGTCCCCTGTCTCCTCAATCCCATGTGTTATTTTTTCCTTAATTTATTTTCTCATTTTGTTGGAGCATATTTTCTAGTTGCTGTAAACATTTCTTTATTTTTATGTTTTATTTTTTGCCCCTTTAAAATTGATTTTTATTTTTATGTCTTAGATATGTTACTTTTAAACAACCTGTATTTGGAATTTGTTCATTAGTTTGTCTTTTTTTTTTGATCCAGAAGGACAATCTTAGACTTCTAATTGCAGCAATTAGTCTATTTATACTTAATGTATTAACTGTACCTTTGTGTTTAAATCTACCATTTTATTTTGTACTTTCCATCATACCTGCTGTTCTATTTTTTCTCTCTTCTTCGCCTTCTTTTTGATTTTTCTAGTTTGAAGTTTCTTCCCCTTCATTAATTTGGAAGTTGTACACTTTGTTTCTATTTTCTTAGTGGTTATTCTAGAAATTATGATTCACATCCTTGACTTACCAAATGTTAATTATTACCTTTACCCTCCTCCTAGACAACACAAATTCAATACCACTTTCCCAAATTCAAAACTATTATTACAGTGTATTTAAATTCTCTATATATTTAAAACACTATAAAACATGTTATTATTTTACATAGCATTCATTTGGATTTACCCACATATTTACCATTTTTCTTGCTTTCCTTTTTTTCCCTCAGCTTTACCTTTCACCAATGATCATTTTCCTTATGTCTGAACTACATGCTCTAGAATATCTTTTAGTGCAGATCTACAGAAGACACCCTGTTTTTACTTGTCAAATAGAGTCATCATATTGCTTTAAATTTTGAGGTATATTTTTGATGAGTGTAGAATTCTAAGTAGGCAGTTATTTTCTATTACTGTGTTGAAGACATTCCCTCGTGCTGTTTTTTTTTTTTTTTTAACTTTTAGATTCACGGGTACATGTGCAGGTTTGTTGCATGGGTATATTGCATGATGCTGAGGTTTGGGTATTAATGATCCCATCACTCACATAGCGGGTATAGTACCCAACAGTTTTTCAACCCCTGTGCCCCTCCCCCATCTAGTAGTCCCCAGTGTCTATTCTTGACATTTTTATGTCCATGAGTTTAGCTCCCAGTTCTAAGTGAGAACACGCAGTATTTGGTTTTCTGTTCTTGTGTTAAATCACTTAGGATAGTGGCCTCCAGCTGTATCCATGTTGCTGCAAAGGACATGATTGCATTCTTTTCTATGGCTGTGTAGTATTGCATGGTATGTATATACTACATTTTCCTTGTCCAATCCACTGTTGATGGGAACCTAGGTTGATTCTGTGTCTTCATTTTTGTGAATAGTGCTGCAATGAACATACAAGTGCAGGTATCTTTTTGTTAGAAGAATCTTTTTTTTAAATAAAAGAAATAGGATTGCTGAGTTTAATGGTAATTCTGTTTTTAGTTCTTTGAGAAATCTCCAAACTGCTTTCCAAAGGGGCTGAAGTAATTTACATTCCTACTAACAGTGTATAAGTGTTCCCTTATCTCTGCAGCCTTGCCAGCGTCTATTGTTTTTTGACTTTTTAGTAATAGCCATTCTGACTGGTGGGAGATGGTACCTCTTTGTGCTTTTGATTTGCATTTTTCTGATTATTAGTGATGTTAAGCATATTTTCATATGTTTGTTGGCCACTTGTATGTCTTTTTAGTAGTGTCTGTTCATGTCCTTTGCTCATTTTTTAACGGAGTTGTCTTTGCTTGCTGATTTAAGTTTCTTTTAGATTCTGGATATTAGATCTTTTTTGTCCGATGCATAGTTTGTGAATATTTTCTCCCATTCTGTAGGTCTTCTTTTCACTCTGTTGGTAGTTTCTTTTGCTGTGCAGAGGGTGTTTGGTTTAATTAGGTCCAATTTGTCAATCTTTGTTTCTGTTGCAATTACTTTTGAGGATTAGTCATGAATTCCTCCCCAAGGCCAGTGTCCAGAATGGTATTTCCTAGGTTTTCTTCTAGGATTCTTACAGTTTGAGGTCTTACCTTTCAGTCTTTGTTTTTTGATACTGAGAAGTTAGTTGCCACTCTGTCACAACTTTGAAAGTGTTCTTTTTCTCTAGCTTATGATTTTCCCTTTCTCTTTGCTTTTCTTGCAAACCAAGGTATGGGTTTCTTTATATTTATCATATTAGGGATTTATTGAACTCCTGAATTTTTTGAATTGGTGTCATTCATCAGTTTTAAAAAACTCTTGGTAATTTTTTTTTTCATTTACTGTCTGTACCCCATTACTCTCCTTATGGTCTATTTGGAGACCTATGTCTCCAAGACATAACATACATATGTTAAAATTTTCATTCTATGTTAAGTGTTGATAAACTGTGGCTTTGGAGGTAGTCACCTGTTTTTGTAAATAAAGTTTTGAATATAGTCATGATTATTCAGTTGCTTGTTGTCTATGGCTTTTTTTGAACTATAGTGGCAGAATTGACTAGTTACCACAGAGACAGTATGGCCTGCATGATCTGAAATATTGACTCTCTGGCCATGCAAACAAATATTTGGCAATCAATACTCATCCTTTCGTTTTTTTCTGGATACTTTCTTCTAATTTATATTCCAGTTCCCTAATCTAATATTTGGCTATATCTGTTCTACCTGTATATCTGGTAAACCTGTAGAATTCTTAACTATAGTTACTGTATTTTTTAGTTCTAGAATTTCTACTCAGTCCTTTTTCAAATAAAAGCAACTTTTTAAAGTTTCCACTTCCCAATTGAAATGTTCAAGATTTTCTTTTTCAGTCTGAAGACAGAAAACATGATTTTGGTGGCTGTGCCCAATACTTTCACTATCTGAAATCTTTGTGGGCTTGTTTCTGTTGTCTTTTTTTACTCCCTGGTTATGTCTCATACAGACCTTATGCTTAACATTGTATTTGAAATCTTATTCGTAGAAATAATTTGGGCATAGATTGAAAACATCTACCTCCACAGAAAATTTTAATTTGCTTCTGACACTCTAGACTACCTTAATTGAAATTTCAGGCTTGAGATTCCCTGGATCATCCATATGAGAACAGTGTTGATTTCAATTTATTCTTTCTCTAACAGCAGCGATTCTCAAACTTGTTTGTACATTTGAGTCACCTGGGAAACTTTAAAATGTACTGATGCTTGTTTCCTACAGTCAGAGATTGTGATTTGAATGGTCTCTGGTGTTACCTGGGCTTTGGAATTTTTAAAAGCTCTCCAGTGATTCTAATGTGCCCACAAGTTTGGGAAGCTCTGCCCTAAGAGTAAAGCCCTTCAGGACCTTCATTTAATGTGTGGGTATTTATCAGACTTTCCACTTGGCAGGTCCTTTTATCTATTTTGTTCAGTGAGGCTGCCAAATACCACAGCTCCATACTGCAGCTGTTTCTTCCTAATCAGGGCCAGTGCATCTGTGAGTACTTGCTTTTTCCTTCTTATATTCTCCCAAGTTTTTGGCATGGTAATCCCTCACTAGTTTGCTTTTTAAGGATTTTAAGAAAAAAAGTATGTATGTATATATTCATCCTCTACGTTACTCAATATACATATATAGCTGTTTTAGTCAACCTCATCAGGAGGATTGGTCTAGACTGCCATTAAGATAACTGAAAGTCCTCCAGTTGCTTTTAAAAAAAAGAAATAGGGGTAGTGTTTTTGCATTCCTACTCTTCTGAAAATGTCTTTATTTTATCAACTCTCTGGAGTTATAGTCTGGCTGAGATTCAAAGTCTAGGTTGAAACTTAATTTTCCTTCACATATTTGAAGGCACTATCTTATTGATCTCTTCTAACATTTATTGTAAGTGTTGTATAATCCTATTCCTTCCTCATGCTTATTTTCTTGTAAGTGACTTTTCCCCTCTCTTTGGGGACACAATTATCTCATAATGTTTCTCACATAATTTGGGGGTAACACATAATCTCACAATTACATAGTTTGGCATAGGGTGGGCCTTAATTAATTTATTTTTCTGTTCATAAAAGCAATGTGTTCAATCTGGAGATTTTTTTTTTACTCCTGGGAAATTTTATTGTCACTTTACTTTTTTTCTCTCTCTCTTTTTATTTTTATTTATTTATTTATTTTTTTGAGACAAGATCTCACTCTGTTACCCAGGCTGGAGTGCAGTGGTGTGATGATGATCTTTTTTTTTTTTTTAAAGGTAAATAAGTTATTTATTATTTCTTTCTTTTTTTATTTTATTATTATTATACTTTAAGTTTTAGGGTACGTGTGCACAATGTGGGTGATTGAACATGGAGTTCATAAATGCAAATCGGTCAATCAATAAAGCTGGAAACTTTTTCTTTAGGATAATTTAATTTGTCAAAAGATAATCTGATAACCATCATTCTACTCGCTACCTCCAAGACATCAACTTTTTTCAGTTTCACATATAAGTGAGAATATACAATATTTGTCTTTCTTTGCCGAGCTTATTTCACTTAACATAACATCCCCTAGTTCCATCCACATTTCTTCAAAAGACAGGATTTCGTTTTTTATGGCTGAAAATGTATTTATATACAATAGCATTCCATTGTATATACAGACCTCATTTTCTTTATCCATTTATTTGTTGATGGACACAGGTTGATTCCTTATCTTGGCTATTGTGAATAGTGCCACAATAAACATGGGGGTACAGATATTTCTTCAATATTCTGATTTCCTTTCTTTTGGATATATTCCCAATCGTGGGATTGCTGGATCATATGGTAGTTCCATTTTAAGATTTTTGAGGAACCTTTATATTGTTTCCATAATAGTTGTACTAATTTACATTCTCATCAGCAGTGTATAAGCATTCCCCTTTCTTCACATCCTCACCAACATTTAGTTTTTGTCTTTTTGATAACAGCCATTCTAACTGGGGTGGGATGATATCTCATTGTGGTTTTGACTTGCATTTCCCTAACAATTAGTGACGTTGAGCATTTTTTCACATACCTGTTAGCCATTTGTATATCTTCTTTAGAGAAGTGAGGCGGAGAAGAGTAGTAGGGAGGGAGAAATGAAGAGAAGTTGGTTAAGTTTGCAGACTTCCATGTCCCTCCCCTCTGTTGCCCCTATCTCTGTAGCCCCAAGTCAAAGCCTTTCCCATTCAAATTACACACAAAAAAACTCTTTCATCACCAGCCTGGGAAACTAGTGGCCTGACTGTGCAAGGTGAGAGAAGAACATGACTGCTTCACAAACGAACTTTCAACTTCTATTTTTAGCTCCTTACCTCACCCCAACCCTTCATTGTACCTGCTGTCTCCAAATCTTGAGCATCTCAGGTTTTCCATTGGGATGAATGAGCTAATTCATTTGTGGTAACTTGTCTTCAGGTGACTTAAATCCTTGCTTCCTCTGTCTTACTAAACCACTTACCTCCATCTGGTCCTATCTTTCAAACTTGTGTGGAATTCTCTTGTCTGCTTGTTTTCTTTATTCTCTTTGTCTTTTATGGGTTTCTACATTCTTTTAGACTCTAGTTAGCCATTCAAACTCCATGATTCATCAGTTCCTCATCCATACATGAAAATAATGCTGGCTTTGCCTATCTGACTCAGAGACTTTTTGTGTGTGGATATAGTTTGATAATATACATGAAAGTGATTGTGGGAAAGCCTAGAGGTCTTTATCATTATTTTCCTTATGATGTCTTTGTCCTCATTAATCTGATTTTCTAAATAAATGCTGAATTCAAATTATGCTCTCATTTCTCACCAGAATGAGCAGTGTCTGTTTCTTCTTGGTTGTGGAAATTGTATCCCTCTTCCTTTTCATCTGCTACCATCTCTTTTCTGTTGAGGTTTTCAGGGTGTGCATGAATCACCACTGCTCCAAATGACTGTGTGATATTCTCTGCCCCACCCTTGAAGCACTCATCACTGGCTGGGTGGATTCTCACTGAGCTATCATGGGTGGTGACACCTACCATCTTTGAGCTTCCCAAGGAGTATCCCAGCTGCTAAACTGGGACTGATCAACAAGGGGAGGCTGATTCTCCATTGCTGGAGTTCTGATTTCTACCCAATGGGTGCTTTGTTGTGAAAGAGATTTCACTAACTAGTCAGGCCAAACCACCTATTTTAAATCAAGATAATGATCGTTAACACTTCCAGATTCTAAGAATGTTACATGTTTTAACTTATTTCATCTGCACAACACCCTGTAATATCCTATGTCACGGGGAACAAAACTGAGACCCAGGTTGATTAACAAACTTGCTCAGTTTCACAATGCTCGTCAGTAGCAGAGCTGGAATTTAATCCCAGACAATCTCTCCCCAGAGTCTAGGCTCTAAACCACAATTTTATCCTGTCTCTTAAATCGGCTTTGTTTAACTAGCTAAGAGTGAAGAAAATCTTCCAGAATTTAAAGTGCATAGTAGGGTGCTGGCCTTCCTTGATTCTTTGATAATGTAAATAAAAGTCAACACTGGGGTTCTACCTCTAAGGTTCTACCTTGTTTGTACCCAATACTCCAACCAATTGGACACTGATTTCTTAGGTGCTTGAGTAATAGGCTGATGGCAGGTTGAACCATATGAAATTGTCAATATTTGGCCATTTTTGACCTATATAAATGGCAATGTCATATGAATCAATTCAATATTTGTTGAGCCCCTACCTACTTTGGTGGAAGACATGGTTCCAGGCATTTTTCTTACGTTACTTAACCTTTACAACAATATTTCCAAGTATTTTTACCTCAATTTTTCACATGAGGAAATAGGCTGAAACTAACTAGCTGGAGATCACTCAGCAATTGAAGTGGTAAAGCCAGGGATCCTGTTCCAAGGTGGATTCCTTTCCACTGCACAGCTCTGCTGGCTGAGCCCCAGGAGCTGAGTGGAGCTGGAGGTTCTGCAGGCAAAAAGGAAGGTCACATTCGAGTGGCACACTCAAGTTATATCAGTTTTGAAGTTGAGCATGAGTCAAAAGGAGGAAATCAAATGACCTCTGGTAAACAGATATGAGTCAATCAGCAGCAAAAGTCAGCTTTGGGAAAGTGAATCAGACCTATTCCATTTTATTCAGTATTGTCACGACTGTGGGTGTACTTGCTACAGCTTTAAAGAAAATTTGGGGATTGAAGGGTGATTTGCCTAATTGGAGAATACTGTCATGGGAAGCCCAGCCAGGAGAGCCCAGATGGGGGTGGGGAGGCGGGGCATCTAAAACAGCTGGGGACTATTGGGATTCAAAATTGGAACAAATACAACTATGGAACTTAGGGAGTTTGAGGAAGAGATAGGATGGGAAGGTCTTTGGTAGTACAACCAGAAAAGAATGATAATTTGGGGCTCTCCAGAATCTCCAGTGCTAATTGAGCCAGATGGGGCTTGGCAACCCAGGTTAGCCACGTGGAAGCATTTTGGAATGACTACAGGCTGTAAGTTACAGATGCTGGGTTGGGAAGACAGGGAGTGTTAAATGGGCACAAACACACTGAGATATGTTCCAGTTAAGTGGAATATTATTCAGGGGTAGATGCAAAAATAGTTGAAGTGGTTCATAGACATTCATTTTAATTCTATGACTTTCCTCTGTGGGAAACTACTTTCATCTGGTTCTTTTCAATATGAAGTGAGTCATATTCTTTTTATTTGCCACAAGCATTTATTTGCCATAAGTGTCTTAAAGCATTTGACAATTGCTGCCTTATTTTCAAGAAATTGATTGAAACACCCTTGCTGAGCTGCTCAGAATTTGAGATTAATTCTCAACCACTGGCACAAAAGTAGCAAGAGAAGATAAGAGTGAATGTGGTCATTGATCAACAGATGTTTGTTTTAACTCTTTTCTGGAAAACCTGCCAAATACTGGGGAGTGTAAAGGCATCCAGACTGCCTTCTCTGAGCTTATACTCTAATTGGGAGAAATATGACATATACACAGAGCAGAAGACATTGACTTACAAATGCCAAATGTGCAGTGAATAAACAAAGTTACGGGAAGCAAGGAGGCCGACATTGGCAGTGGGGCTAAACAAGGCCCATGATTCCTGGAGAGGGTAGATTTGAGCTGATCCTTAAAGAATGAGCATTCAGGGATACTAGGAAAAGGGAGGAAGGCATTGCAGGCAATGAGAATGGCACAAGAAAGAAGTCCAGGGGTGAGAGAACCCCTATTTGCTCAGAACCCAAGAGGACCGGGTTGGACAGAGTGGAGAAATTGTTGGTGAAGTAGTATGAGTGCCCCCACTTCTTTTCTCTACATGATTTCCTGAGTGATCTCATTCCGTCTTTCTCATTTAAATAATGTCTATATGCTGATGATTCCTGGATTTATAATTCCAGCACAGACTGTTCTTCTGTATTCATGACAGAACTCTTGATTTTTGCCCTCCCAGCTCATCCCTGTCTTCCCACTTCCCATGTCTTTCTCCTGTTGGTAAATGGCATCATGATTTACTCAGGTGATCAAGCCCAAGCCCTGGGAATCATGCTTGACTTCTTTCATTTACTAGCCCATCTCTGATCCATCAACAAGTGACATCAGCTCTTCCACAAGAGTATCTCAAATATGTTCATGTTTTTCTGATTTCTACAAATACCACCCTGGTTCAAGGCACCAAGCTCTCCTGCCTGTCATTCTATCATAGCCCCTGATTTCAATCCTTCCAAGCTTAGCTCCCTGAAGTACTTTCTGTAACCTGCAGTAAGAATTTTGTTTTTGAAATGTCATCAGAACATATGTCAGTGGATCACTCTTCTGTTTAAAATGCTTTGATCGCTTCCCAGTGCTCATAGTATAAAATCCCAACTCCTCACCATGATCTACATCACCCTGCTTTGTGGACACCTCCCATGCCTGGCCAGCATCCATGCAACTTCTTCTACTAGCAGATTCTCCATTTTTCTTTAGGGGAACTACCCCTCCCTGATTCTTCCTGCAAGTGGTCTGTGTGGGCTGATTCCACCCCATGTCCTGTTTCAGCAGCCAGCAAGTAACTCCAGCATGGACAATTAGCATATTCTTTCCCCATGTTACAGTGGTTGTCTGAGAGATGAACACATCTCCTAAGTTGATTGGATAAAACTCAAGCCTAGATCTTTTACTAGAACACTGGTGCTTCTGGTGAGGGCCTAAAGAATATTACAATCATGGTGGAGCGAAGGGGAGCCAGAATGTCACACGGTGAGAGACAAAGCAAGAGAGAGAGGAGGAGTGGCATGCTACTCTAAACAACCAGCTCTCACATGAAATCACAGACTAAGAACTCACTCAATGCGGCAAGGACAGCACTAAGCCATTCATGAGGGATCCGCCCCCATGACCCAAACACCTCCCACTAGGCTCCCCCTTCAGCAGTGGGGATCACATTTCAGCATGAGATTTGGAGAGAACCACGTCCAAACCATATCACCTGGGAACTGCTGGCTGTAAAATTATGCATACTTGGAGTTAATAGGGAACCATCTGTGGGAGGAGGCTTCCTGAGTGCGAAGCCAACTCAGAACAAAGGAGACTGGGAATGGAGAAAGACCAAGTTTTGTGGACTCTGAGTCCAGCACAATCCTTCTTCCCATGCAGTGCCTCTACTTTTCAGTTACATGAGTCAAAATGTTCTCATTTTAGTTCTACTGTATGCTTATGCCTATACCTATCTATGTCTATTTATCTTTTGAAGAGATGGGAAGATCTCTTTCCAAGGAGCCTCCCCGGGAGTCTGCCCGTGTGTCTCGTTGGCCAGCATTGGTTCCTATGTCCATGCCAAACCAATTCCCAGAGGCTTAGGCCAATCCCTAAAGTGCATGGATCCTTGGGAGAGTAGGCAAAATTTGAGTTCTGTTAGAAAGCAGGTGGCAGGTGACTCATTGCTGGTTGTAATTTAACAGGGTCTGCGACGTAAGGTTATCTTCTTTTCTTGGAGTTTTCCAGGCGCTATAAATGTGAAAGAGGCCTGACACCATGAATGGGGGAAGCAGTTGGTTGTATATCTAAACAGGATTGGTGGTTTCCAAACTGACCCCTGATGGTCTGCATGATTTTGGTGGAATCCCCTCTGCTTTCTTGATTTTAGTTTCAATCTCTGTATTAGGAATTCAGAGATTTAGCCACAATGTGTATACAGTGTATACAGCACAGACCATCTCAGAAAATAGATTTTAAAAAGGACCTTCCCTTCTGTGTTATTGCCTTATAGAAACTCATAAAACATTTTTGAAGCCACAGGGTTTTATCATTTTGCTGCAGCTTTTTTTTAAATTTACCCATTCCTGCCCCGTTCCCAGTGCCACCTCTTTTCCCTGTTCTGGTTATTTATAATTTAAAGAGAATATGCTCTGCCTCTCAAACACTGTCTATTGGAAACCACTGACACAGAAAAGGAGAATCAAAATCAGTCTCCTTAGGCTGCCTCTGAAGGATTTCACGCAGCTGTAATTGAATTAGTGCCTTTTCTGAATGGTCTGGGGCCAGGATCAATAAAGCTCCACAAAAGTTTAGACTCCTAAGGGGAACTGTGGGGAAACTGCAGGAAGAATTCCAGGGAGGGCAAATCCTTGAGGGCTGCAGAGCCCAGAGCAATGCAGCCAGCATGCGCCAGATGTTATGAAAGTATGTATGCTTGTAATGTAAATTAATAGCCATCAAAAATAACTGCAACATCCTGGGGCACCCACTGCCACCACCAAACCTAGGGCTCAGGGTAGACACCCCAGTTTCCCTCCCGGAAGAACAGGCTTGATTTAGAAGGGGTCCCCTGGAGGGTGGAGCTGAAGGTGAGGAGTTAGGCGAACAGATGAGGCAACTTGGCCCCTGGAGACACCCAGACCTTTGTTCCTAGGAAGTGGATCCTCCTTTTTTGCCGTCTCCTGTTGATCCTCTGTGACTCGGCTCAGGCTCTGCCTTCCTCTTAGAGCCTGCCCTGACACCTGTCCACAGTTCTGATAGTTCTGTGCTCCCACGGCACTCTGCCCTTGACCAAAGAAGCTCTTCCACGGGCTGAAATTGCAGGGCCATTTGTTTTTCTTCCCCACTAACCTTGTTTCTTGAGGATTTACCAATCACTTCATCAAACGCTAGCTGTGTAGCCTCAGACAGATTTATTAGATTTTCTGAGCCTGTTTCCTCATCTGTAAAATGGGGATAATGACAAACCTTTCTTCAAATGGTTGTTGTGAGAATTAAATAAGATAGTGTGTAGCCCAGAAGCTGGGGTATAGTACTCTGTAAATATTGTTTTGGGGTTATTACATCATCATTATTATTATCTTTATATTTGATTCCTCATCAGTGAGTCAGGGTACATGTTGCGTGATCAGTATATGTTGTTGAGGGAAAATGAATGTGGGATCGCTTGAGCAGAGAAAGAACATATAAACAGGTAATGATAATGAAGATCATTATTATAGTAAGCCAACAATGCAGGGAGACGTGACAGGGTGGCAAGTGTGTGTAATTAACTCTCTAGAGGGAGGGACCTACAAGAGTTCATTGATTGCAAAAGAATGAAATATCCCTGTGAGATGAAGCAGTCAGGCGAGACTTCACCAGGGCCAGTAGAGCCTGCGATGTCTGTAAGGATAGATGGGACCTGAATACACAGAGAGGAAAGGGGAGGAATTTCAGATAGAGGTCCCCTATACTCAGACCTGACATCTTGGAAAATGTGAGCATTGGGGATGTTCCCTTCAGGAGCTGATATTTAATTTGACTTTAGGATCTGTGGCTTAACCCTAAAGGGCCCAGCCCAATCCCAGAGTCTGTTTTATTCTTGTTGGAGAGTGGGTGGCGGTGGCAGTACCAAGCCCACACATCTGCAGAAACATTTTCTTTGTAAACCAGCTCTCTGTGACAATCATTGCATGTGTTTTGGGGTAGGGGCCAGCTGACTCAGGAATTAATCAAACCTTTTATGCCCATTCTCATCAGCTTTCAAAGAGTCTTTACACAGAACACTCCTAAATGAGCAGTGAATGAATATTCATAGACATATTTTCCTTACCACCAATCCGGAAGGACACCACTCTCAGAGCCATTTTGCTGTTTCTTGGTAGAGTGGACTGACTTTGGCCTTTGTGCTTATTGCAGAGAAGAGGGAAGTGAGTCAGCCCATAACACTGAAGAAACAGAATGTCCTTCTCCCATCTGTGATAAACTTGTCAAAGGCCAAGAAGCACGGAGGAGTCAGAGGGTTTCCAATCAGAGCCCTTGTCTGCAATGGGTAGAACAGGTTGACGTGTGCATTCACCACAGACGACCCAGATTACCCTCCATGAACCAACGGACTCGGTTTCTCATGACCTACTTTTCATTCATTTGCCTTGCCAGACCCACAGTTCTTGGCATTCTGATTGGACACTGCCTTTCAGGAATAATAACTCCTACATTTAAAGAGCAGTTTCCAGTTTGTGGGGGCTTCTGTCCACATTATCTGATTTCTTCAATGATCCCGAAAGAAAGGAAGGGCAAGAATCATTTAACCATTGCACAAGTGAGGCATCTGAAGCTGAGAGGTGAGTTCAGTCACAGAAAGGCAGATGTGAACTTAGAACACACAAATCCCAACTCCCAGGCCAGGGCTCTGCTGCATGGCCCCTTTGCCCTCCTGCTATAACCAGGATTTGAATTATTGACACTGCAAGTATCATATGCTCAAAAACTCAAATAATGTTTGAGTCCTTCATCAAAGGAGTAAGGCAGTTGTTCAACTTCTGCTCTGAAAGAGGTCTCCCAAAGGGCAATCCCATTGCAGAACACTTTCTAAGGCCCACAGGAACTCAAGTGGATTTCGCTTCTCTGAAACTCATTCCAGTGTTCTTCTGAGTGCCACGCAGTGCAACACAAACCGTCTCCTGTCTTTCACCTCTCTTTCACGTGGAGTCTTGAGGGCTGCCCTGGCACAAGGAACTGTTTCCTCTCCAACATTTCACTTGACAAACAGGCACTTTCCTACAATACTTGTGAGGGGTCAAACAGGCCAGGTCTATGGAGGACAGTTGTGTTATATTCCTTAAAATTACAAATGCATTGACAGTTGCATTCCAAACAATCTCACTTCTGGGGATTTACCTACATACATACCTATATATGTATAATAAGATGTATGTACAAGGTTTTCAGCTGCAGCTCTGTTTTGTAATAATAAAGATTAAATTCAATCTAAGGGTTCATCTGTAGGAAACCAGTTAAATAAATTATAGCAGAACCACATAAACACTATGCAGCTACAAAAATGAGTGAGGAAGTTTTCAGTAAATTAATACAAATTGCCAGGATATATTATTAAGTGGAAAAGCAAAATGCAAAACTTTGTATATAATTTGCTACATTTTGTGTAAGGGATGGGAAAGAGTACGTATTTGCCTGTGTTTGCATAAAGGAACACTGGAAGGATATTCAGGGAACTCATAAAATGGTTACTTTTGAGAAGTAGAGACTGGGATAGATGAGCTAGTGGTGAGGGAGAGGGACCTAGACTTTTTAAAGGGCACTTCTGACATCATTTTGAGTTTTGAAGCATGTTAATGAATTATCTATTCATGTTATTAAATTAAATCTAATCCACTTGCCCCTAGGAGCCAGCCAAGGTGTGCTGACCTCTTGCCATTGAATTTCTACCTTGGAGGCTTCCTAGAGGTATTTGAATGGAATCTATATTGTTAAGTCTTGGGCCATTGCTCAGGCATCTCATGAAGTCACTGGAAGATACTATCACCTAAAAAGACCCAGTCAGGTGAGAATGTGTCACCTCAAGTGGAGATACAGAAAAAGTGAGGAGGTGTCCTGAGGCTGGGCAGGGTGGAAGGATTGCTTGGAGGATTGAAAGGCTTTCCAAAGTTGTTTGAATGACTTTGGGATTTTGTGGAAATTAAGGCCTCCCCTTTTGGAGCTCAGGTGAATTACCAGGTTATCTTCCTACTGTGTTCTAGGCCTCAAGCCAGTCCTGTGGCACTGAGATAGGCCAATCTAAGAATCAGTAGATATTCTAATGCTAGCTCAGCTGCAGGTACGACCTCACCTGGAATGAGGCCTGGCTTGAATTGGCTTCTAAGAGTAAGGTCTCAGCACCGATTGCTCCACCCCATTATGTGGGATATGCTGGAGACCTTAAACCACCCCAAGGACAGAGAGGTTTCCCACTCAGCAACAACCAAGTGCCTGACTGCTCTGGCTCTACTCAGAGGAAATTAAGCAGTTTAATTGCACCAGCTCCCCTCTCTCCTAACAGCCTCTGCCCTTCCCAAATATGCCCTTCTTTCCTTGTTATTGGTATATTCATTTCAAGAACACTTGCATGCTCGATTTTACTAGACAACATAAAAATGAGCCCTGCCTCTACCAGCAGAGCTGGCAGTAAACCGTGGTCATCATCAATGATTCTCCTTCCCCACTTCCACTTCACTGCAGGGTGGGGACAGGTGTTGGAGTAACTTTGTCATTTTTACAATTTTCCTAGAGCAGTGAGAATAAGATATAAAGGAGCAATTTTTTCCTGCCAAGCAAAGACACACTTGCATTCCACAGCTCAAAACACCTCCAAGTTGGCTGCATTTATGTGGAATTTTGAACCATGCCTCAGCATACCCTAAGCTCCCCTGAGCATTCAGTAAGGGCTCAGGAACTCAGTGAGGTGTACAGGAAACTCTGGACTCTTCCTACAAGCATAATAGAAGCATACAGAGAGTACGGCTTTGCTGAGAAAAGTGGCTCAACTTGGCTAATTTGCTTCACTGTTCATTTGCCTCCACCATGAGTAACAGAAAGGAAAATTTTAACTGGTTTCTTCTATTTTCTCTTCACTTAGATGAAAGAAGTATTTGTTTTGTTTCATTTCACTTGTAGGAAAAAGGCCTAGATAGGTCAAAGGAAGATAAGAAACTTAATAGAGCTCTGAGTTGAAAGTCTAGGCTCAGATTCAGGCCCTGCCCACTGATGGTCTGTGATTGATTTCATCAGTCTGTGGGCCTTGATACCCTACCTGTGGAATGGGTGTAACAGATCTCTTTTGTTACGTCTTGAAGGATGTTATGAGAAGAAATGAGCTGGATCTTCACAACTGTTTTCCTTTCCTACCCACTACTAAGAGAACCTGTGGAGAAATACCTGTAATCCATGTCTTTAAGGAGCTCACTGTTTACAACAGAAAAGAGACAGAGCACATGTATACTGACAAAAATAATACTGAGATAAGCATACACTAAACCATCAACAAGAATCAAGTCGTGTGGTAGGACTGTGAGTACCTGTATCAAGGAGCCCAGGAGTGGAGCCATTGGAGTGAGTGGTGCCTGGAAGGTGCGGGCAGGACTCAGAGCCAGGTGTTAAAGGTCTAGGGATCACATTCACCTGCAGGGCAGATAAGAGCATGTGAAGTGGTCAATGCAAGCCAGTGAGCTGATGAGGGCCATAGTGAAGGTTTTCAGGGTAAAGAAAAAAAGATCAAACTTTGCTAGATGAACAAAACCCCCCTGCAGGCAGACCCCAGCCCTTGGCTGCAATTTGTGACCTCTGGGCTAATAGGTCTGTACAGACACAGAGAGGTGGGGAAAGGGAAATAGCAGGGGTCACGACTTTTGGGGCTTCCAGTAGATGTGCAGGATTCAGTGCCCTTGCGGGGAGAGGGTCTGAGTGCTGAGCGACCCCTACTCAGGTTAGCACTTAGCTAATCTGGCTCTGAAGCAAGGGGCCCCTGCTGAGAAGCACTGTCAGTCCTGCTGAGGCCTGGAACTCTATATGCTCATGTTATTCTTTAATGTTGTTATTATTTTCACCAGATACTGCATGTAGGAGCAGAGCCTTTGTCTAGGTCTGTGGGAGCCCACCCACACCCCGTTGCCAGAACTGCTCACCTTGCCTGCCACAGCCCTCGGACTGGCCCACCTGAGTCTGTGCCCAGAGCCCTCCGTCCCACCCACCAGAACAATGGGAGTGGCTGGGTGTGGGCTGCTGTTGTGCACATGGGAGGCTGGGACACTTGATGAATTAAATCATTAACCTTCAGCTTCTCCAACACCTGCTCAGCTGCACAGCTAGAGCTCCTCGTCATCACACACACACACACACACACACACACACACACACCCCTATGAAGCTGCATTTGGTAAATTTCTAGTCACAAATCAGTCAAAGAAGACAGTTTAAACAAGGAAGGCCCCTGCTTGTTTAGAGTTGTGGCACCTCTCAAGGTGATAGCCTCCTGCCCCTTAGTTGTATTACAAACAATCTAGGAAACACACTCCTGACACATCTAATAGTGTTTCTCAAAAGTTTGAGAACGATAGCATAGTCACATCAGAACCAATGTGCAATTGTAATGTATTTTTTTTTTAATTTTCTCAGAAAAGATCGACTGTGGGGAATGAATAAGATTACAATAAAACCTGAGGAATTTAATGCCACATTAATTGAACACACATTTTCACTTGAAGCATTGCCTCATTTCACGTCTCATCCTAGCTCGGCCCCACCCAGCAATTACATTTCATATTCATCATTAGTATTTCTGCTATGATAATGGGTATCAAGGGGAGTTCAGTTGATTCACAGATGGTACGATTTTGCTCAGTTCTGGAGGCTGAGTCTATAGTAAATGGGATAGCCACATAGAAAGTGTGGATTCCATTAATCATCTGGAAGCTTCCCAGAAGTTGCTGCATATCTGCTTTACAAACAAAATTCAGAGGCCTTCTGGAACTTTCACATTGTATTTAAAAACCCTTTCAGAACTGGTAGCACTGAATTCTTGCTTAACTTGGGAAATTCCCTCTATTTCCCCATGGCCCTGGACCTCTGGGCCATGTAAAAGTTGCTGATGTTTGTTCTGGGGAGACACTCTGGCTTGAGATGGGCTGACAATAGTTGCTCTTAAAGCTTAGGCTCTAATTTGTTCTTTAAGGAGGTTGAGGATGAAAGCCTGTTTTTGTTTAGGGTCTTGGCTTACTTTCATTTTAAACAGAGGGGAAGAAAGGCAGGAGGAACTGGAATGAGGTCACAGGCAGTAATTGGTCTAGGAAATGGCTCCACAGGACCCCTGCGAAATGGGCCTTCATTTATCAGCCTGGGAAATAGAGGTCATTGAGAAATCTGAAATATTTTTTAGCATGGTGCTGGAGGAAGAACCTGACTGGTGGGTGGGGTACAATCAGGGATTCCAAACTCTGCCTACAGGGACCAGGCTGGTAACTTAAATAGGGTGGGAAAAACTTGTGGCTACCTGGAGAGTCTTGGCTGTGTCCCAAAAAGGCACGTATGTCAGCCCCAGCCAATTGTTGTCCAGGGTCATTCAGTGGGTCTAGTGTTGCTAACTGTAATTGTTTTTCAAGAGAAGCTGGAAATCCAGATTTTTGTATGTAATCTTTCAACCTAATAAAGATTGAGAAATTAATTTAAATATTTAAAACCTTAGGAGGATCATTAAAATATATTTGCAATCAGTATATGGCCCCATGGCCACCAGTTTGCTACCTCTAGTTGGGACATCTTCTGGCTCAAGACAGATTTGTTCTCTTCAGATATTTTTCAAGTCTACGAGTCCCTTAAGTAGCAGAGGTTTATTGAAATCTCTGTCCCACACTATCCTGAACTTTGAATGAGGGTGGGAATAGAAGAATATAAGGCAAAATTATTACCCTAAGTTTATATTTAGAAGAGGAAGCAAGATGAACACATATTATTACTTTCTACAAGGGCTTTATAGTTGTGGATGTAGCTTATTTGTCCTCTCAGATTGTAAACTCTTCATCACTTCAGGGGCTTCCAAGACAAACTAAGGTAATAATGAAAAGTTAGAGGTGCACAAATTGCAACAAAGTAACGTGGTAAAATGCCAAAATGGCAGAGAAAAGTCTATGGATTCCAGGGTAACTTACTGAAAAGGGGATGCTGAGGAAAGCACCTGAGTAAAGGTGTGGAGAATGAGAAACCAATGTGATTGGAAGCATCCAAGAGGCTCATTTGCCAGGTGGAGCAAGAACAATGAGGTCGCTATTACAAGAAAGAAGAGAATGAAGAGCCTTTACCAGATTGGTGACAGTGAGAACATGAAAGAAGAGGACCACGTGAGAGACTGAAACACTGGACTGGTAGAATCAATAGTGCTTGGAAACAGGGTCAATGTTGGGGCTAAGGCAGTAAGTGATCAGAAAATTCCCTAGAGTTTAAGCCTGAGTTCTTGGAAAATACATATATATATATACATATACACACACAATTTAGCAAGGAGGTGGACAATGTGAAGGGGGCCAGCCCTTCCATACCTGTGGGTATTTCTCATCAGGCGGGACGAGAGACTGAGAAAAGAAGTAAGACACAAAGTATAGAGAAAGAAAAGTGGGCCCAGGGGACCAGCCCAGCATATGCAGGACCTGCACCGGCACCGGTCTCTGAGTTCCCTCAGTATTTATTAATTACTATTTTCACTATCTCAGCAAGAGGAATGCGGCAGAAGAGCAGGGTGATAGTGGGGAGAAGGTCAGCAAGAAAACACATGAGCAAAGGAATCTGTGTCACAAATAAGTTCAAGGGAAGGTACTGTGCCTGGATGCGCACGTAGGCCAGATTTATGCTTTTCTCCACTCAAACATCTCAGTGGAGTAAAGAGTAACAGAGCAGCATTGCTGCCAACAAGTCTCGCCTCCCGCCACAGGGAGGCTTTTCTCCTATCTCAGAATTTAACAAATGTACAATCGGGTTTTATACCGAGACATTCAGTTCCCAGGGGCAAGCAGGAGACAGTGGCCTTCCTCTATCTCAACTGCAAGAGGACTTCCTCTTTTACTAATCCTCCTCAGCACAGACCCTTCACGGGTGTTGAGCTGGGGGATGGTCAGGTCTTTCCCATCCCATGAGGCCATATTTCAGACTATCACATGGGGAGAAACCTTGGACAATACCTGGCTTTCCAGGGCAGAGGTCCCTGCAGCTTTCCGCAGTGCATTGTGCCCTGGTTTATCGAGACTGGAGAATGGTGATGACTTTTACCAAGCATACTGCCTGTAAACATTTTGTTAACAAGGCACATCTTGCACAGCCCTAGATCCCTTAAACCTTGATTCCATATAACACATGTTTCTGTGAGCTCAAGGTTGGAGCAAAGTTACAGATTAACAGCATCTCAGGGCACAGCAATTGTTCAGGGTACAGGTCAAAATGGAGTTTCTTATGTCTTCCATTTCTACATAGACACAATAACAGTCTGATCTCTCTTTCTTTTCCCTACACAATGAATTTTTGGCATACTGAGATTTAGGCTGGCAGTCAGGTGAAAAGGTCCTGAATATTTTAAAAATACCTATTAGTCTAGAGCTACTGAGAAAGTTTGAAATTAGAGATGCACATTTTGGAGTCTTTTTTATCAAGATGATGAAGTCAGAGGGTAGACAAAAATTTTTTTTCTTTTTTCTTCAATTATACTTTAAGTTCTAGGGTACATGTGCACAACGTGCAGGTTTGTTACATATGTGTCCATGTGCATGTTGGCGTGCTGCACCCATTGACTCATCATTTACATTAAGTATATCCCCTAATGCTATCCCTCCCCACTCCCCCCACCCCACAACAGGTCCCAGTATGTGATGTTCCTCACCCTGTATCCAAGTGTTCTCACTGTTCAGTTCCCACCTATGAGTGAGAACATGCGGTGTTTGGTTTTCTGCCCTTGCGATAGTTTGCTCAGAATGATGGTTTCCAGTTTCATCCATGTCTCTACAAAGGACATGAACTCATCCTTTTTATGGCTGCATAGTATTCCATGGTATATATGTGCCACGTTTTCTTAATCCAGTCCATCATTGATAGACATTTGCATTGGTTCCAAGTCTTTGCTATTGTGAATAGTGCTGCAATAAATATATGTGTGCATGTGTCTTTATAGCAGAATAATTTATAATCCGTTGGGCATATACCCAGTAATGGGATGGCTGGGTCAAATGGTATTTCCAGTTCTAGATTCTTGAGGAATCGCCACACTGTCTTCTGCAATGGTTGAACTAGTTTACAGTCCCACCAACAGAGTAAAAGTGTTCCTATTTCTCCACATCCTCTCCAGCACCTGTTGTTTCCTGACTTTTTAATGATCACTGTTCTAACTGGTGTGAGATGGTATCTCATTGTGGTTTTGATTTGCATTTCTCTGATGGTCAGTGATGATGAGCATTTTTTCATGTGTCTGTTGGTTGTATAAATGTCTTGTTTTGAGAAGTGTCTATTCATATCCTTCGCCCACTTTTTGATGGGGTTGTTTGATTTTTTTCTTGTAAATTTGTGTAAGTTCTTTGTAGATTCTGGTTATTAGTCCTTTGTCAGATGGGTAGAGTGTAAAAATTTTCTCCCATTCTGTAGGTTGCCTGTTCACTCTAATGGTAGTTTCTTTTGCTGTGCAGAAGCTCTTTAGTTTATTTAGATCCCATTAGTCAATTTTGGCTTTTGTTGCCATTGCTTTTGGTGTTTTAGTTATTAAGTCTTTGCTCATGCCTATGTCCTGAATGGTATTGCCTAGGTTTTCTTCTAGGGTTTTTATGGTTTTAGGTCTTAAATTTAAGTCTTTAATCCCTCTTGAATTAATTTTTGTATAAGGTGTAAGGAAGGGATCCAGTTTCCACTTTCTGCATATGGCTAGCCAGTTTTCCCAACACCATTTATTAAATAAGGAATCCTTTCCCCATTCCTTGTTTTTGTCAGGTTTGTCAGAGATCAGATGGTTGTAGATGTGTGGTGTTATTTCTGATGCCTCTGTTCTGTTCTATTGGTCTATATCTCTGTTTTGATACCAGTACCATGCTGTTTTGGTTACTGTAGCCTTGCAGTGTAGTTTGAAGTCAGGTAGCGTGATGCCTCCAGCTTTGTTCTTTTGGCTTAGGATTGACTTGGTGATGCGGGCTCTTTTTTGGTTCCATATGAACTTTAAAGTAGTTTTTTCCAATTCTTTGAAGAAAGTCATTGGTAGCTTGATGGGGATGGCATTGAATCTATAAATTACCTTGGGCAGTATGGCCATTTTCACGATATTGATTCTTCCTATCCATGAGCATGGAATGTTCTTCCATTTGTTTGTGTCCTCTTTTATTTCGTTGAGCAGTGCTTTGTAGTTCTCCTTGAAGAGGTCCTTCACATCCCTTGTAAGATGGATTCCTAGGTATTTTATTCTCTTTGAAGCAATTGTGAATGGGAGTTCACTCATGATTTGGCTCTCTGTTTGTCTGTTATTGGTGTATAAGAATGCTTGTGATTTTTGCACATTGATTTTGTATCCTAAGACTTTGCTGAAGTTGCTTATCAACTTAAGGAGATTTTGGGCTGAGATGATGAGGTTTTCTAAACATACAATCATGTCATCTGCAAACAGGGACAATTTGACTTCCTCTTTTCCTAAATGAATACCATTTATTTCTTTCCCCTGCCTGATTGCCCTGGCCAGAACTTCCAACACTATGTTGAATAGGAGCGGCGAGAGAGGGCATCCCTGTCTTGTGCCAGTTTTCAAAGGAAATGCTTCCAGTTTTTGCCCACTCAGTATGATATTGGCTGTGGGCTTATCATAAATAGCTCTTATTATTTTGAGATATGTCCCATCAATACCTAGCTTATTGAGAGTTTTTAGCATGAAGGGCTGTTGAATTTTGTCAAAGGCCTTTTCTGCATCTATTGAGATAATCATGTGGTTTTTGTCTTTGGTTCTGTTTATATGATGGATTACATTTATTTATTTGTGTATGTTTTACCAGCCTTGCATCCCAGGAATGAAGCCAACTTGATCATGGTGGATAAGCTTCCTGATGTGCTGTTGGATTCAGTTTGCCAGTATTTTATTGAGGATTTTTGCATCGATGTTCATCGGGGATATTGGTCTAAAATTCTCTTTTTTTTGGTTGTGTCTCTGCCAGGCTTTGGTATCAGGATGATGCTGGCCTCATAAAATGAGTTAGGGAGGATTCCC
This sequence comes from Homo sapiens, assembly GCF_000001405.40. NCBI lineage: Eukaryota > Metazoa > Chordata > Mammalia > Primates > Hominidae > Homo > Homo sapiens. The sequence continues at coordinate 115,445,672 of NC_000005.10, read as the reverse complement.
TCTTTTTCTATTGATTAGAATAGTGTCAGAAGCAATGGTACCAGCTCCTCTTTTGGGCTGAGACAATGAGGTTTTCTAAATATACAATCATGTTGTCTGCAAACAGGGACAATTTGACTTCCTCTTTTCCTAATTGAATACCCTTTATTTCCTTCTACCTCTGGTAGAATTTGGCTGTGAATCCATTTGGTCCTGGACTTTTTTTGATTGGTAGGCTATTAATTTTTGCCTCAATTTCAGAATCTGTTATTGGTCTATTCAGGGATTCAACTTCTTCCTGATTTAGTCTTGGGAGGGTGTATGTGTCCAGGAATTTATCCATTTCTTCTATATTTTCTAGTTTATTTGTGTAGAGGTGTTTATACTATTCTCTGATGGTAGTTTGTATTTCTGTGGGATCGGTTGTGATATCCCCTTTATCATTTTTTATTGCATCTATTTGATTCTTCTCTCTTTTCTTCTGTATTAGTCTTGCTAGCAGTCTATCAATTTTGTTGATCTTTTCAAAAAACCAGCTCCTGGATTCATTGAGTTTTTGAAGGGTTTTTTTTGTGTCTCTATCTCCTTCAGTTCTGCTCTGATCTTAGTTATTTCTTGCCTTCTGCTAGCTTTTGAATGTGTTTGCTCTTGCTTCTCTAGTTCTTTTAATTATGATGTTAGGGTGTCAATTTTAGATCTTTCCTGCTTTCTCTTGTGGGCATTTAGTGCTATAAATTTCCCTCTACTCCCTGCTTTAAATGTGTCCCAGAGATTCTGGTATGTTGTGTGTTCTCACTGGTTTCAAAGAACATCTTTATTTCTGCCTTCATTTTGTCTGAAGTCATGACATCATTCTGACTTCATAGTCATTCGGGAGCAGGTTGTTCAGTTTCCATGTAGTTGAGTGGTTTTGAGTAAGTTTCTTAATCCTGAGTTCCAGTTTGATTGCACTGTCATCTGAGAGACAGTTTGTTATCATTTCTCTTCTTTAAATTTGCTGAGGAGTGCTTTACTTCCAACTATGTGTTCAATTTTTGAATAAGTGCAATGTAGTGCTGAGAAGAATTTAAATTCTGTTGATTTGGGGTGGAGAGTTCTGTAGATATCTGTTAGGTCCACTTGGTGCAGAGCTGAGTTCAATTCCTGGATATCCTTGTTAACTTTCTGTCTTGTTGATCTGTCTAATGTTGACAGTGGGGTGTTAAAGTCTCCCATTATTATTGTGTGGGAGTCTAAGTCTCTTTGTAGGTCTCTAAGGACTTGCTTTATGAATCTGGGTGCTCCTGTATTGGGTACATAGATATTTAGGAGAGTTAGCTCTTCTTGTTGAATTGATCCCTTTACCATTATGTAATGGCCTTCTTTGTCTCTTTTGATCTTTGTTGGTTTAAAGTCTCTTTTATCAGAGACTAGGACAGAGACTGACACCTCATACAGCTGGGTGCCCCTCTAGACTAGGATTGCAACTGCTGCTTTTTTTTTGTTTTCCATTTGCTTGGTAGATCTTCCTCCATCCCTTTATTTTGAGCCTATGTGTTTCTCTTCATGTGAGATGGGTCTCCTGAATATAGCACACTGTTGGGTCTTGACTCTTTATCCAATTTGCCAGTCGGTGTCTTTTAATTGGAACATTTAGCCTATTTACCTTTAAGGTTAATATTGTTATGTGTGAATTTGATCCTGTCACTATGATGTTAGCTGGTTATTTTGCTCATTAGTTGATGCAGTTTCTACTGCATCGATGGTCTTTACAATTTGGCATGTTTTTGCAGTGGCTGGTACCTGTTGTTCCTTTCCATGTTTAGTGCTTCCTTCAGGAGCTCTTGTAAGACAGGCCTCGTGGTGACAAAATCTCTCAGCATTTGCTTGTCTGTAAAGGATTTTATTTCTCCTTCACTTTTGAAGCTTAGTTTGGCTGGATATGAAATTCTGGGTTGAAAATTCTTTTCTTCAGGAATGTTGAATATTGGCCTCCACTCTTTTCTGGCTTGTAGAGTTTCTGCTGAGAGATCTGCTGTTAGTCTGATGGGCTTCCCTTTGTGGGTAACCCGACCTTTCTCTCTGGCTGCCCTTAACATTTTTTCCCTTCAGTTCAACTTTGGTGAATCTGACAATTATGTGTCTTGGAGTTGCTCTTCTCGAGGAGTGTCTTTGTGGCGTTCTCTGTATTTCCTGAATTTGAATGTTGGCCTGCCTTGCTAGGTTGGGGAAGTTCTCCAGGATAATATCCTGAAGAGTGTTTTCCAACCTGGTTCCATTCTTCCCATCACTTTCAGGCACACCAATCAGACGTAGATTTTGTCTTTTTACATAGTCCCATATTTCTTGGAGGCTTTATTCATTTCTTTTTACTCTTTTTTCTCTAAACTTCTCTTCTCGCTTCACTTCATTCATTTGATCTTCAATCACTGATACCCTTTTTTCCACTTGATCGAATTGGCTACCGAAGCTTGTGCATGCATCACAAAGTTCTCATGCCGTGGTTTTCAGCTCCATTGGGTCATTTAAGGTCTTCTCTACACTGTTTATTCTAGTTAGCCATTCATCTAATCTTTTTTAGAGGGTTTTAGCTTCTTTGCGATGGGTTCAAACATCCTCCTTTAGCTCTGAGAAGTTTGTTATTACCGATCGTCTGAAGCCTTCTTCTCTGAACTCATCAAAGTTATTCTCCGTCATCTTTGTTCTGTTGCTGGTAAGGGGCTGTGTTCCTTTGAAGGAGAAGAGGAGCTCTGATTTTTAGAATTGTCAGCTTTTCTGCTCTGGTTTCTCCCCATCTTTGTGGTTTTATCTACCTTTGGTCTTTGATGATGGTGAAGTACAGAGGGGGTTTTGGTGTGGATGTCCTTTCTGTTTGTTAGTTTTCCTTCTAACAGTCAGGACCCTTAGCTGAAGGTCTGTTGGAGTTTGCTGGAGGTCCACTCCAGACGCTGTTTGCCTGGGTATCACCAGTGGAGGCTGCAGAACAGCAAATATTGTAGAATGCCAAATGTTGCTGCCTGATCCTTCCCTTGGAAACTTCATCTCAGAGGGTCACCCAGCAGTATGAGGTATCAGTTGGCCCCTACTGGGAGGTGCCTCCCAGTTAGGCTACTCGGGGGTCAGGGACCCACTTGAGGAGGCAGTCTGTCCATTCTCAGATCTCAAACTCTGTGCTGGGAGGACCACTACTCTCTTCAAAGCTGTCAGACAGGGACGTTTAAGTCTGCAGAAGTTTCTGCTGCCTTTTGTTCAGCTATGCTCAGCCCCCAGAGGTGGAGTCTACAGAGGCAGGCAGGCCTCCTTGAGCTGTGGTGGGCTTTAACCAGTTTGAGCTTCCTGGCCACTTTGTTTACCTTCTCAAGCCTCAGCAATGGTGGATGCCCCTCCCCAAGTCTCACTGCCACCTTGCAGTTCCATCTCAGACTGCTGTGCTAGCAGTGAGTGAGGCTCCATGGGCGTGGGACACTCTGAGCCATGCGTGGGATATAATCTCCTGGTGTGCTGTTTGCTAAGACCGTTGGAAAAGCGTAGTATTAGGGTAGGAGTGTCCCAATTTTCCAGGTACCATCTGTCACGGCTTCCCTTGGCTAGGAAAGGGAATTCCCCGACCCCTTGCACTTCCTGGGTGAGGCAATGCCCCACCCTACTTTGGCTTACGCTCCTTGGGCTGCACCAACTGTCTGACAAGCCCCAGTGAGATGAACCCGGTACCTCACTTGGAAATGCAGAAATCACCCGTCTTCTGCATTGCTCACACTGGAAGCTGTAGACTGGAGCTGTTCCTATTTGGCCATCTTGGAACCTCCAAGGGTAGATAAAATTTGTAAGAAGATTGTGGGGGAGATGAGAATTCAACTGAGGATAAAACTTTAGGGAAATGCCTGCATTTAAGATGTCAGATAAAGAAGAGTATCCTGAAAATATAGTATCAGCAAAAGAGCCAAGAAGAAAGACGCAGTAACAACCCCAAATGCAGCTGAAAGCCAAGGACAGTGTGGCCCCAAGAGAATCTGATAACTAATCAGTCGTCAAGAAATCTCCAGTGAGCAGCTTCAGTTAGATGGGAGTGTAGCACAGAAGTCAGGAGACAAAAACATTTAAGAGTAAGTGGGAGACTAATGTGAACAACAGGGCAAACTAGAGTTGCCTGGCACTTGTCCCCCAACAAAAGGGGATGAAAACAAGTAAAAGACTGTATTTTGACTGGAGGGACTGAGGAATGATGCTGTAGAGTACCAGCAGAGCAACAATATACCTGTGAAGCACAGAATTCCCAGATTGCACCATAAAGAGGGGAGCACGGCTCCCTGCCCCTGCTACACTGTCTTCCCTACCAGATGCAGCCTGGTGTTAGGGGGTGGTGGGGAGCAGATTCTTATGGGGAAAAAGTGAGCTGGAGATCCTCTGTGGTCCCCATTGCTACCACAGACGCCAGTGGTCCTTGCTATAGAAGAGTCCCCTAATCCTTACAGGCCCAAATCCCATTTGGACAGTTGCCAGGAGTTCATGTAAATGCATTGCCTCAGAATAGGAGCCCACATTGTGCATCCTGTAACCTCTGTAACCTAAGCTGCTGTGTCATGGCACCATCTTGAAAGCAGACCCACTGCTAGAGACCACTGTTAGACTGCATTTTGCCCTGGCAGCCAGTAGCCACTGATTCTCTCTGCTCCACCATCATTCCATCAAGTTCACAAAGGTGTATGAATCATCATGACCTCAGCTGCCCAGAGGCTAGACAGAATGAATGGGACCCTGGCATCCAAACCTGAAAGGCACCCCTGGGGAACAGGCAGACCTGCAGTGTGGGGAAGTTGCTGCACAGCCAGCTGGCCTGCCTCACCCAGAGTGTCAGCAACCCTGCTCCCTGAAAAGACAGCTATACTGTTGGCTGGTGTACCCCAACAACCAGCCCAACACCCCTGCCCCCAGCAAAACCATGCTGCTGTCATCATAAACTCCCATAGCCTAAGCCATTGAGGCAATCACAGCTATCACTTACAAACATTATAGCTGAAGAAACTGCACAGAGACTACACCACCAAGTCCACCCAGAACCAAAGCCAATGTATCATTACCAACCAGTACTGTAGGACCCATCCATAAGAAAAAGTCTCTCCCTGTGAAAACTACTCCATAAAATTAGAAAAAGTGACAATTCTGCTAGATATGCAAATATCAATATAGGAAAACAAGAAATATTAAAAAGCAAGAAAACATGACACCTCCAAAGGAGCAATCTCCAACAGTAGACCCCAAATAAAAGGATGTTTATAAAATGCCTGAAATGAATTCAAAATAATGATCTTAAGGAAACTCAGCAAGATACAAGGGAATACAGACAAGCAATTCAGTGAAATCGGGAAAGCAATTCATGATCTGAGTAAGAAATTCCACAAAAAGAAATTACAAAAAGAACCAAACAGAAATCTTGAATCTGAAGAATTCAATAAATAAATTATACAACTGAGAGTTTCAACAACAGACTAGGTCAAGCAGAAGAAATAATTTTTGAACTTGAAGACAGACCTTTTGAAATAACCCAGTCAAAAAGAAGAAAATAAGAATAAAAAAGAATGAAGAAAGGTTATTGGACTTACGAGGCACCATTAAACAAATTTTTGCATTATAGTAGAGTCAGAGGGAGAAGGGTGGAGAAGGGCACAGAAAATCTAACAAAATAAGAGTTGAAAAAAATCCCAAATCTGAGGAGAGATATGGACATCCAGATTCAGGACGCTTAAAGTCCTCAATTAGATTCAACTCAAAAAGACCCTCTCTGAGGCAGATTATAATCAAACAGCCAAAAAACAAAGAGAGAAAGCTGTAAAAGTGTCAAGTCACATATAAGAGGATTCATGTTAGACTATCAGAAGATTTCTCAGCAGAAACATTGTGGGCTAGGAGAGAATGGGATGATGTATTCCAAGTCCTGAAAGAAAAAAACCTACCAGACGAGATTTTTATTTCTAGCAAATTTGTTTTTCAGAAATTAAGGAGAAATACAAGCCTTCCCAGACAAACAAAAACCAAGGGAATTTATCACCACTAGACTGGATTTACAAGACATGCTTAAGAAGGTGTTTCAACTGGAAACAAAAGGATAATAACTGCTATCATGAAAACACATGAAAGTATAAAACTCACCAGTAGAGGTAAATTTATAATAAAACTCAGAATACCCCATTGCTGTAATGGTGCTATGTACAATTTTCAATCCTTTATTATGAAGATTTAAAATAAAAAATGTAAAAAACAGTTATAATTAGTGGCTAAGGAACAAATAATAGGTAAAGATCTTAAAGTAAGGCAAAAAATATACAAACGGGGGAGGAGGGAAGAAAAAGTTTCAAGTATTTTTGTGTGACCAAAGTTAAGTTATTAGATGTTGCTGTAAAAGTACTTTAAAAATGTGGTTAACATTTATACTCGGGAGACTTTTATTAAGGCAGACTAATCTGTTTGGAATGAAACTCTACCAAGTTAGTTGCTATTTACTGTCCCCAGCAACTGAGAGGTCCAGACAAAAGAGCACCAGGAGGGAATCTACTTGCATGGGTCCCTTTCAGGCAGCCTTGCCATCAGGGGTTTGATTGTAGGCACAGCTTCAATGACAAAACAATCATGTGTAAGTTTTATTTGATTGATTGATTGATTTTTGAGACAGAGTCTCGCTTCATAGTCCAGGCTGGAGTGCAGTGGTGGAATCTTGGCTCACTGCAACCTCTGCCTCCCAGGTTCCCTCCAGGCTAATTTTTGTATTTTTAGTAGAGATGGGGTTTCACCATGATGGCCAGGCTAGTCTCCTGACCTCAAGTGATCCACCTGCCTCGGCCTCAAAGTGCTGGGATTACAGGAGTGAGCCACCATGCCTGGCCAGTTGTAAAGTTTTTAGTACTTACAGACCCTGGAGAATATACAGCATATGTGGAGGCCACACACACATGGAGGTCAGGGAGAAAAGACAAAGAGACAGAGAGAGTGAAGGAACCAGTGGGCCAATGCCTTTATTGGGTCCAGGGCATTATTCAAAAAGGTTTCCTGTGGGGAGCTTTAACTGGTGGGTTTACAGAAAACAGGCACTAGTTCTACAGTGTGACTGGGCGGTGGTCACTTTAAGTTCATGGACAAATATTTAATTGGTCTGTTTACAGGAAGCAGTGGGAAAGCAGGAAACCCAGCCTGCTAGGCAGGAGAGATACCCCTGAATTCTATCTCTGACCGCTGGCTAGAAATGTTTGGGTGGGATATAGTATTGGAAACTACATCAGCGGTGACTGAGGCCTGCTTCTGGTATGAGAAAGTTAAACTTATATTTAAAAATAGATGCCAAGGCAACATAAAGTTATTAGCACCCACTACAGAATAATAATGTGCATGGGCCTTATCCAATCAGTTGAAGGCCTCAAAAGCAGATACTGAAGTTTCTTTTTTTTTTTCCCCCTATATTGGCTGGTTTTAGCTGTCTTCGTATTTATTTATTTATTTATTTAATTTTACTTTATTATTATTATACTTTAAGTTTTAGGGTACATGTGCACAATTTGCAGGTTAGTTACACATGTATACATGTGCCATGCTGGTGTACTGCACCCATTAAGTCGTCATTTAGCATTAGGTATATCTCCTAATGCTATCCCTCCCCCCTCCCCCCACCCCACAACAGTCCCAGAGTGTGATGTTCCCCTTCCTGTGTCCATGTGTTCTCATTGTTCAATTCCCACCTGTGAGTGAGAACATGTGGTGTTTGGTTTTTTGTCCTTGTGATAGTTTACTGAGAATGATGATTTCCAATTTCATCCATGTCCCTACAAAGGACATGAACTCATCATTTTTTATGGCTGCATAGTATTCCATGGTGTATATGTGCCACATTTTCTTAATCCAGTCTATCATTGTTGGACATTTGGGTTGGTTCCAAGTCTTTGCTATTGTGAATAATGCCACAATAAGCATACGTGTGCATGTGTCTTTATAGCAGCATGATTTATATTCCTTTGGGTATATACCCAGTAATGGGGTGGCTGGGTCAAATGGTATTTCTAGTTCTAGATCCCTGAGGAATCGCCACACTGACTTCCACAATGGTTGAACTAGTTTACAGTCCCACCAACAGTGTAAAAGTGTTCCTGTTTCTCCACATCCTCTCCAGCACCTGTTTTTTCCTGACTTTTTAATGATTGCCATTCTAACTGGCGTGAGATAGTATCTCATTGTGGTTTTGATTTGCATTTCTCTGATGGCCAGTGATGGTGAGCATTTTTTCACATGTTTTTTGGCTGCATAAATGTCTTCTTTTGAGAAGTGTCTGTTCATGTCCAAGGAATCCTGTCTAAAGACTAACATAGAAACTCTGCCTTAGTTCCTAACCTGCAGACTCAGGACTGCAAGCTCAACTCTTACCTGAAATGCCAGCCTGCCCTACATATTTTGAACTTGCCGGTCTCTACAGTTGCAAAAGCTTATTTCTTGACATCATTCTCTCTCCTCGCCATTCCCCATGTGTGTGTATATATGCATATATGTATGTGTACATATACGTGTGTACATATAGAATATATATATATACATCTATATTTTAATCTATCCTATTGGTTCTGTTGCTCTAGAAAACCCTAACTAATACAAGACCCTTAAAACTCCCAGAAGGTTTCAGGAAACCTGAGAGCAGAGGAGGCTTTCCTAAATATAATACCCCAAAGAAGAAATGGTGACATAAGAGAGTGAAGTAGTGGCAGAGAGAAAGGTGAACTAACTCCTTCAAAAGGGGTGACTTCTACTTAACCGCATGTAAGTGTTGCCATGGGAGAATGGGAGTCTGGTGTTATTCGTGTGATTAATTAAGAGAAGCCAAAGTCCAAATGACTGTGGGAAATCACTATGGGGAGGGTTTTTGCAGAACCATAAATTTTGAGCATACCCATAGAATTGCAATCTACAATAATGTGTATGGTTTACTGGATTTGAAGCCATATAAATCAGGCACAAGACCCCTTTTACATTCAGGGACCTCCCTACACAAAGAGGGAAATGTCATGAGTTTGAGCCTCTCTGAAGAAAAATGAGGCTAACATGGTTTATCAAGAGGTTTATCAATAAGGTTCACATTATTTTGTGAGGGAAGACAAAGTCTCAGTTCTTTTGTAAACAGTTTGAGGTTTCAAAGACTCTTTGGCTCTCTAATTTATTTGAAACATCTATTGCTTCATGAATTGGCCTCAAGCACTCCTCAGTAAGTTATCAAGAGGCATTTATTTTTATTTAATCACCACAATGCTTGCTTGTTTTAAGGCTTAGGAAAAAAGTGAAGAGTGAAGAGGGCTCATCTTTTCATTGACTTCATTTATGTTATGCTTTTGAATCCTGTCGGATATATTTTTAGAAGCCTGTAAGTGAATAAAGCTTCATAAAGACAAGGTAACTTTCTGAAACTTCAACCCAGGTTATTTCTGTCTTGCTACTTTCAAAGGGCATCAGAGCTCACACAGCAGAGACAAGAAGAAACAAACAAAGGTGAAAAGCAAGCCCTTGTACGTGGGAGACAGGCTTGCATGGAACATGTGATTATGTGGCAGGAGGTATGGATGTGACTCATGAAATTGTATAGCAAATTTTTTTTTCCCCTAGGAAAAAAGGTTCAATGAAACAGACCAACCTCTCATTGAAAGTGACTTAAGTGCTGGTTAGTATTATCAAGCTATGGAAAGCTCAACTAATTATGATTTTTTTCTTTTAAAAAGCAGCTCATTGCTAAGGATTATACTTCCCCCTGTTTTTCAATGTATTCTGATGTTAAAGTGAATTTGATGATTCATGTAATTGAACAAAAATATGTGTTATTACATAAGAGGAGGGAAAAGGTTAAGCTATCAATTGGGTGCGTCTCATTTCCTAGGTCATTATGCAAAATATAGTGTACCTTGAAGTTTTCTATTCTCTTAATAGTGAAAAATATACTTTGGCTGAAATGGTTTAAGGTAAACCATTTTTGCTAAGAATCCAGCACGAACCACAATGATGGCCTAATTCTGGAAGCTCTCCCTGGAATATGCTGAGTGCCAGATGGCACTGGGAGCATCAATAAAAGAAAATAATTTCTAATGCAGCAAGTGAAATGCTGATGGCAGATGCTGCTAGCTGCAGGCCCACATTGGCTGCAGACAGGATATTGGGGAGTATTTAGCTGGGGATCTTTTCTGATTCTGTCAGTTTGCTCTTCTAGAAGATTACGGAGTGAAACACAATAGTGATTCTCACCTTGGCTGCACGTTGGAATCACCTGGAAAAATTTAAAACATGTATGGATGCCTGGATCCCACCACCAGAAATTCTTATGTAATTTGTACAGGTTATGGCTAGAAATCAGCGTTATTTTTAAAGCTCTCAAGCTTTCTCTAACATGAAGCCAAGGTTGAGAGCTACTACTCTGCTGGAGAGCTTACAGAATGCCAGAACTTGAAGAGAATGAATTCCTTGCTTTATAGATGAGGTCACTGATACTCAGAGGGACAAAGTGACTTACTCAAAATCACACATCTTATTAACCCATTTATAGCAGGGTGGTCACTAGAACCCATCCCAACCCAGTGTTTTTTCTTTTTCTTTTTTTGAGACAGAGTCTCATTCTGTTGCTCAGGCTGGAGAGCAGTGGTGCAATCACAGCCTACTGCAGCCTCAACCTCCCAGGCCCAAGTGATCCTCCTACTTCAGTCTCCTGAGTAGCTGGGACCACAGGCATGCACCACCACACCCAGCTAATCTTTTATTTTGGTAGAGGTGCGATCTCCCTATGTTGCCTATGCTGGTTTTGAACTCCTAGACTCAAACCATCTTCCTGCTTCGTCTCCCAAAATATGTTTTTTCTATAATACCCTACCACACAGGCTTTGATTGATGGGTGGCAGGGAAATTAGAGACTTGAAAGTGCTTGGGAGAGTTGTCAAAATATTATGTAAGTAGCTGCTACTACCTATATATAGGACCAGCCACAGTTCACCACTCAAAAATGCTCTCACTCAAAAATGCTCACCACTCAAAAATGGATTGCTGGGCATCCGTATGCAAATGGAGTCAGTTATCACATCTGATCTGCCTTTCGGCTTTATGTTTGAAGTTAAAATCCTTTCCAAGATAGGCAGGCATCTACAAAGACTCGTTAGTAACCTGTGTATGTAAGAATTACGCTTGGTGAGATTCTGGGTTCTTGCTGCAAAGTGCCATTGTGTGGGTTTTGCTCAAAGGAAAACCCACTAGTTGCTGAGTGTTCTACACCAGTCAATCAACTGGTCAATAAGTGGAGATGGGTACCTACTAGAGAGAAGGATCCATGATAGCTGCTTTGAGCATGAAAATGCATTACATGGTTGCTCCTTCAATCAATGTATAATATAAATGAGGGGCAAGACATCAGAGTGAACATCTTTCCTTGCTTGCTCAGCATCTCTTGGGAAACCATACCTCTCTCATTTCTGGTTATATGTATATGGGCAGCCTGACCTCCAGATTGAGGACTGAGCATGACTGTCAGGCTAAGAGTCTGAGATGAAGGGATGAGCAAGTAGTGCAATCTTTGCCCAGTTGGGAAAGTCCTGGGTCTCACTGGAACTGTGAAGAAGAGGCTTCAGTCTGTGGAATGACTCATAAACTCTAGCACCCATAATGGAGGAAGGGAGAGAGAGAAATGTTGCTCTGATGGCACTGTTGGAGCCCCTGGATCCAGCCTTGCCTAAAGTCCCTGGACTTCCCCAAAGACATTGGGCTTCCTAGATACATGATCCATAAACTTCTACCCTCTTTTGTTCTTTGATATAATTTGAGTTTGATTTCTCTCCTTGTCAATTAAAAGAGCCCTAAGGTTGGGTGTTTTATCTTAATCCATTTAAATTACTTGGAAGTTCTGCTACCGTTCATCTATGTCAAACAAAGCTAAGATTTTTTTCAAACAAACCCAATGTGAGTGCTGATTAATTAGCTGTGCTACCAGACCTTTCTGCTTGCTATCTTAATGTCAATTTGTTTTCAGGAGCTATTAGAGAAGCTGCTGGGGATACCTGTTTGGTGATGTGGAGATTAATTTGTTTTTCACTGGTAACACCCTCATTTGATCACAGTTACAATTCCTGACAAGACATCCCACTTTCCTGTTAAATCAATTCACCACCTGCCTTTGCTTCTAATCTTTGACTCTTAGCATATATATGAGGTATAGTTAATTATATGACTTGGGACTTCAGTTAGCTTTTCAGTTCATAATTCTACATTGGAAACTTATTCATAATCTCAGATGTGTCACTGGCAAAGTTATTGAATAGGCAAACTCAGCACATGCAGAAGGTAGTAGAAAAGAAATATTTTTGAAATATATTTGATATTTCAAAAAAGTATCAAAATACTCATCACAAGAAATATCAGAACTTTGTTGTCTTTCTTATACTTATTTTGTGATTCAGAATTGTGTTGATTTTCAATTATGTATCAGTGAGGAATGGGTGATGTCCTGTAACTTAGCCTCTAAAGATTTTGATCTGTTTCTAAATAACAAGTAGCATAAAAGCAAGTACTGAAGGAGAAAAAGGCATACTAGTATAGGAAATGAGGGTCCTAAGAAAAAGGCAATAGGGAAGGGCCCTGGGCTCTTAAATCATTGGGATATGAAATCCTTCTTAGTAGAGAATGTCCAGAAGTGTGGTAAGGGTTCACATTATTTTGTGAGGGAAGACAAAGTCTCAGTTCTTTTGTAAACAGTTTGAGGTTTCAAAGACTCTTTGGCTCTCTGATTTATTTGAAATATCTATTGCTTCATGAATTGGCCTTAAGCACTCCTCAGTAAGTTATTTATGTGGTACTCAACTGCTCCTGCAGGTTTATATCAAACCACAGCTGTATAAACAAAGACTATTAACCTATTGGTTGGATTTAACAGACACTTCAATCTGTTTAAATCCACTGACATTTCAAATTAGTGTGCCTCCAGATTCTTCACAGAACAGCCACTGAAGGTGACAGGGCTGTTTCTAAATAGCTCTGAAGACAAACAATAAGTGTGTTCTAAAGAATGACCACCAAAGAAATGGGAACTACCATTCTATTTTTGCGTAAAATTATGGACAGAATTTTCAAAGGACCTGGAAGGGAATAAGGATGGCTCAGAAAGGAAGGTTTCAGACAGTCTAAGTTAGTGATGTAAGCTCTTATATTTTCCACATAGGGCACCTGATTAGTAGTAGTAAATAATTTATTGGCCAGATGTGAAACAATATTTTTCTCCTCTACATTCTTTCTTGATAAGCTTTTAGGTAACTGTTTTTGTTTGGGTCTGATCCTCCCTCAAAACAGACCTGAAACAAGGCCAAGTTTGGGTAGTTATTCAGGAGTGGGCCTCAGGGTGCATCACTGACTAAGTGGGAACAGCGAGACAGGAAAGGAGAAAATGTCAATGGTATGTGAATTCCACCCAAATGGGCACCTGGGGATTGGTCTTTCCAGGAACCTTAGAGTAACTGAGTAGAATGGCTTCCAAACCTTGCCAAAGAGGTTCAAGAAAATGGGGTACTTATCTACCAACTCTCCACTCATTGGTTGAAGATTGCTTCTGGGGCTTTGAATCTTGGAGAAAACCCCAAGGCAGAGAAGAAGAAAGTCTTGGTGCTTTAGATGAGAAACTGTCAGCTGGCAAGAAAAAAGTCTACCATTTCTCCAAGTGATTAGATCCAGAGAAATAAGAGTGGGGCATCAGTAGTCAGCCACACAGGCCATTTTTATATAGCTGAAAACCTTAGGTTTGTCATGAGAAATGACATTTATTTTCTCCAGCAGGAAGAGGGTTTGACTCTTTCCTGAAAAAATTACAGTGGAATGATTTGGGACAGGTTTCTCAGTAGCACACTCCAGTAATATTAACATGACATATGAACAATATAGTAGCAGAAGCATGAGAAAATGCTAAGTGAAATCCTAATGTCAAGTGAAAAAAATCAGGTTATAAAACTGTACAATTTCAGCTATGTGAGAAAAATATTTTATAAAGAAAAATTAGGCTAGAAAGAATATACCAAGATGTTAATGTTGTTTATCTCTGCGTGGTGAGATAAACAACCAGAGATAGCGTTGTAATTTTATATTTGGATAAATATCAATTTTATATTTGGCTAAATATAAAATGGATAGCTTTATAATTTTATAGACTTATTTCCCAAATGTTCTACTTTGAACATGTTTACCTTTTGTAAAAGTGAACATGCCTTTTTGCTTTCCCTGCATGTACAAGTTAAATGGGATGCTTGCTGAGTAGACAGGTGTAGACCTGCCACAGCAGAGCAGCGTCTCTAGAAATAATTAGACACTCTTGAGCTTGTTGGTTTGAACACAGAGGCCAGCCTTACTCAGCTCTGTCTTTGCTGCCCAGCTCCCCAGGGCAAGCTGGCAATTCATGGGTGCTCACTTCAAGGTTAGCTCATGAACTGCTTACACATGAACTTGTGAGGCCAAGAGGGCATGTTACAGTACAAGACTTCTGCAAGGACTGCAGGGAGGCAATGCCTGTTACCTGCTTGGTTCAGAGGAGTCCACCAGGGAGGCAGTACCTGGCAGTGGGTAGTCTATGTGTTCCTTTTGGGTCAAGCTGAGAAGCACATCCTAGTTCAGTTTATCGTTTTCAGCAGCCAGCCAGGCCAGCAGTGGCCACGGGAGAGTGCATTTTCAGGCCCATCTGGGAATAAGCACAGTGCTAGGAATGATGGAGGAATACAAATCCAAGTATCCTTGAGGAGATCATATTCCAGAAAGAAAGTAATATAACCTGAAAACGATTGACCATACAGAGAGGATGTGATTAAATATGAATATAATATACAAAGAAAATATGTCTGGAGTTTGGGAAGGAGCTGGGGAAGGTTGCTTCAAGAGAGAGTAACTGTGGACTGGAGTGGTTGGAAAAAGGTTTTCTAGAGAAGGCAGTGCTTTGAGTAACAGGTCAACTATACAGTGATGAAAATCCACCTAACGCATTAGCATTTACTGTATTGGGTCAGGTACAGCTTTAGTATCTAGAATTTGGATCATGGTGCTGCCTCAGATTCCCTGTGTGTCATCATTTGGGGTATGTTTCCTGTCCTATAAAATGCAGTCCCAACAGCTACCTGCCCTGCAGGTGTACTGTGATGAGTAACTGATGGTAAACATCCTGGGTAAACTTGATGGTGCTATTACTGAAGGCTTACAAATGTCAGATGATTAAATGTAGAGACAGGCACCAGTGGGTTTCTGAGATACAAAACAATGAGAGTGATAGAAAACTCAAAGTATGCTTGAAATCGTGGCCAGTGTCAGCAGGTTAATGCAGGAGGAATTTCTCTTCTGGGGTGTTAGTTACAAGCTGAATATAGAGAGGTAGAATCAACTGATAACTATTGTTTCAATTTATCTGGTATGCTCAGGCCTAAGCTGGGTATTATTAGGGGAATCTAAAACATTATTAGCAAGAGAGTTGTTTGGGCGAGTTGGTGGCACACAAACCTGAACAGGAAGCTATCAATCCTCAGGAGTATAGACACCCTGCTAGATTAGTATCACAGAGTTTATATAGCCCTCAGGAGGAACCCTAAGAGAGGCTCATTTTCCCTAAAAGATTTAATTCATCACTGAATCTAAACATCACATCTTTGAGCACAAGTCCCTTCTATGCACTTGTTTGTTCTGTTAATGCAAAATGGATTCATCTGAATCAGGAAACTGCGCCAAAAACAAACAGAACAGAAACAACAGAGAACTGGCCCCAATTTGTAGAAAGAGTGCACTTTTCTTTTTTGTGCTGGGGCCTTTGCACAGTATGGTTGCACTACCCCTGCATACCACACTGGGTAAATACCTACTGTGCCAGCTTTCCTTCCCTTTGGGACTGGGGCAATCCTGTCTAAGGAAATGAGAAGTCAGAGTTTACTTGATCAATTCTGGACATGAGAGGGTGTGTATGGCTGTTTATGCACTGAACCATACCATTCTACATTAGGCTGAAAAACTGCCTGAAAGAGGCCTTATAATAAACTTGGAGTAGAAAAACAACAAGCAAACAATAAAAGTAAACCACAAGAACACTGTAATAACATTTCCATAAGGTGATATTTGCAGCATTTTTGCAAATATTGACTCACTAAGTATGAAGCTGAAAAACAAGCCTGGTTTATATTTGGGCCAACCATATATAGCAAGGGGAGTACTCCCTTAGAGAGTTTTTCACTGGCCCCAGGATCAAGCCTAGAAATGAGCACTTCCTTTTGTGTGAACTGTAGTCTTCCATTGCAATATCCCCCCACACCATCTAAATTCATCAGAGGCTTTCTCTTCTGCCTTAAAACAGCCTTTTCTCCCAGTGGTTGGAGAACTGATGAGGCAAGATTAGCTACAAACGATGACGTGTGGCCTTTTAAAAATAATCATTCTATCTTATGGAACTATCATACTGTTTGCTTTCCCCTCTCTTTTTTGTCTGCACTAAAAGAACTTAATGTAAAGTCTCCTCTCTTTTGGGGAGAGTTTGCTGATCAGGGCCTTCTGCCACATGGAAAGACAAACCAATATTTGATTTGTTAATCATCATACTATGGGATAATACACCAAAAGATTATCGTAAAAGAATAAGAAAGAGGATAAGGTTGACAGAAGAGGCGAGTGACTTGGAGGATACTGTTAGAGAAGAGGAGATTATTCTCCCATAGCAGAAGAGGTTTATGAATGTCAAGCAGAGAATGTGCCTTTCATTCTAAGAGCTCAAGGAAGCAGCTAATGCTCAAAGGAGATGGTTGCATGCTGTGCTGGAAGAGACGAGGACACATGCTCTGGAGTTCTCAGTGCCAGCAGCAATTGCTGAGTCTCAAGCATGGGCAGAGCAGCCATCCTGGGAGTAGTGTGTGTGTGTGCATGTGCATGTGTGTGTGTGTACCACCTAGCAGAGTGGGGCTTCCAAATGGAAATCAGGTTGATTTATAAAAAATACATATGGTCCTTCTTGCACATCAAAGTAAAAGAAGCACATTTAAGCATTTCATCCATGACTCACATCAGAGTGGCCTACCTGTGTAACTCTGCTACAGAATCTCTACCTGGCACACTCAGGGGCCAAACCATATTTTGCCCACTGAAATTTATTTAATCTGGGAGGCCTTCCTTAAGAAAAAGAAAACATATAGAAATATAAAATTAGCTAGAGAGCCTTGAAAGGAGCTGGTGCAATTCAGGAAACCTGAAACTTAGGCCTCGTTAGTTATATGATACACCCTCCTCTGCTGTCGTTATTACATTTTGTCCTGAGTAAGCTGGGGAAAAAAAGAGCCCTAAAGGGCTCTTCCCCCACCATTTGTAGACATTATTCCTTTTCATGAGGGTGTTTCTCATTTTGTCTTCAGCTTTCCACACTCTCCAAACCAAGGGAGGCTCTGCAAATAGTTTATTTACACAAAAATGTGTTGCTCTGCTGTCTCCTGGAAGTCCCTTAACTAGGTTACTCAGCCAGGTGTTTACCTTTAATTTTAAAATCTTTTATTGCAGAATGAAATTCTTCCCTACTTTGGGAATCTCTCTCCCTCCTCAGTCTCACCCTTCCTCTTCTATATGCAATCACTTTTAAAAGAAATTTTTGGGCTCAGCAAGCATTTTAGAAGATTGGGAGGAGGGAAGAAGTTGTATTAGTTCATTTTCACACTGCTATAAAAAACTACCGAGACTGGGTAAGGTTTAATTGACTCACAGTTCTGCATGGCTGGGGAGGTCTCAGGAAACTTACAGTCATGGCGGGAGGTGAAGGAGAAGCAAGCACTTTCTTCACAAGGCAGCAGGAGAGAGAGAGCAAGGGAGAAAGTGCCACACTTTTAAACCATTAGATTCCATGAGAACTCACTCACTGTCACGAGAACAGCATGGGGGAAACTGCCCACACAGTCAAATCACCTTCCATCAGGTCTGTCCCTGACACGTGGGGATTACATTTTGACATGAGATTTGGGTGGGGACACAGAACCAAACCATATTAGAAGGGGATCGCTTATTAAACCTCACTGGAATAATTTACCTGGTCTTGAAGGGAAACTAATTTTGCTCTTTTGAGAATGAGCAGCAAGGATAATACACAGCTCTGAGTCTCTCTCCACCTGAGGCGTAATGGGTTTTTCAAAATCTACTGACTTCCTGCAGCTAAAAAGTCTCAGATCCACATCAACATTTTCTGAATTGCCACAATGGAAAGATAAAGAAGTATTTTGGGGGGCTTTTGCAGAAGAAGGCGCTAAGAGTCCAATTTCACCAAGGTGGAGCCTCGTTTCACCAAAGACATGCAAAAGACTGAGCCATAGGTTCTGAAGAGAATTCCAAAGAGTTCTGAAGCATTCTGAGCTTGATGTTTCTACTAATTCAGACATTAGGTCGCATTTGAAAAAGAAAATCTCATTATTTTAGAGTTAGTCCTCACATATATTTCAAGAAAAATGTCACAGGATGTTTAAAGGTGTAGTGCTCTATGTATAAAATGTGGTTTTCTTTAGTTGTTATTTTCTCATCTTTGCATTGCGCATAATGAATAAAGAAACAGCAGGATCTTATGATAGAAAAAGAAGAGCCAACATTTGTTTTCCACATTTGGGTTTACAACCTTGCCTTTTTCTTGTTTGTTTGTTTGTTTGTTTTTCTTCGTCTTAAATAACTGAAAATCCCAAGTCTTTAGAAGAGGATTATACATCCAAGAAAGAGTCTTGGCCTAAGGTGAAAGAGCTTTTCACAGGGAGTTAGGAGAGTTGAGGTCTATTTACCATCTTCAGCCACTGGCCAACCAGTCCAAGGACTTCATGTCCCTCAATCTCTCTGCCTTGATTCATTCATCCAATTCGAAGCTGGACTAGATAATCTTTTAGGTCCTTCCAAGCTAGTGTTTGTTTAATAATTTTCCTCTGAGAATTCCAGAAGTCTTTCCATGACTCACCCAGCTAAGAGTCCATTTAGGGAAAGCAGAGGGGCCACAGCTCTGTTCTCATCACCAAAGAACTAGTCAGGCTCAGAAAGTTATTTCAGCCAAAGGTAGTGTGGGGACAGTGTGTTCAGACACAGAGCAGGGAAAGCTGATAGAATTAATGAACCTGATAATACAGGCACTGGGATGGTGTTGCTCTCCAGCTTGGGGCTTGACAGATAAAACTGGCTTTTGCTCAGAATCCTGCTGTAATGAAAAGGTATGCTAGAGGGAGACCTAAACACAAGGGCAGGTGGCTCTGCCACAAACATCATCTGACCTTTGGCCAGTCACTCACCCTCTCTGGGACACAATTTCTGTGTGTGTGTGTGTGTGTGTGTGTGTATGTATGTGTGTGTGTGTATATATATATATATATATATATATATATATATATATATATATGAAAAGAAGGTAATAAAGTCAGCCCTGCGTTGCTTAGTGGTTTTGATAAGGTCAAAACATATATGGAAGCAAAAGAGTTTGAAAACCATAAAATGATTCATAAACAGAAGGATTGCAATTAGCTTTGGAAGTTGTTTCTGCTCCTGTGCAGGGTGGGTCTAGGGAGGAAGCAGGGGCTGGGGAATTTCAGCACAGGAGTGGAGAGGGGAGAGTCTAGGCAGAGCTATGAAGGGAGGTGAGGTTGGGATCCATGAGAGAACCAGTGGATGCAGGGGAAGAGCTGCTGCCTAACAACCAAGTTCAGGCTAGGGTGTTAGAAGTTCAGAGCCTAATATGTCCACATCCCCACTCCTCACTGACGCTCCCGCTTCTAAAGACCCTCTGTTTGTTGTTGAGAGCTAGGCCTTACTGCTGATAATTCTGTTGCCATGTTTCTTCCCAACAGAAAATAGCTACCTATGGACTACATAGCTGATGTCTCACCTTAGAATTCTCTTGCCTCATGAGACAGAAGACGAGCCCTGGCAGTCTGCAGTAGAAGCAGATGCCTTGATCACTTATAGGACAGGACTTAATAGACAAGTGAGGTAGGGACAATGCTGAAATAAAAACCAGGCTAGGTAATAGGAATAATCATCATCATAGTTACTGTTTATGGAGCACTCTGTGCCAGATGCTGAGCTAAATGCTTTATATACATTTCTTATTTAACCTTCACATCTGCACTATGAATTTGTTATATTATGAATTTACTCCAGTTTAGAGAGGCCGTGGATCTTACTTGAACTGCTTATTGTATTCTCTAGATAAAATTGACTTGGAACTTTGTTTGGAATCTAAATTCTATACTCAATCATTATGCTGTTCTGCTTCTCTTGGGTCCACAGATTCTTATCAAGTCACCCCAAAGTTATCCGGACTTTAGCAGAATCCCAAAGTAGAAATCAAATCAGTCCTGTGCAGTGAAGAGACCAGGATGCAACAGTGTTGCCCAGAAGTGCCTGACTTGCTCCTTTTATTTGACTAGAATAAATAAAATAAAAATAAAAACAGCTGTAGCTCCTTTAGTGAGGTGAAGTGTTATTTTCCTTTTGGAGCCATTCTGTACTTGTTTAGGAAAAGTAAGACGTCCTAGAAGGCACAGGAAATGATTTGTTGTTGGCTCTTTTAGCTAGCAGTGTGCTGATGCTGGCTGGCACTGCCACATACCTTCCCACAAGAGCCAATTGTGTGCATCTCTTCCCAAATCCAATTCAATGAGTTTTGGTTGGTAACTTGAACTTTGCCAAGATGGGAGTATTTACACCATGGAAAATGGCAAACACTACAAATCAGAGCTTTGTTTTCTTGCAGAGCCAGTTGTTAAACATTTACCTACATACCGCTGATTCCAGCCCTGTTTGTCATTTTGTTCCATAAATTTTATATGCCAAAGAAGAGTTGTTTCTGAAATATGGTATTCAAAAGGATGTCTTAATTCTACATACCTAGATATTATACATGAATTAAGGAGCCATTTTAATATGCACAGCTGAGGACGACTGCTAAAAGTTGCCTAATCAAACATGCTCTAGACCACTGGATGCGAGTAACTGGACCCTTCCTTATTGCCAGGCCTTGTAGAGCACCTTGCCGCCAGAGCTGCCATCTGTGCCTGCAAGAGAAAGGAACTGTGATTAGTTTCCTTTGGTGAGGTCTGGCAGCTCAAATTGTGACAGGGAGACTGCATGTGTGTGCAAATGACCTTTTCCTTCTTGACATTTTAACATATCAGAGATAATAACATGAATAAATTAATCAAATGATGGAGATGAATGGATTCATTTGAGGAAAATATTTTGTCAGATCATCTACCTTTTCAACTACATCTACATTAACCAGAAATGGCATTTTTTATGTTATCCATAGGATCACCTCCCCTTATTTCCCATGGAAATGGAAGCTAGGAGTAGAAAGAAGAAGCAGAACTACAGATTACACCCATATCTGCGTGTTGCTGTTACTTCCAGAGTCTTCCTCTTAAGCCTTTGTCTGAAATGGAGTGCGGGCTGTGTGTTCAGCTGTTCTAGCCCCTCCTTCTCCGTCCTTGTGGGTGCTCATGGGGAGGAGGACGTGAGCACTATCCAGCATTCACTGGGGAGGTAGAAATGTCTGTTAGGCACTTATCTCAACATTCTTTAACTAGAGCTATGAGAAGGTAGCACTGGATAATCTCTCTTACTAAGGTCCTCTCTAGCGCAAAGATTCTGTGGCTAAATAATTGACATTTGTGTGGCCCAGGGTGCATGCAACCTTTTAAGCGCTGCTCCTGACAGTCTGAGAGAGAACTGGGTTTCAGTTCCAATTCCCCAGCCATATAAAGACCTTTATTCTTTCAAAGGCTACTTATTTTCCTAATCTGGACTTAGCAGGTGGAAGGATACATTTCCTCAGATTTCCAAGTAAAATAGTAGCCAGCACTGTAGTAAAAATAACAAACAGGATATTAAATGACCCACCCTGTGTGGCCAATAGCTGGCATGTCCCAGTGCTGACAGGGTGGGAAGGCTCTGGGACCACTGTGAGGGCCCTGCCTGGGGCAGTCTGGCGTCTGTTGGGCGCTGCTCCTGGTGTGTAGAGTCTTATATAATACCCGGGCACAGTAGCCTGCCCCTCCCTGCTGCGGTATTTCACAGGACACAGGATTAGCAAGCTAGAGCCAAGCTCTATTTCTGGAAGGCAGAAAGTTCAGCTGAAGAGTAGCCACTGGGAAGACACTCATTTACGCCACTGAGGGAAGCAGAGATAGAGACTCCTAGGGAGAAAATTATTTTGGCAGGCTATTTTGCACAGATAATTTAAGAACATTCGGGATCAGGGTAGGGGAAGAAAATAGAATAAACAAACTGGAAAAGTAACTATTTCCCCTGTTGTCACCCTTCTTTGGCTGCTGTACAGATTCAAACCTAGGATTTTAAAAGTATAATTTATCCAATACCTGATTAAACAAGACTTGATGATTAAGTCTTTGCCACCAACCTAAACTTACATTTGAATACACACTATACCTTAGTAAGTACAGTAAATTCTGATGACTCATCACCCTGGGGAATCTCTATTAATCCAAATCCCAGATCTCCAAGCCAGGCTGGACATTGTTTTCAAATTCATGTGAGAGAAGGGGCACCGCTATTGTGTATATACTGATCTGTATTATTGCTTCCCTAGGCCATTAATTCCTTCAGGACAGAACACAGTAGGAGGTATGGTGATAATTCAATATAGCTAATTAAGGAAAAATGATCTGAACACGTATGTCTTTGGTGGTGGCGATGGTTGTGTGTGTATATGTTTTGGCAGAATGGGTAAGTGAAGTCTGTTAGAAATGACAGTTCTGAAAAGGGGTAGGTCCAAACCTGGGAAGGGGAGAGACAAGCTGGGATCTCGGAACAGGAGGTAAAAACCAGCAAGCAAAAGGCATGTTGAAAGCAGAGACACTCCGATATGTGAGTAGAGTCAAACCCAGAAGACAGGAACCAGATCAGGAAAGAGCTGTCATACAACAGGAGGGATACAGAATGTGAACCAGGAAGCTATACTGTGAAAACACCCTGGATATTTCCTGAAGCCCCAACATTAGCAAAGAGAATGCATGCACCAGGGCCCAGATCAATCGACCCCGTTTGTGCAACAGGTAGGGGTTTCTATCACCCAAATATTTTAATGTAGTATTCGATATCTGATGTGTATTCAGGTGAGCATAGGTTGTTTGCTGAAGTCACATTTGGAAACTTCCTTCAGAGGCAAGTTTTTGAACAACACAAGAAAATAAATATCATGAGTTCTTTGTCAATGGCTTTATTAATTTTACTCTTTCTATTTAAGCAGAGGGGTGAAAGGCCAGATTTGTGCCAGATAGAGGTTGGAGTGTGCCTGGAATGCCTGTTAGGAGGCCATTATAGTGGTCTAGAAGAGATGATGGTGACCCAGACAAGGAGTTGAGGGGAGGAGTTTGGAGATGCATTAAAGGGAGCAGAGTTGAGTGCCAGTTAGACAATTGATTGCAAAATTCAAATGCCTACAGGCTTCTGTCTGTGTTTTAAATTTTCCTTAATAATGTTTTTAATTGTAAGAAAACAAGAGATAGTTCTAGATCCCTGAGGAATCGCCACACTGACTTCCACAATGGTTGAACTAGTTTACAGTCCCACCAACAGTGTAAAAGTGTTCCTATTTCTCCACATCCTCTCCAGCACCTGTTGTTTCCTGACTTTTTAATGATTGCCATTCTAACTGGTGTGAGATGATATCTCATAGTGGTTTTGATTTGCATTTCTCTGATGGCCAGTGATGATGAGCATTTTTTCATGTGTTTTTTGGCTGTATAAATGTCTTCTTTTGAGAAGTGTCTGTTCATGTCCTTCGCCCACTTTTTGATGGGGTTGTTTGTTTTTTTCTTGTAAATTTGTTTGAGTTCATTGTAGATTCTGGATATTAGCCCTTTGTCAGATGAGTAGGTTGCGAAAATTTTCTCCCATGTTGTAGGTTGCCTGTTCACTCTGATGGTAGTTGCGGCATTATTCACAATAGCAAAGACTTGGAACCAACCCAAATGTCCAACAATGATAGACTGGATTAAGAAAATGTGGCACATATACACCATGGAATACTATGCAGCCATAAAAAATGATGAGTTCATGTCCTTTGTAGGGACATGGATGAAATTGGAAACCATCATTCTCAGTAAACTATCGCAAGAACAAAAAACCAAACACCACATATTCTCACTCATAGGTGGGAATTGAACAATGAGATCACATGGACACAGGAAGGGGAATATCACACTCTGGGGACTGTGGTGGGGTCGGGGGAGTGGGGAGGGATAGCATTGGGAGATATACCTAATGCTAGATGACACGTTAGTGGGTGCAGCGCACCAGCATGGCACATGTATACATATGTAACTAACCTGCACAATGTGCACATGTACCCTAAAACTTAAAGTATAATAATAATAATAATTAAAAAAGAAAAAAAAAAAAAAAAAGAAAAAAAAAAAAAAGCAACATTACAAAGGTAGTTATGCACATGTCTGCTTTAAGAAGCTGAAGTGAAAAAAGGATTTGCATGTAATGAATCTTTAAATTATTTCCTTTATGTCTTAAGAAGTCACCTCAACAGCTTGCCCAGTGTTCTTGTAATGCAGGAGATGGACTTATGATGCATAAAAGAGAGGGGACAATCTTCTCTATGGTTATGATTCTGTTGGTTCGTGGTTAATGAGGGGCCCTCTCTAAGTTCATGGTAGGAGCCAGGCATTAGTGATTCTTTATAGCTGTGAAGGGTGAGTGGCCTTTCTCTATCTCATCTTTTCTAAGAGTTTCAGTTCTGAACGCATGAACGTCTGTACTGAAACTATATTAGTGTAAAGGGAAGGAAAGTGATCATGTACAATTCAGTTAAAGATATCTACTTTATAAACAGATTAAAATATATCTATATGTAAAAAAAAAAAAAAAAAAAGAAAACAAGAGATAGAAGAGAAACCAAAAGTTAAAGGAGACTTAAATATAGCTACCACTTGCAACACAGGAATATCATTTGGATCCTTGATTCAAGCAAATTGTTAAAAAGTTTGAGACTTGGAAAATTGATCAGTGACTTTTTGCATTAAGAAATTATTATTACTTTACATGTGATAAGAGTATTGTGGGTTTTTTTGAGTCCTTTTAGAGGTATGTGCTGAGATACTTACAAATGAAATTATATGACTGGAGTTTGCTTTAAAAATATTGGGGAGTAGGAAGGGGCTAGTGCAAACAATATTGGCTTTGAGTTGATATTTGTTAAGGCTTCATGATGAGTTCTTGAGCTCCTTATACATGGAGCCGGGGCTTTATTTGTGTTGACAACTGCTAGTGCCATGTGCCAGAAACTTCTTTCAGAGCTACATGGTCTGTTCTGCTGAAGTAGAGTAACTTTCCTATTGCACTAGGATGAAGACATCCAAATGTGCACATAATAGATGAAACAGCTACAAGAAGGTGGGAGTTGTAGAAGAGCTTTTTTTGTTTATTTTAAATGTATATATTCAGCTCTTTCTGTTAAAAAATGGAAAAAAAAGAAGCATTTTGGAATTAACCAAGATGAGTAATGATGTTGTCAGAGAGGAAAATTGCCTCCCTTCTCTTTTTCTTTCTTAGTAGCTGAACTTTGTTTTGCAAGCTTCATTGTTACCCAAAATAAAGACTACATCTCCCAGCCTCCCTTATGAGGTGTGGCCATGTAGTGTGAGCAGAAATGTTAGCTGGGGCTTCCTGGAAGGCTCCTTAGAGGGAACTGACTCATCTGAGTGGTATGTCCTTCTTTTCTTCTCCCTTCACTTTTTCCTTATGCCTGGAATACAAACATGAGGTATAGAGTTCCAGTAAGCATGCTGGACCATGAGGTGGTCTTGAGGATGAAACCCACATACCTCATGTGGCCAAGCAGAAAGATAGGAGGAGCCTAGTGCTCCTTCTGAGGACTCTGGTGACTTGGAACTGCCTACCTCTGGGCTTATTTTATCAAACAAGAATAAACCTTTATGTGGTTAAGCCACAGTTACTTTAGGTTTTTAATTATATGCAGATGGACTTAATGCTATTGGATACACATAACTGATTATTTATTGTGAATAAAACACCATCTATTTGGTGTTATCTATCAAAAGTTAAAGTGTATAGAGTTATTGACTCAATAATCCCAGAGTCAGGACTTAATTTTGTAGTTATACATGCAAGAAAGTATTATTTGTAAAAGCAAACCCTGTAAACAATGCTTCTTTTTTTTTTCAACCTAAGCATAAATTAATAGCATGAAAAGTTTGCACTCATTAAATTTTCTTTAATATTACTATCCTGTATTTAAGGTGCAGTCTAATTTCTAGTCTGTACTAATTTAAATGGTATAGTAAAGGTATTAGTGGCTCCCCTTCAGCCTCCCCTTCCCTGTCCACCTCTCCCTTTCCTCTCCATCTCTCTCACTCCCATTCCTTTCCCCTTCCCCGCCTCATAAATGTATAATTTTACTGAATATTCAAGGATCTAATCTTCCCAGGATCCATGCAGAAATTCAGGGGAGATGAGAATACAGGAAAGATCTCTTCAGGGATGGCTGATCCAGCTAGGGATTCTTTGTGCCAGCTCTAGGGTTGATATTGATAGTCTCCCTGAACATAGAGTCCAGGAACACTCAATGGCCTCCGAGTGGTTTTAGCCAGGTTGTTTGTTTCTTGCAGGTGAACGAGGACACACGTGCTCTGACAGGATTTGGCATATGTCCAGGAGTTTATTTACTCATACTCCATATGAAGGCAAAGGTTTATTTTGATTCTTTCCTGGAGCATGAGAGCTCGGCTTAAGGGAGTGGGATGGAAACACAGTGGGAAGATAGCAGCAGGGTAGCCTGAGCCATAAGGCAGATGGCAGGAGAGGTGACATTTGTTCCGAAGGCTCTCAAGGCCTTGTGAAGCTCAAAGGAGAAACTTACTTGGTGCTTTCATTTTAGGACAGTTATTTCTATGGGAAGTAACCTTAGTTGCTGGCTGTTTGCTTCAGTGATAAAATCTGAATCTTGGCAACCCCATGGTCCTACAGAAAGGATTATTGTAGGATAATCAAGAAAGCTCATAGCTAAGAAGTGGCAAGTTCCAGGGTTGATTCAGGGGTGGATTCCCACATAGATTAATGTGAGTTGATGAAGTCTAAGAGATGAAGGGAGGTATATATGGATCTATGGATTTGTTGCTAGACAAATGGGATCTATTAATTTCTCACTAGACCAGCTATATTAGTCTTGACAATTTTGGTTATGAAATACATGCCCAACTCAAACTGGCTCAAAGAAAAATCAGAATTTATTGATCCTTGTAACTGGAAAGTTCAGTGGGTGGTTTCAGGCACAATTTCATCCAGGTCTTTAGACAGTGAGTGCATGAAGGACACAATCATTGTCTCTTTCCCGCTCACTCCTGCTTTCCTCTGTGTTAGTTTCATTCACAGGCAGGTATTCCCTACAAGTGGTAAAGATGATCACCAAGAGTTCCATCTATAAGCTTAGCAACCCCAGAGTAAGGCACCAACAATCTCAGGGCTGATTTTCATGGCCCAGCTTGGGGCACTTTCCCAGCTCTGAACCAATCACTGCCCCTTTGATTTTCCAAGCCCAGATCCAATACCCAAGCCTGGAGCCAGAGTCACTTCAGATGAGTGGGGGAGAAGGGGAGGAGTTTAAGGGTAAATTAGTATGTGGTTATCAGGGTCAGGGAGATGGTTGGCAGAAAATCAAATGTCCACCACACCAGGGTAGACTTCTAGGCTTCAATTATTTTCAAGCAATAAATGAAAAGAAAAAGAGGAACTATCAATATACTACACAGTATATGATTGATTCTTCTCTGAAATGTTGGAGATTAGAGGCTCCCAGACCACAGCCCAAGGCTTTGGGACTTACTCCAGAGTCTTCGAGTTTCTTGGGGTTATCCGAAGTATTTGGGTTAAAAACAGATGGGGACTGGAGCACATGTATATGCTCTTGGGGTTTTCTCCAAAACCATATATATGTGTTCCAGTCCCAGGCATGGATGAATTCCTGGTCTAGGAATTCCCCTAGGAGGTAGAGTAATTCATAAGTTTTCCCAAAGGCTTTATAATTCCCCCTCCAAACCTAAAAGAATCAGTCTAATTTATTTTTTGTCCCATTATTTCCTATGTTTTTACTAATGAATACACTGATGCTTGCAGAGCAGCCAATAAACGGAGAACTGGACCCACACTCAGGTGTTCTGCCCCATGTCAGATAGGGTGACTCTGTACCCTGCTGTGGGTGGGTAGAAAAAGCAGCAAAGAACACTGGTTCTACCTTCCAGAAATAGAATGTTTGAAAAGAAATCTTTGTGAAGTTGAGAAATGCTATCTTTTATACTACACAGATGAAGAGTGGAGTCTACAGAGGCTTTGAAAATGAAGTGGAAAATGCTGGATCAGAATGCAAATGATGTGAGCAGACCAAGCAGGCACAGAGAATGTGCAGCATTGCCAGTCCTTCCCGCTTTTCTGAAAATGAGAACTGTGTGAAGACAATAAGCTCATTTCAGAAACTGCCAATTGCCAATTCTTTTTCTTACTGGGGAGAGAATATTCTGGAACTCTTCCTACAGGAAAGGTCATCAGACACAGACCTATTTCGAAACAAACATTCGTAAGGAAGAGAGGCATAGTTTGGAAATGTGAAGAAAAAGAGAAGAGGCATCCTGGCAACAAGAAAAGCTCAGGTCATGGCCCATCTTCATCAATTTTCTCAAAAACTGAGATGTAATTGGTGGAGAAGGAGCCAGTCTTAGTCCCTGTTGGAGTATGATGCCACCTCTACCTATGCATTCTGGGACATTTTCATGGGGCAGCTGATGACTGCTGATTCATTTGACTTAGAAAGTTTCAGAAATTTCAAACCAGATAAATCCTCTGCTCCTTCTGAGTTCAAGAACATGATCCAAAGAGGAAACAAATCTGGAAACATCCAACAATGATAGCAGACTTTCAGTCAGTTTATCTACCACACCCACTCCTCACCTACAACTTCTAACAATGGCAGTTCTGTGTACCATGTGATTGAACCGGGAATGGGCCCTAACCAAGCCAGAGACCAAATAAATTACTCTCCAGGAATTCTGAGCTTAGAGACATATAGAACTTGCCAATTTGGTTGAGGACCATAAAGAAACAGATGTGTGGACTGTGTATGATGAGGTACCAGTCACCACAAACCAGCCACCCACAGGACATAACTGATACACGACATGTTTTGTTTGGCCTGTGAGGTTTGAAATTTAAATGATTGCCAACACTTAAAAACTAAAGTATTTCACATTTAAAACTAGGTGGGCCTTCCAGAGCAAACTGCATGGAAATTGTGGTTATCTTAAGAATGAACATGCTGAACCAGAGAGGCCAGACTTGAGGTGCATTTGAGACTTTTCAGACTTTTAGAACATACATTTCAAGATCACACACATGCTCGCATAAGTGTCCATACAGAGGACCAAGGGGCCTGCCCCAGACTCACCTGCTGCTCAGAATAGATGAGCAACTTTCAGCAAACTCACAGGAGACTCAGTGAACAGAGAATTTTGTTTTATTTCAGTGGCCAGATTCCCCACCTCTCTCTACAGCTCCCCAGGCCCAGAGGCTGAGTGGTATAAGCAAGTTTCCTTTTTAGACCCCACTATTTCACATGTGTGAGCCCTATAGGCAGTGGGGTCAGTGAACCCTGCCTAAAGTGAAGGATGTAGAGGGCTTCTGAGGGGTCCCAGTTCTAGCCCCTACTAAGGTCTAGCTCTTTAGCAATTCTAAGTTTCCCCAAAGACTTTTTTATACCTACAGTAAGCTTTCTCCCTTCTCTCTGCTGTCCCCACACAATAGACAATTTACGTAAGCTAATTTGAGTGGATTTCACACCTTGCTGCTAAAGGGGCTCTCACAAAAACAACCTCTGAGAATTAACCTAGTAAAGAAAAGATCCAGTGGAGAAAAGAACTGGACTGTGTTCCACGATATCACCTGGAGCCACTGGCCCCTTTAATGAGGCCGTCTTTGGCAGCCTCAGAACCCCTGTTGATGGGGAGTCTTTCAGGCTTCTTCCCACCCACAGCATCTGGGCATAGCTAACTATATCATAGAAGGCATCAAGCTATAAATGACGACTTTTTTTTTTTTTGCCCCACATTCTTGTTTAAGTTGTCAACTTGTATGTTTGGGAGATATTTTCAAATGTTTGCTTGTTTGTTGCAAAACCTCGGTAACCTCACTCATTGGATCTGTTCAGAGATGCCAGAGGAGGAAAGGGTTCTCACCTAAGACACTCAGAGGCCTGAGTGTTTTTGGGCCCTTGCCCAAGGGAGTGGGTGTGCAGCATGTTATACAGCCTTCATGCAGTTCTTTGCTCTTTTCTGTGAGTCAGAGTCATGTGCTGTTTAAAATAGGTGGTGACAGTGGGCAGGGCACTCCAAACACAATAGCAATTCATTGAGTGCATTGGGAGGGAGAGTGTGACCTTTCATCCAAAGCCTCAGCGAGGCTCCATTTGACTGTTGTAAGATCAGAATGAGCATGCAGACCCACTGAGTTGACTGGCAAAGCTTTACTATGGATAACCACAGATGCAACCGCATGCTGTGTCTTTAGGAAAATGGGAGCAAGTGGATTGTGTCAGATGTCCAAATGGTAAGTAAGCAGTCATGTACTTGTGGCTCAGCTTCCCTGAGGAAACTGTACTAAGTATGTACTTACCTAAGAATGCACAAGCTCACTAATGCAGCTCAAGTGGGGCATGAGCTGAGGCCCCTGAGTGAGGCGTGCTTGGGATTTTTACCCTTTTAGAAGTGTTCAGAGATGAGACACCCTCTCCTCCTGCACACACCCCCCCCACACACACACACATGCACACCCCCACACACACGCACATGTAAACATGTTCTCATGAGCATTTACCCAATAGTTCATGCTGATTGTGGGTCTAATGACTAAATTTCAAATCTACCTCTGGCCCATAACACTTAGCTAGCTGTACAGCTTTAGGTAATGGAAGAAATAATCACATGACTTCCCTAAAACACATGTATGAATGTGCTTGTGACATGATAGCCATGTGGTGATGAGCAAAGCCCGGGCAATCTGCAGCTGTGATCCATCAGAGCACAGGAATGGACACTCTTTCCAGGAAGCCACAGCAGCAGCCCCAGGAGGAGAAGTAGTTGTAAGTGTTACAAATTACCCGCACAAGGAAACTCAGCAGTTTCCAAGAATTACATGTGGCAAGCACCTGTTGTGCCAGAGAATTAGAGATCACTTTATGAGTGGGAGTGGGAAGGTTTGCTGGACTAAAAAAACTACTGTCACCCAGCCTTGCCTTAGGCAGATGTGGCAGAAGGTTGTATCATCTCCCTTTCACTACCATTTTCTTGCCCTCCCTCCTGCTTCCTACCCCCATCGCCTTACCACTGTCCACACTATAGGTAATCATCATGCTCTCTGCCCTCTAATATCCCTCGTTTTTATCCTAGAATGACGACCAGTCACTGTGTTAAGTCTTCCGCGATGATTCTAAGCCTCAGTGTTAACTGTGAGATAGAAGACTGTGTTCCCCTTTCCAAGACTACCATCAGGAGAGGAAGGGTCTGTGGGCAATAGGAGGGCTTTATTAATTCCTTAATAAAGGATGGTCCACAGACCGTGGTTTAAAGCAAGCTCTGCTTAGGGGAAAAAAAAAAAAAAAATAGCTCACAGCAGATCCAACAGGAGTCCCGGAGCATAAAGCTATTCAAATGGAAAGACAGTGTCCCTGAAAGAAACTCAAATTGTTCTCATGTGTGGCTGCTCTTTGTTGCTGTTGGGTTTTTCATTTGTTTTATTTTGAGAACTTGACATTTTCCCCTTTCTGGTGCACACAAATGCAGAAGCAGCATTGGCTGGCACTTGGCATCTCATTGAGACTCAGCAGTCACTACCACTTTCTGATATGACTTCAGCTCCTGAGGGGCCCTGCCCACTGGAATTTTTTATTTTCTATTTTTTATTTTTTATTATACTTTAAGTTTTAGTGTACATGTGCACACTGTGCAGGTTAGTTACACATGTATACATGTGCCATGCTGGTGCGCTGCACCCACTAACTCGTCATCTAGCATTAGGTATATCTCCCAATGCTATCCCTCCCCCCTCCCCCAACCCCACCACAGTCCCCAGAGTGTGATATTCCCCTTCCTGTGCCCATGTGATCTCATTGTTCAATACCCACCTATGAGTGAGAATATGCGGTGTTTGGTTTTTTGTTCTTGCGATAGTTTACTGAGAATGATGATTTCCAATTTCATCCATGTCCCTACAAAGGACATGAACCCATCATTTTTTATGGCTGCATAGTATTCCATGGTGTATATGTGCCACATTTTCTTAATCCAGTCTATCATTGTTGGACATTTGGGTTGGTTCCAAGTCTTTGCTATTGTGAATAATGCCGCAATAAACGTACGTGTGCATGTGTCTTTACAGCAGCATGATTTATAGTCATTTGGGTATATACCCAGTAATGGGATGGCTGGGTCAAATGATATTTCTAGTTCTAGATCCCTGAGGAATCGCCACACTGACTTCCACAATGGTTGAACTAGTTTACAGTCCCATGAACAGTGTAAAAGTGTTCCTATTTCTCCACATCCTCTCCAGCACCTGTTGTTTCCTGACTTTTGAATGATTGCCATTCTAACTGGTGTGAGATGATATCTCATAGTGGTTTTGATTTGCATTTCTCTGATGGCCAGTGATGATGAGCATTTTTTCATGTGTTTTTTGGCTGCATAAATGTCTTCTTTTGAGAAGTGTCTGTTCATGTCCTTCGCCCACTTTTTGATGGGGTTGTTTGTTTTTTTCTTGTAAATTTGTTTGAGTTCATTGTAGATTCTGGATATTAGCCCTTTGTCAGATGAGTAGGTTGCGAAAATTTTCTCCCATTTTGTAGGTTGCCTGTTCACTCTGATGGTAGTTTCTTTTGCTGTGCAGAAGCTCTTTAGTTTAATTAGTTCCCATTTGTCAATTTTGTCTTTTGTTGCCATTGCTTTTGGTGTTTTGGACATGAAGTCCTTGCCCATGCCTATGTCCTGAATGGTAATGCCTATGTTTTCTTCCGGGGTTTTTATGGTTTTAGGTCTAACGTTTAAGTCTTTAATCCATCTTGAATTGATTTTTGTATAAGGTGTAAGGAAGGCATCCAGTTTCAGCTTTCTACATATGGCTAGCCAGTTTTCCCAGCACCATTTATTAAATAGGGAATCCTTTCCCCATTGCTTGTTTTTCTCAGGTTTGTCAAAGATCAGATAGTTGTAGATATGCGGCGTTATTTCTGAGGGCTCTGTTCTGTTCCATTGATCTATATCTCTGTTTTGGTACCAGTACCATGCTGTTTTGGTTACTGTAGCCTTGTAGTATAGTTTGAAGTCAGGTAGCGTGATGCCTCCAGCTTTGTTCTTTTGCCTTAGGATTGACTTGGCGATGCAGGCCCTTTTTTGGTTCCATATGAACTTTAAAGTAGTTTTTTTCCAATTCTGTGAAGAAAGTCATTGGTAGCTTTATGGGGATGGCATTGAATCTGTAAATTACCTTGGGCAGTATGGCCATTTTCACGATATTGATTCTTCCTACCCATGAGCATGGAATGTTCTTCCATTTGTTTGTATCCTCTTTTATTTCCTTGAGCAGTGGTTTGTAGTTCTCCTTGAAGAGGTCCTTCACATCCCTTGTAAGTTGGATTCCTAGGTATTTTATTCTCTTTGAAGCAATTGTGAATGGGAGTTCACTCATGATTTGGCTCTCTGTTTGTCTGTTATTGGTGTATAAGAATGCTTGTGATTTTTGTACATTGATTTTGTATCCTGAGACTTTGCTGAAGTTGCTTATCAGCTTAAGGAGATTTTGGGCTGAGACAATGGGGTTTTCTAGATATACAATCATGTCGTCTGCAAACAGGGACAATTTGACTTCCTCTTTTCCTAATGAATGCCCTTTATTTCCTTCTCCTGCCTGATTGCCCTGGCCAGAACTTCCAACACTATGTTGAATAGGAGTGGTGAGAGAGGGCATCCCTGTCTTGTGCCAGTTTTCAAAGGGAATGCTTCCAGTTTTTGCCCATTCAGTATGATATTGGCTGTGGGTTTGTCATAGATAGCTCTTATTATTTTGAAATACATCCCATCAATACCTAATTTATTGAGAGTTTTTAGCATGAAGGGTTGTTGAATTTTGTCAAAGGCTTTTTCTGCATCTATTGAGATAATCATGTGGTTTTTGTCTTTGGTTCTGTTTATATGCTGGAGTACATTTATTGATTTGCGTATATTGAACCAGCCTTGCATCCCAGGGATGAAGCCCACTTGATCATGGTGGATAAGCTTTTTGATATGCTGCTGGATTCGTTTTGCCAGTATTTTATTGAGGATTTTTGCATCAGTGTTCATCAAGGATATTGGTCTAAAATTCTCTTTTTTGGTTGTGTCTCTTCCCGGCTTTGGTATCAGAATGATGCTGGCCTCATAAAATGAGTTAGGGAGGATTCCCTCTTTTTCTATTGATTGGAATAGTTTCAGAAGGAATGGTACCAGTTCTTCCTTGTACCTCTGATAGAATTCGGCTGTGCATCCATCTGGTCCTGGACTCTTTTTGGTTGGGAAACTATTGACTATTGCCACAATTTCAGCTCCTGTTATTGGTCTATTCAGAGATTCAACTTCTTCCTGGTTTAGTCTTGGGAGAGTGTATATGCCGAGGAATTTATCCATTTCTTCTAGATTTTCTAGTTTATTTGCGTAGAGGTGTTTGTAGTATTCTCTGATGGTAGTTTGTATTTCTGTGGGATCGGTGGTGATATCCCCTTTATCATTTTTTATTGTGTCTATTTGATTCTTCTCTCTTTTTTTCTTTATTAGTCTTGCTAGCGGTCTATCAATTTTGTTGATCCTTTCAAAAAACCAGCTCCTGGATTCATTAATTTTTTGAAGGGTTTTTTGTGTCTCTCTTTCCTTCAGTTCTGCTCTGATTTTAGTTATTTCTTGCCTTCTGCTAGCTTTTGAATGTGTTTGCTCTTGCTTTTCTAATTCTTTTAATTGTGATGTTAGGGTGTCAATTTTGGATCTTTCCTGCTTTCTCTTGTGGGCATTTAGTGCTATAAATTTCCCTCTACACACTGCTTTGAATGCGTCGCAGAGATTCTGGTATGTTGTGTCTTTGTTCTCGTTGGTTTCAAAGAACATCTTTATTTCTGCCTTCATTTCGTTATGTACCCAGTAGTCATTCAGGAGCAGGTTGTTCAGTTTCCATGTAGTTGAGCGGTTTTGAGTGAGATTCTTAATCCTGAGTTCTAGTTTGATTGCACTGTGGTCTGAGAGATAGTTTGTTATAATGTCTGTTCTTTTACATTTGCTGAGGAGAGCTTTACTTCCAAGTATTGCCCACTGGAATTTTGTGAGGATATTTTAAATAACAAAAGACCTAACAAATTACAATGTACAATCATGTGTCGCTTAACAATCTAGGCTATATAGTATAGCCTATTGCTCCTAGGCTACCAACCTGTACAGCAAGCTACTGTACTGAATATGGTAGGGAATAACATAACACAAATCAGTAGGTGATAGAAAATTTTTGTTCCATTAAAATCTTATGGGACTACCATCATATTTGCAGTTGGTCATTGACTGAAATGTCACTGTATGACTGCGTTGAAAACTTTGCTGTGAGACTATAGTTACTAAAGCCTGAATCTTGTCATCACTTGTAAAGGCTATCTCTGAGCCCAACCGCCATATAAATATAGAAATGTCATCTGATTGCTATATTACTGAAATTTGTTAACTTTTGAGAGCAATTTCATAGAGACTAGAAAAAAAGGAAGATTCTAGGATTATTAAATTTACTAAAGATTTTCATGGGTTCTCAAATGATATTTGAAATGATCACATTTGGAGACATATCACACACAATGTTTCTGCTTGCAGTAGCCCCATGAAATGGCCATTAGTGTATTCTGTTCTTATTAGATGAAAACTCCACTAAGACTTTGATTCCAAATAATTTACCTATCCCACTTTACTGACCTAAGTTAATAGTTCTTACCAATGTTTCCGTGCTCAGGAGATATAATAGAAATTATTTTTGATGAGGAGAAATAAAAACATTGATTAGGCAGAACTAGGGCTCTTTCTGAGTGTGAGCCTATTTCTTTTTCTTCTTTTACAATTCCATCAATTCTCTTGTTTTTCTTCTAATTTATTCCACCTTCAAATTCTTTATTCTGCCAAATAACCAGTTTCCCATTTCCCTCCCAGAGAGTCTTTCCAGTCAGCGTCCCTCCTTGCTTCCTCTTTGTTTCTTCCATTCTATGACTTCTTCCCTTACTCATAGTTGGGTGGGTATTTACCATCCATGCAACATTGGCTCAGTGGGTGTTGTGTTAATGGACTGAATGTTTACATCCCTCCACTAAATTCATATGTTGAAATCTAATCCTGGATGTGATGGTATTCGAAGGTGTGGTCTTTTAGAGGTGATTAGGTCATGAGAGTAGAGCCCTTATGAATGGAATTAGTGCCCTTATAAGAAGAGGCCAGAGAGCTAGATAGCTCCCTTTCTGTCATGTGAGGATATGAGAAGCTGGAAGTCTACAACCCAGAAGAGAGCCCTCTCTAGGACCTGATCATGCTGCACCTTGATCTCAGACTTCCAGCCTCCAGGACTGTGAGAAATAAATTTCTGTGGTTTATAAGCTATTCAGTCTATGGTATTCTGTTATAGCAGTACAAACTAAGACAGTGGGATATCTGAAAAATTCTCAAAGCCTTACAGTTTGAAGCCAAATTCAGCATCTGAGTGGCCTGACAGTCTCTTTATTAAACATACATTTGATGATTGCCTATAAACAATCTTAGCCACTTTGGAGCTCACCACCACCACAACCATCACCAGTCTTGAATATTCTTTCCAGTCTCCTGACATTATGGAATTTTTTCAGCTTGCTGAAAGGAAGAGGTGCCACCACTTCATGATATTCAGTCCTCTAACACATGGCCCCAATTTTTTTTCTTTCTTCCCAATACCTGCTTTCCACCTGCACCCTATTCTAACTCAATATTCAATTTTCATGCCTGGTGTTTCCCTGCCCATTGCTGAATAAGGCACTACTATAATGTTGTCTAGATCAGCAGTTCCCAGCCTTTTTTGGCACCAGGGGCCAGTTTCATGGAAGGCAATTTTTCCATGGATGATGGGGGGATGGTTTTAGGATGAAACTGTTCCACCCCAGAACATCAGGCATTCGTTAGATTCCCATAAAGAGCGCACAACCTAGATCCCTCACATGCACAGTTTGCAATAGGGTTCACACTCCTATGAGAATCTAATGCCACCACTGATCTGACAGGAGGCAGAGCTCTGGTAATAATGCTCACTCACCTTCTGCTGTGCGGCCTGGTTCCTAACAGGTCATCGACCAGTACTAGTCCACAGCCTGGGGGTTGGGGACTAGTACTGGTCAACAACAAATTGTGCAAAGACCTCACAAGACCATAGGCCTAGTCCTAGATTGTGAGCCTAACTGGATAATAAGAACATCCAAAATTGTACATAAACACGTTCCCATTTCAGTTTACATAAATTTATGTAAGTGACCAATAAGAATCTTTGCTGATGTTTAGAGAAATCCATTGTGCTTGGGGTCACTTTATCTTCAAAAGCCATTTAATTGTCATTTTTCCAATTTTTAGTTAAAACCAAACAAGAGCTACTGAAGACTAGAAAATATAAAACAAGTACATTGTGATTTCATTGAAAGTTGTTTTACAACCTGCACACTTGAAAATGAATATTATTAGCTGAATTTAATTAAATACAATAGCCATATCAGGGAACTTGACCAATCACATCAAGACCTGGCCATACAGGAAAAGCTGTTTATTGGAGCAAGCTTCCAAAAACTTTTAACTAGTGTGACATTTGATAAGTAACACAGACAGAATGAAAAATGTTAACTATCCATGACGATGACTATTGATAAAATAATGATAAACAATCTATTGCTTAAATACTCATGTGTAGGAGGAGAAATGTGATTATGAGGGCAGATCTGGACTTTTGTGATGAAAGTTCCAGCTGGTGAGGCTTCCAGGTGGTTCTCAGCCCCTGCTGAAGACCATTTTGAAGCCTGACTCTCTCGGAGGTAGTCAGCTCTGTTATTTTAGGATAGTGGTTAGCAGCAGGTGGGGAGCTTTAAAACAAAGAAACACAGCAATGTCCATGCCCCCACCCATGAGCAACTAAATCAAAATGTCTGGAGTATCAGTATTCTGTCTTAAACCTCCCCCTTTGGTTCTCATATGCAGCCAGATTTGAAAGCTACAGTTATAGGAGGTTAGATGACTTGGTATTTTGAAGGTTCCATAGTTCCATGTCAGGATGATGGACTGAGTATATCCTAGAGCTTCTTTACTCCTACAGCGAGGGACTTGACTGGTGATCCGGAATAAAAAGTGAAACCTTCAGTGAACCAGAAACTGGGATAAAATCCTAAAGGATGAGGTGAACACTGGATTGATCAAAGACAGAAAGGCCAATCTAAAACACGCACAGGGAAGTATTGCTAAAAAAAAAGGTGCAGGGAGCAGCAAGACTGCCCCATCCCCTAAAGTGGCAGACACCAGAAGCAGGAGGGTGTCAAGGGCAATCAACATGTAGGTTCTTGGGGTAGTGCTGCAGAAGAGGCCAGGTAGATCTTTCTTCATCAATGCCCTTCCATCTACCCCTGAGCCAAACAGCAGTGACAAAGTGTCCACTTCCAGGTTGGAGCTGTGACCAGGGGGCCCAAATTAAAGAGGCATGGCATGACCATGTCATGAGGCTGTCATTGCCAGGGGGCACTAGACTAGAATACCCAAGAGAAATCTCACCCAGTGGCTTGTCCCCTACTTTCCCTGAAAATAGGCCACAGGACAGTCCAGAGCAACAATTTTCCCAAGCACAAGTACACAACACCCACTTATAGAAAATGCAGTCTAACAGAGAATCTTAATAAAAAAGATGACAGTCAAGACTCACAAGTTAGAGCAGCTACAGACAAATCAACTAGAGGACATTGAGATTAATACTTAGAATACAAAATTGAGGCCAAGCACAGTGGCTCACACCTGTAATCCCAGCTCTTTGGGAGGCTGAGGTGGGTGGATCACCTGAGGTCAGGAGTCTGAGACCAGCTTGGCCAACATATAGGGAAACCCCGTCTACTGAAAGTACAAAAATTAGCCAGGCATGGTGGCATGCACCTGTAATCCCAGCTACTCAGGAGGCTGAGGCAGGAGAATTGCTTGAACCCGGGAGACGGAGGTTGCAGTGAGCCAAGATCCCACCATTGCACTCTAGCCTGGGCAACAGAGCGAGACTCCATCTCAAAAAAGACAAAACAAAACAAAACTGAATAGGTAGATGGAACTGATATTTTTTCCAAAACTTAATTTTATTAAAGACTAATGTATACCTATGACCTAGTGACTAGTAATAGTTCTTAAGTTTGATAGTTCACATTTTTAGAGACAGTCTCTTCAAAAAATGGGGCTGGGAAAACTGGATATCCTCATGCAGAAGAATGAAACTAGACCTCTATCTCTCACCATATAGAAAAATCAAAATGAATTAAAGACTTAAATCTAAGACTTCAAGCTATGAAACTACTACAAGAAAACATTGGGGAAACTCTCCAGGACATCAGTCTGGGCAAAGGTTTCTTGAGTAATACCTCACAAGCACAGGCAGCCAAAGCAAAAATGGACAAATGGGATCACATGAAGTTAAAAATCTTCTGCACAGCAAAAGAAATAACAAAGTGGAGAGAAAACCCACAGAATGGGAGAAAATATTTACAAACTACCCATCTTTAAGGGCTTAATAATCAGAATATATCAGGAGCTCAAACAAATCTATAGAAAAAAATTCTAATAATCCAATTTAAAAATAGGTAAAATATTTGAATAGACATGTCTCAAAACAAGACACACATATGATAGACACATGAAAGGTACTCAACATCATTGATCATCAGAGGAATGCAAATCAAAACTACAATGAGATATCATCTCACCCCAGTTGAAATGGCTTTTATCCAAAATACAGGCAATAATAAATTCTGGTAAGGATGTGAAGAAAAGGGAACTCTCATACACTGTTTATGGGAGTGTACATTAGTACAACCACTATGGAGAAGAGTTTGGAGGTTCCTCAAAAAACTAAAAATAGAGCTACCATACGATCCAGCAATCCCACTGCTGGGTAAATACCCAAAAGAAGGCAAATCAGTATATCAGAGATATATCTGCACTTCCATGTTTGTTGCAGCTCTGTTCACAATAGCCAAGATTTGGAAGCAACCTAAGTTTCCATGAACAGATGAATGAATAAAGAAAATGTGCACTTATACACAGTGGAGTACTATTCAGCCATAAAAAGGAATGAGATTAAGTCATTTGCAACAACGTAGATGGAACTGGAGGTCATTATATTAAGTGAAATAAGCCAGGCACAGAAAGACAAACATCACATGTTCTTAATTATTTGTGGGATCTAAAAATAAAAACAATTGGACCCAGAGAGATAAATAGTAGAAGGATGGTTGTCAGAGGCTAGGAAAGGTAGTGAGGAGGTGAAGACGGGGAGTGATGGTTAATAGGTACAAAAAAATAGAATAAATGAATAAGACCTAGCACTTGATAGCACAACAGGGTGACTAGAGTCAACAATAATTTAATTGTACATTTTTAAATAAATAAAAGAATATAATTGGATTGTTTGTAACATAAAAGATAAATGCTTGAGGGGCTGGAATCCCTGTGTTCCATGATGTGATTATTACCCATTGCATTTCTGTATCAAAACATTTCATGTACTCCATAAATATATACACCTGCTACGTACCCACAAAGTTTTTTTAAAAAAATGGTTAAGATGGTTAAAAAATAGTTTCCATTTTTAGGATGTACATGATATTAATATTCACATGAGACATAGAAAGTATTTGAAAGAATGAAATATTTTCTGTAATCCTTTTTTTAAAACTTGGTTCATTTTGAAAATCAACAGTGAGTGAAAAAATAAAACCAAAAGAAAGAAAAGTAAGTTTTTCTCTCAAAAACATAAGAAACTCTTGCTGGCCTTTGTATTTTAAATGTCTGGAGTAAAATGGGCCAAATTTTCAAAGGCAGTTAATAACAGTTTATACAAGGACTTTTATAATTTGGTTTAAGCAAAGAGGAAATATTCCATTTAAGATATATTTGGTTTCTTCTCCACCTCTCACATTGCCTTACTCCTCTTACCAGGCCATAGTAGATAACATGGATCCTCAAATCTCACTAACGAATCTAAAATAATGGCTTTAACATAGCTGCTCAGATTACACACACTATCAGAGTATTTTCCCTTTAAGATAGGATATCAGTGAACACTACAGGTATCAACTTTTTTGTTATAAAAATTTCTTCAGCAAGCCCAATTACTTTCCTAGTCCTTTTTAATCTGTCATATAAAGCCTTTTTATTGTTACACCTATTCACTAATTATGACTGCTATTTTGCTCAAAGAAATATTCCCCCAGGCATACATCTATTTCTATTTCCTAATGACAAAGTATGCTTATTTTATGTAGTGTCACAATATTATTTTATTGATGCTG
Organism: Homo sapiens; assembly: GCF_000001405.40. NCBI lineage: Eukaryota > Metazoa > Chordata > Mammalia > Primates > Hominidae > Homo > Homo sapiens. The sequence continues at coordinate 115,404,043 of NC_000005.10, read as the reverse complement.
CTTTAAAAAAACATTCTAATTGTCATTCATCAAGGCATATTGCACACCTAGATCAAAAAGAGAACCAGCAAGCACACACATTTCTTAACCTAAGTAACATCTGAAAACGTAAGACTTAGACTTCAGTTACATTTTCCACTGAAGAAAATCCATACAACTTTGGTGCCTATCCAAGAACTTATAATGTCAATTTCTAACATACGTTATAACCCCCAGTACACGTGTATTTTCAGAAGAAAGCAAGTCATAGCAAATCAAATTTTTCCCAAATGCTATTTGATATATTTTTATAGCAAATTAAAAATTTTTGAATATGAAAACTGAAGGTGGCCAGGCACAGCAGCTCATGCTTGTAATCCCAGTACTTTGGGAGGCTGACCTGGGAGGATCACTTGAACCCAAGAGGTCAAGGCTGCAGTGAGCTGTGATCATGCCACAGCACGCAAGCCTGGGTGACAGAGTGAGACCCTGTGTCAAAAAATAAAACTGAAGGTATGTTCAATAATAAAACAAATATAGCTTATATAATAGGTTTATTTGTTTAAAGTCAACAGTATATTTGCATTCTGCAACTGACCTGTAAATCCCATTATTTTTCTCTGGAATTTTATAGGTACAATGTCTCACAAAACCATGTCTCATATCCAAGAAACATCTTTTTGGCATCAGGCTATGTGAAAGACTCTGATGAGATACTTCCCCTGAATTGGAATAATTTTTTTACTTTTCCAGAAAAACATGGCAACCTCATCAACCACTTACCCATATGGAGCAAAAGTTACTACCAATTGTTCTTTTAATTTTACTCTAAAATACTTAAAGTTTAGGCATTTCTCATGTTTTTGAATTGCACCCACATAAAAGATAACGGAATGAAACACAGTACATAATTTCAAAAGATAAATCTTAGTATCTGACTCATTTGGCACATCCTTAGAATTTAAAATAAAATCAGTAGAAATAAAAGTGATGTAATTTTCAAAGAATTTCTACATGCTGGAGTCTTAGAACAAGGGCCTTCTAAATGAAAAGAAGGGGGAGGTTCAGCTCATCTTGCTAATTATATGCATTTTTCCTTATGGAGTAACTAATGCTTTCTGGTTTATTTGGGGAACTTTTGTTTGTGGGAAAGCATGTACATTGGGCCAGATCTTGTTGGTTTCTCTTCTGAAGATTGAACACCCCTTTTTTCTGGCATTATTCCAGGACCACTTGCATTTGGGATTAGTAAACCTTCAACCTCTTGTTAAAGTCAGATCATAATGCAGACTGTTTTGGAGGGTTGAATTCGAGGTTGTTGACTTGGCTATTGGCTGGATGAATCCAGCAAACAGTGAGGCGTAGCTTGATGACCTCAGATTGCATGTTCGGGTTCATCATCAGGTGTATCTGATAAACTCAATCTAGGCCTTCAGCCTGTGGAAGTATCCTGGTGAAACCATGCAACAGCCAGTGAGACTGGGTGAGATTTTTCAGCTCGTGTGAAGTCAATCACATCATAACGTCACCTGGTATGAGCTTCCCCTGGTCAATGACAGTCTTGGCCAGCAGACAAATCTCTGTGTCCCTCCACATATTGCCTCTTGGCAGATCCTTGTGGGAAAGGTGGTTCAGTTCAAAGGGTTTGATTATGCACGATGGCAGGGTGTGCTTGCTGGAGCCTGGCCCCCATGATCACATTGTGAGTAGCCTCCCAGAGGCCCCCCTTGGCCCCTGCACAAGGCCTGAATGCACCAATGACTGGACCCTGGCCTGGCTTGCATGCTCCCCAGGCTCTGGGGCTGGGCTCTGGCTGCAGCATTGTGAGGACACACGTCCCAGAGGGCGCAACTGGCAGTAGAAGTTGATATTTTAAAATGGACACTGCAGGAGAGTAAATTCATGAGTTAAAACGTGAAGCCAAGGAATTCTCCCATGATGCAGTACAAAGAGCTGAACAAATGGTAAGTATGAAAGGAAAATTAAGAGACATAGAGTATAGATTCGAAAGTTTCACCTTTCACAAGTGGAAAATGGAGAGAATGTAGAAACACAATGTTTAAAGACATAGTTACAGAATAGACAAGAATTTCCCAGAATTTAATAGTAAGAGTTTGCAGGAATAGAAAATATATCAGTGGAACAGCATAGAACATCTAGAGGCAAATACTGGCAAAGTTGTGAGTGAATATGTATTTTCACACTCCACTGGTGAGATATAGTAGGGACAGTTACTTTGGTAGACAATTTGGTGTCAACTATTAATATTTTTATTACCTATTGATATCCTCTTTAAACAAACACTTTCACATGACAACAAGGAGGCATATATAGGATGTTAGTTGCAGCCTGATTTATAAAAGCAAAAAGTTCTTAGCAGTCTAAATGTTTACTAATAGAATAGCTAAATGAACTTTAGCCATAATGTGTAATATTATGCAACAGCTAAATAGAGAGGTAGATTGCTAGATATTGACATGAAAAGATTTCTAAGACATTGTAAATAAAAAATTGCAGAAGATTTTATACAGCATAATATAATTTATATTAAAATATATCTATAATGTGAACTGGAAAGCTGATGAAAGGTTTTGAGCAGTGTAAAGACATGATCAGATTTTTGGTTTTGAAAGACTGCTCTGTTTGTAAAAATGGAAACAAGTGGACTTGTTAGGAAGCTACTTCAGCAGACCACCAGATAAATACCCAATCAAAAAGTTAGCAATATCCCAAATTAATAACCTAACATTACACCTAGGAAAACTAGAGAAACAAGAGCAAACCAACCCCAGAGCTAGTAGAAAGAAAGAAACAAGCAAAATCAGAAAATGTAAAATGTAAAACTATAAAAATCCTGGAAGATAACCAAGGAAATAATATTCTGGACATAGGCTATGGCAAAGGTTTCATGACAAAAACATCAAAAGCAATTGTGACAAAAACAAAAATTGACAAGTGGGACCTAATTAAACTAAAGAGCTTCTGCACAGCAAAAGAAGCTATCAACATTCAGCAAAGTCTTAAGATACAAAATCATTGTGAAAAATCGCAAGCATTCCTACATAGCAATAATAGACAGAGCCAAATCGTGAGTGAACTCCCAGTCACAATTGCTACTAGAGAATAAAATAACTTACAGGGGATGTGAAGGACCTCTTCAAGGAGAAATACAAAGCACTGCTCAAGGAAATAAAAGAGGACACAAACAAATGGAAGAACATTCCATGCTCATGGATAGGAAGAATCAACATCGTGAAAATGGCGAGACTGCCCAAAGTGATCTATAGATTCAATGCTATCCCCATCAAGCTACCACTTTCTACACAGAATTGGAAAAAACTACTTTAAATTTCATATGGAACCAAAAAAGAGCCTGCATAGCCAAGACACTCCTAAGCAAAAAGAACAAAGCTGGAGGGATCACGCTACCTGACTTCAAAGCATACTACAAGGCTACAGTAACCAAAACAGCATGGTACTAGTACCAAAACAGATATATAGACCAACAGAACAGAACAGAGGCATCAGAAATAACACCACACATCTACAACCATCTGATCTTTGACAAACCTGACACAAGCAATGGGGAAAGGATTCCCTATTTAATAAATGATGTTGGGAAAACTGGCTAGCCATATGCAGAAAGTGGAAACTGGATCCCTTCCTTACACCTTATACAAAAATTAACTCAAGATGGATTAAAGACTTAAATGTAAGACCTAAAACCATAAAAACCCTAGAGGAAAACCTAGGCAATACCATTCAGGACATAGGCATGAGCAAAGACTTCATGACTAAAACACCAAAAGAAATGGCAACAAAAGCCAAAATAGAAAATGGGATCTAATTAACTAAAGAGCTTCTGCACAGCAAAAGAAACTGCCATCAGAGTGAACAGGCAACCTACAAAATGGGAGAAAATTTTTGCAATCTATCCATCTGGCAAAGGGCTAATATCCAGAATCTACAAATAACTTAAACAAATTTACAAGAAAAAACAAACAGCCCTATCAAAAATTGGGTGAAGGATATGAACAGATACTTCTCAAAAGAAGAGATTTATGCAGCCAACAAGCTTATGAAAAAATGCTCATCATCACTGGTCATTAGAGAAATGCAAATCAAAACCACAGTGAGATACCATCTCACACCGGTTAGGTTGGCGATCATTAAAAAGTCAGGAAACAACAGATGCTGGAGAGGATGTGGAGAAATAGGAATGCTTTTACACTGTTGGTGGGAGTGTAAATTAGTTCAACCATTGTGGAAGACAGTGTGGCAACTCCTCAAGGATCTAGAACTAGAAATACTATTTGACGCAGCAATCCCATTACTGGGTATATACCCAAAGGATTATAAATCATTCTAATATAAAGACACATGCACACATATGTTTATTGCAGCACTGTTTACAATAGCAAAGTCTTGGAACCAGCCCAAATGCCCATCAATGATAGACTGGATAAAGAAAATGTGGCACATATACACCATGGAATACTATGCAGCCATAAAAAAGGATGAGTTCATGTCCCTTGCAGGTACATGGATGAAACTGGAAACCATCATTCTCAGCAAGGTAACACAAGAAGAGTTACAGGAAGAGCAAAGTAACACAGTGCATGTTCTCACTCATAAGTGGGAGTTGAACAATGAGAACACATGGACACAGGGAGGGGAACATCACACAGCAGGGCCTGTCAAGGGGTGGGGGATTGGGGGAGGGATAGCATTAGGAGAAATACCTAATGTAAATGACGAGTTGATGGGCGCGGCAAACCAACATGGCACATGTATATCTATGTTAACAAACCTGCACGTTTTGCACATGTACCCCACAACTTTAGTAATAAAAAATAAAAAAAGAAGCTATCAACAGACTATACAGATAACCTACAAAATGGGATAAAATATTTGCAAACTATGCATTTGTTAAAGGTCTAATACCCAGAATCTATAAGAAACTTAAATTAATAAACACACCCATTAAAAAGTAGGCAAAGGCCATAAGCAGACACTTTTTAAAAGAAGCCATACACCGAGCCCACAAGCATATGAAAAAATGCTCAGCATCACTAATCATTGAGAAATGCAGATCAAAACCACAATGAGATACCATCTCACTCCAGTCAGAATGGCTATTACTAAGTCAAAAAATAACAGATGCTGGCATGGTTGTAGATGAAGGCAATGCTTATACACATGTAAATTAGTTCAGCCATTGTGAAATGTAGTGTGATGATTTCTCAAATAACTTAAAACAGAATTACTATTTGACCTAGCAATCCCATTACTGGATATATACCCAAAGGAAAAGAAATCATTCTATCATAAAGACACATGCATGCATGAGTTTATTGCAGCAGTATTAACAATAGCAAAGAAAAGGAATCAACCTAAATGCCCATCAACGGTAGACTGGATAAAGAAAATGTGGTATATATACACTATGGAATACTACACTGCCATTAAGAAGAACAAGATCACATCCCTTGCAGAAATATGGATGCAGCTGGAGGCCATTATCCTAAACGAACTAATGCAGGCACAGAAAAACAAATACCACATTTTCTCACATATCAGTGGGAGATAAACATTGAGTACACATGGACTCATGTGTACTTAAGGGTGGAGAGTGGGAAGAGGGAAAAGATAGAAAAACTACCTATCAGGTACCATGGTTATTACCTACATGATGAAATAACCTATACATCAGACCCCCATGACAGACAATTTACCTATAGGACAAACCTGCACAGGTATCCCTGAATCTAAAATAAAACTATAAAACAGGTACTCCTGAATCTAAAAGAAAAGAAAACTTGTCAAAAGACCAGCAGAAAAGTGAGAAAGTACTATTTTAATTTCTTCAATTATGAGTGAAATTGAACATCTTTTCATTTGTTTATGGACCATTTACATTTTATTTCTATGCCGAATTTTTAAGCTGACAATTTCCTGCTGATCACTTTCTTGAGAAAAAATGCTGGAAGTTTAGTTTACTCCACAAGCCATGAAATAGATCCTCTGTTCTGTCTTGGGTGGTCCAGTTGCACTGGCTTAATACAGATCAGGCTGTGCATCATATGGTGCTGATGCTATTGAGAGGCTGCTGAGCCACCAACCATGCATCCACTTCATTCTCTATCCATTAAGAGTCATAAAAATAAGGTGATGGGTTGCTTTCATTCTATAAGCAGGAGAGAAATCTATTTCCAGAATAAAGGTTGGGGGAGTAGAAACCCAATTTCTGTGTTTGTATTTGTAGGGGCCGAGTAGAATTTATGCTCTAACTTTCCAGATTTTTTATTGTTTCTGCTATTTGTGATCCTTAATTTAGTCATATAATTTCTGTTATTGTTATATTCAAAGCAGTTACATTGAATACGTAAGGAGATTTAAAAGGTATAGAAATTTGGCCTATATTCTCCAGCAAAGGAACAAAATGATGTTATAATTTGAACTGCTACTTTGCATAATACTAATTGCTTTGCATAATAAAGAAGCATACTATTACAATCTTTTAGCATAACTAATTATATACACAAAAAGTAATCCTGTTAAGGCCTTTCTATCTTCTTGCAATAGATTTAGACTTCTAGTATACTCAACCTTTAATTGAGATACCTAATTTGATACCAGACTCTGATCCCAGTAAATTCCAGATAGAATATGGGTGAGGAGTTGGGAGTGTTTGCTTGGCTCCAGATCTGAGTGGGAGAAGACGTGCTTTGGAAAATCTTAGTGCAGTCACAGATGATGCTGGCCTACTGGTACATGTCAGATTCTCAAAGCACATTGGCCATTTCTGGCTCCTGAGGCCACCTTGCTCCATTCTCCTTTTCCAGACCTACATCACATAAGCCATTTGAGACAAATGGCTCTGCAGCTTGTTCTTAAGAACATCTGGTAAGAGATTTTTTTCACAAAATACGTTTAAAAACTACTAGCCAACTAATATCATTTAATACATTTGACCTCATTTTGCAGAAACATCTAAGGGCAACCAAACATGACTATGGAAATTTATCAAAACTTTCTAGATATGTTCTTCATGGTAATGGAAACCAAGTGCATAGCAATAAAAGAAAAGCAGCAGGAGCTCCTCAGATTAGGCTGTTTTCTAAGGTATTACTCATCTTGTCATGAAATTTTCTATGTTAATTTGTTGCCCACCCCTTAAGGGAAAGTTAGCAGTTTAGAGCATCCAAGGAACCAGAGCTAAAAGCCACAAGAAAGATAACAAGTTTGAAAACCATTCATTCATCGAGTCAACAAACTTTAACTTGGAATTTTTCTGTGTGACTAGTTTTTCTATTGCTCCTCTGTGGAACTTGAGTAGATTTTAGGTCTCTGTGAGAGAACATTCCCGAGCCTTGGCCCCAGATTTGATGTGTTTTATTTTAGTTTTTAAACATTGTTTATTATGGAAAATTTCAAAAGATACATAAAATTAGAGAATTTATAAGCCCGTGTACCCATCATCCAGTTTTTAAAAAGATCAACATTTTGCCAATCTTATTTTATCTATCTTATATTTTTTCTGGAGTATTTTAAGTAATAACACATTTTTATTTCAATGGTTAAACATTTTAATCTGAATAACAAAAAATATATAACCAGCACATCAAATCTATAATTTCACAACGTTATTGCTTTGGACAAAACTAAACTGTAAATTTAAACTTTTAAAACTGCTACACAGATACGGCAAAGTGCAAGAAGAGAGCACACAGATGGCTACAGTTTATGAACTGTTGTTAGAGGCAACAAGAGATTAGGAGATAGTAGACATTCCCCTTCATCTTCCCTCCCACAGTGAGGTTAGGATAGTTAGAGGAGATTCCATCTTCTGCAGACAGTGCTTAGTACCATGCCTGGCACTTAATAAGTACCCATAAAATAGAAGCTAATATCATTTTTTGAAAGGCATCTTTGATTCCAGAGAACTGATACTGGCTAACATTTATTAGGCCCTTACTGTGTACATGTTAGCAGCGGGAAATTCATATGGGTCTGCAGCAACCTCAATTCTTGCCTCCTCAGAAGAAAGAATTTGATCAAGGGGCGTAAGGCAGGGGAGACTGAGGCAAGTTTTAACTCAGGAGTGAAAGTTTATTAAAAAGTTGTAGAGGCCGGGCGCGGTGGCTCACGCCTGTAATCCCAGCACTTTGGGAGGCCGAGGCGGGCGGATCATGAGGTCAGGAGATCGAGACCATCCTGGCTAACACGGTGAAACCCCGTCTCTACTAAAAATACAAAAAATTAGCCGGGCGTGGTAGCGGGCGCCTGTAGTCCCAGCTACTCGGGAGGCTGAGGCAGGAGAATGGCGTGAACCCGGGAGGCGGAGCTTGCAGTGAGCCGAGATCGCGCCACTGCGCTCCAGCCTGGGCGACAGAGCAAGACTCCGTCTCAAAAAAAAAAAAAAAAAAAAAAAAAAAAAGTTGTAGAGCAGAAACAAAAGGAAGTAAAGTACGCTTGGAAGAGGGCCAAGGGGGTGACTTGAGAGATTAAAGTGCACTGTTTGACCTTTGACTTGGGGCTTTATATGTTGGCATGCTTCCAAGGCCTGTATTACTTTTCCCCTGATTCTTCCCTTGGTATGGGCTGTCCACATGCACAGTGGCCTGCCAGAACTTGGGAGGGGCTGCATGCATAGTGTGTTTACTGAAGTTGTACACATGTTCATTTGAGGCATTTTGCCCTTACCAGTCAAGCGTTTCTAGAGGAAGGTCATACCCGTTGAACTCCACCATTTTGCTTCTTAGTGCACATGCTTGAGCCCACTTACCCAACTCCTGAGATCTTATCAGGAAACTGCTGATCACCAGTTTCAGATTTTTTCTATCTATTGGGAGACTGCCATTCCCTGGCACCAGCTGCAACCAATTATTATTTTAGTGATACAGTTTAATGACCCCCTGACCATACCCATCACCTGATGGTCACCTGACATTCCTGGTGGCCAGGGCTTGGGGGTGGTGGGGGGCTCTCCTGCCGTGTTCACATCTACCTAACTACTCCAACATATGGACACTTCAGTGGGAGATTTACATACATTATCTCCTTTCATCTTCACAAACTATGAGTAGATACTAGTTTTCCCATTTTTAGAATTAAAAAGTTGAGGCTCAGATAAATTAAGTTACTTAAGATCACAAAGCTACTAAGTGGTGAAGCTAGGACTTGAATTCAAGGCTATCTTCCTCCAAAGCTCATGTTGTTTTTCCACTGGGCTCCTCAAAAAGCCAGGGCCCACCTCCTGACCATGGGAGACAACTGGGGAAAGAACGAGACATGTAGAATTGGAGGCCTGATTCTTCTATTTGCTAATATTGTGACATGCAACATTTCACTTCCTTTTTTCTGACCCTCTGTTTCTTATGCCTCGAATGGGGGTGGTAATATTAATTATCCAATTTGCAAGCACAAAATGCAATAATGTATATGGGAATCTGGCGTTGTAGGCACTAAATAAATATTTGTACTATATTCAGACACCACCCATAAAGCATGCAATCTTGAGCAAACCCCTTTCCTCTCTGGGTCTTGGTGTCATCAGCTATAAAGAAGATGGGATCAACCTCAACATGCTAGAGTCCTGAGACCTGACTTCATTTTCCCAAAACAATGCTCTCTGTTAGCATGAAGCAGTTAAGAGCAGTCATCATCCCTACCCTAATGGCAGTTAGATGTACCTCTTCAGAAGCGGGGATTGATGGCAGTGGCCACTCCAGATGACCTGCCACTGCCATCACACTGGCTGCAGTGGGGAGGCATGGCCAAGGCTGCATGCTCCACGGATCAGGCAGGAACCCCATGCTCCTGGGTTGGGCCACAGCCTCCCAAGTTGTGGCTGCAGATCTGAGCCTCCCTGTGCTCTTGGGGGGCCAGGAGCAGGCAGGAGCCCTGCCCTTCCAGTTGCAGCTGCAGCCTCCCAAACCACCCCTGCAGACCCCAGCCTCCCACTCCATGGAATAGGCACCCAGGGTGCAGTTGCAGCCACCCAAACCATGACTGCAGACTCAGGCATCCCTGCACTCTTGGAGGCCCAGGAAAGACCCCTGCTGCCCTTGCAGGCTCAGAAGTGCCTCCTTCTGCTGCCTGGCTTCTCCTTGCTGTCAATGCCCTCTCCAATCTTGAAGCAAAGTTGGGGCAGAGCCTGGGTACCATGAACAGAAGCAGGAGGTAGACAGATTCCTAGATGGAAGGGGGCAGTTCCTGAAGGCTGGGGGTGGGGCTGCCAGTCCCCTTGACCAGAATGGGAACTGGTGTCTTTTCTGAGCTTGCTATGGTCACCCATGGAGCAATCAGCATGCACTTTCTCCTCTCTGAGGCCCATAAAATCTCCAGGAACAGCCAGAGCTGAGCAAATGATGGAATTACCAGCTGCAGAGAGGAGCTACCCTCTCTGCTGAGAGCTTCAGAGACTTGCAGAGACGGTGGGACCACCAGCTGCAGAGAGGAGCAACTCACTCCAGGACCTCCTCTCTGCTAGGAGCTGGGCAGATGTCAGGACGACCAGCTGCAGATAGGAGCTACCCTTTCCAGGGCCTCCTCTCTGCAGAAAGCAGCAAACGTCAGCACAACCAGTAGCAGAGAGGAGCTACCCTCTCCAGGGCCTTCTATTTGCTGAGAGCTGAACACTGGACAGGGTGACCTGCCTACAGAGAAGAGCTACAGAACCCACTGCGGGTCTCCTCTGAGCTGTTCTAACACTCAATAAAGCTCCTCTTAATCTTGTTTACCCTCCACTTGTCTGCATACCTCATTCTTCCTGGATGCAGGACAAGAACTCAGGCAAAGGTGCCACCAGCCACAGAGGTTTCTGGCCAGTAAATTGACACCCCAAAGATCCCATAGCACTTCTAGGGATAATATTCCAGAATTGTATTCTGATTAGACCACAATAAATATTACTGATTCTGAAGTTAATGAAAATGACTAAACTTCCATTTGGGGGAATTTTACTTATAATTACTTAATCTAGATTCCTTAGAAAGCAGAGCCTGAAAATGCTATGTTGGTACTACTGTGATAGGGAGTGTGATCCCATGAAGCAGAAGTGAGGGGAATGAGGCAGGGAAGGAGAGAGAGAAATTCAAGCAGGCATAACTGAGCTGGTCACCACTAAATACTTCTGATTGCTCTATCTTACAAGACCAGGACTTTTAAAAGCTGCATCCCAAGTCTGGAATTAAAAAAAAAAATCTATCAGTTTTCATCTCCCATTTGGGAGCATTTTGACCATGTGGTATTAATTCCTCTGTAATTATGAGTTGTGCAATTCTGGGGCCTGAGGGAGGGCCTCTGGATTCCTTGGAAGTTAACAGGGAATCCTAGGTTGGGAAGATCGAGGTTCATGGCATGGGTATGGAGCTGGGCTCTGGAAGGAGGTGCCTGGCAGAAATAAATGGAGTGGGGTGCCAAGGTGGCAGCTGGAACAAGAGACAGGTGAGGCTGAGAGGACCTGAAATTGGTATGTGATATGTTAACTTGTACCCAATCAACTTCCAGATGGAATCTGATGAGGCTTACATATACAATAAGGATGATGGTGAAAAAGGAAATAATTCATAGCAATAGCAACAACAACAAAGTACCTCAGTTTCCTTATCTTTAAAAGGGAGGAGGACAAAGCAGCGGGCGTTGGCTTCGGGCCTCCGGAATCCAGTGCTCACCCTACTCGCCGCAGAAATGACTGCTGTCCACGCAGGCCACTTAAACTTGAAGTGGGACCCCAAAAGTCTAGAGATCAGGACTCTGGCAGCTGAGAGACTTGTTACACAGGTTACAACCCTGGTAAACACCAATAGTAAGGGGCCCTCTGATAAGAAGAGAGGTCATTCTAAGAAGGTCCATGTTTTGGCTGCATCTGTTGAACAAGCAGCTGAGAATTTCTTGGAGAAGGAGGATAAAATTGTGAAGGAGAGCCAGTTTTCTCTAGGAATAGCTTTTGGCTGCTGTAGAATACGTTCGAAAACAAGGTGATTTGATGAAGACTGCTGCGGGAGAGTTCGCAGATGATCCCTGTTCTTCTGTGGAGCAAGGCAACATGGTTCAGGCAGCTTGAACTTTGCTCTCTGCTGTTACCTGCTTGCTGATTTTGGCTGAACATGGGAAATGTCTACACATTACTTATTCAGCTGAAAGTTGTGGAAGATGATATCTTGAAATTGAGGAATGCTGGCAATGAACAAGACTTAGGAATATAGTATAAAGCCCTAAAACCCGAAGTGAATAAGGTGAACATTATGGCAGTCAAAAGACAACAGGAACTGAAAGATGTTGGCCATCGTGATCAGATGGCTGCAGCTAGAGGAATCCTGCAGAAGAATGTTCTGATCTTCTATACGGCATCCCGGGCATGCCTACAGCACCCTGATGTTGCAGCCTATAAGGCCAACAGGGACCTGATATACAAGCAGCTGCAGCAGGCCATCACAGGCATTTCCAATGTAGCCCAGGCCACTGCCTCAGACGATGCCTCCCATCACCAGGGTGGAGGAGGAGTAGAACTAGCATATGTACTCAATAACTGATAAACAAATCATTGTGGACCCTTTGAGCTTCAGCAAGGAGTGCTTGAGGCCTTCCCTGGAGGAGCACCTGGAAGGCATCATTAGCGGAGCTGCCTTGATGGGCGACTCGTCCTGCAAGCATGATGACCATCGTGAGCGAATTGCGGCAGAGTGTAACACTGTCCTCCAGGTCCTGCAGGACCTGCTTTTGGAGTACATGGGCAATGCTGGATGTAAAGAAAGAAGTAATTCCCTCAATTCTGCTATAGATAAAATGACCAAGAAGACCAGGGACTTGCGTAGACAGCTCCACAAAGCTGTCATGGACCACGTTTCAGATTCTTTCCTGGAAACCAATGTTCCACTTTTGGTATTGACTTAAGCTGCGAAGAATGGAAATGAGAAACAAGGAGTATGCCAAAGTTTTCTGTGAACATGGCAACAAATTGGTTGAGGTTGCCAACTTGGCCTGTTCCATCTCAAATAATGAAGAAGGTGTAAAACTTGTTCGAATGTCTGCAAGCCAGTTAGAAGCCCTCTGTCCTCAGGTTGTCAATGCTGCATTGGCTTTAGCAAAACCACAGAGTAGACTGGCCCAAGAGAACATGGATCTTTTTAAAAGAACAATGGGAAAAACAAGTCCATGTTCTCACAGATGCTGCTGATGATATTACTTCCATTGATGACTTCTTGGCTGTCTCAGAGAATCACATTTTGGAAAATGGAACAAATGCATCATTGCTCTCCAAGAGAAAGATGTGGATGGCCTGGACTGCACAGCTAGTGCAATTCAAGGTTGGGCAGCCTGGGCCATTCACATAGTCACCTCAGAGATGGACAACTATGAGCCGGGAGTCTACACAGAGAAGGTTCTGGAAGCCACTAAGCTGCTTTCCAACACAGTCATGCCATGTTTTACTGAGCAAGCAGAAGCAGCTGTGGAAGCCCTCAGCTCAGACCCTGCCCAGCCCATGGATGAGAATGAGTTTATCAATGCCTCCTGCCTAGTATATGGTGGCATCCGGGACATCAGGAAAGCAGTGCTGATGATAAGGACCCCTGAGGACTTGGATGACTCTTACTTTGAGATGGAAGATTTCAATGTCAGAAGTAGGATGAGCATCCAGACAAAAGACAATCAGCTGATAGCTGGCCAGAGTGTCCAGGCGATCATGGCTCAGCTTCCCTAGGAGCAAAAAGCGAAGACTGCAGAACAGGTGGCCAGCTTCCAGGAAGAAAAGAGCAAGCTGGACGCTGAAGTGTCCAAATGGGACAACAGTGCCAATGACATCATTGTGCTGGCCAAGCAGATGTGCATGATTATGATGGAGGTGACTGACTTTACCTGAGGTAAAGGACCACTCAAAAATACATTAGATGTAATCAGTGCTGCAAAGAAAATTGCGGAGGCAGGATCCAGGATGGACAAGCTTGGCTGCACCATCACAGACCACTGCCCCGACTCGGCCTGCAAGCAAGGCCGGCCTGCTCGACTCAGCCTGCCCTGACTTGGCCTGCTGGCCTACCTGCACTGCATCGCCCTCTACTGCCACCTGCTCAACATCTGCAGCAAGGTCAAGGCCGAGATGCAGAATCTCGGCAGGGAGTTCATTGTCCCTGGAATGGACAGCGCTACGTCCCTGATCTGGGCAACCAAGGACTTATGAATGCTGTGGTGCAGACAATGAAGGCATCCTACGTCGCCTCTACCAAATACCAAAGGTCACAGGGTATGGCTTCCCTCAACCTTCCTGCTGTGTCATGGAAGATAGAGGCACCAGAGAAAAAGCCCTTGTTGAAGAGAGAGAAACAGGATGAGTCACAGAGCGAGATTAAATGGGCATCTCAGAAGAAGCACTTGAACCCGGTGCAGGCCCTCAGCGAGTTCAAAGCCATGGACAGCATCTAAGTCTGCCCAGGCCAGCTGCCCCCACCCCTCGGGGCTCCTGAAGATCAGTCACTGTTCATCACTCAAATGAATTTGCTAAATACAACACTGATGTAGATTCCACGGGGAAACGGGCCGACTGTGAACCAGTCCAGGTGGTGAATTTTCCAAGGACATACTTGTGTTTAAGTTGATTAAAAATGCTTTTAGAATGCAGGAGCCTACTTCTAGCTGTATTTTTATATGCTTAAATAAAAGTAAAATTCCATAACCAAAGAGAATCCCACATTAAGTTGTTAGTAATGCTCTGACCAAGCTGTTCTGTTAGTAGTGGTGGCGTTAGGATTTGAGAGAAGGGAATTTGGCTCAACTTCAGTTAAGAGGGTGTAGTCCAGATGGCTTGACAGCTTTTAAATGACCAAAGATGACCTGTGGTAAGCAATCTGGGCATCTTAGGAAGCAGTCTCTGGAGAAGGAATGTTCCCAGAAAGGTCTTTGAAGGGACAGACTCAGTAAAACATAATGTATCATGAAAAGAACTGATTACTCTCTTGATGACATGAAATGAGAATTTTAATGCATGGTTATAATTACTAATGCATGCTGCTGCAGGACATTAATAAAGTTGCTTTTTTGCGGGCACAAAAAAAAGAGGATAATAATAGGACTTGACCATAGGGTTGTTGCAGTAATAGAATGAACTTAAACATTTAATACTTGTAAATAATTTAAAATATATGCAACATATAAAAGGCACTGTATATGTTTGTTTTAAAAAATACTGCTAGTCCCATAAGCTTAGATGGTTTTGCAACTGAGCACTAAATTTATCTCTAAGCTTTCTAGCAGTTAAGGAAAAAATAAAAATATGACAGCCTTCATAATTTACATTAACTGATTGAAATGAGCCTGCTAATTCTGAAACAGAGCCAATAATTTACCTGGCACAAATGCCTAAAGGGAATTTATCCCAGGAGACATTAAAAACAGAATAAAACACATTTTCAAAATGGCTTAAGTAAGATTTGTAGGAGAGTTCTTCGTCTGGCGAACTCTCTCATGGATACTTCATCAGAGAAAGCTATTTCTTCTGGAAGCTAAGATAAAGATGTTCATGTTCGTAGCTTTCTGATGTGTAACCCTGAATCAGTGGTTTTCAGCAGGAGCAGTTTTGCTCCCTGTGAGAACATTTGTCAATGTGTGGTGACTTTATGGTTGTCACAGCTGGGGGTGGGGGAGCATGCTATCACCATTTAGTAGACAGAGGCCAGGGATACTGCTAATACTGCACAGGACATACCTATACTATAAAAATTTATTCGTGTTTATCTGAAATTCAAATTTAACCAGGAATTCTGTATTTTAATTTGCTAACTCTAGCAACTCTAGCTGCCAAACTTCCTATAATGCACAGGACAGCCATTCACAACAGAGAATTGTCTGGCCTTCAATGTTAATAGCACAGAAGTTGAGAAATCCTGCCCAAAATGAAGACTAGATATTTGAATACTTTTCTAGAGGAATAGAGAAAAAGTATGGACATTAAAATATCTTTCTTCCCTTCAGACTTTTCTTCAGAATTAGTTAGTTGATGATTAATTTCAGGTCAAAACCTCCAGCCTTGTCTAATTAAGTCATATCCATGACGCTGACTCCAGCAAACAGGTGACAAAGTGGATGTTCTACAGGAAGCTTCTTGAAAATCCCCTAATATCTCTTGTCTGCACTAATAATTTGACACCACCTACTGCCTTAGGGCTGGGTTACCTGGAGAGATTACTGAGTACACAATCTGCTAATCCAGAAATATTTGTTGCGACTGATGTTGAACAAGGTGATTTTGATGATAAAAAAGGGGCAGGAAATAAGACTACAGTACTTGGTGGGCTTATATTTGAGTTGCAGAGGTAATAACTAGGGGAAGATACTTTAGGAAGATACTGCAAATCTCATCTTTGTGTCAGATTAAGTGAAGACTGGTGGTTTAACTAACAAGCTCGTGCAGAGTTTAGGGTGAAGTTCATTTTCCAGAAGAGGGGCCCATCTCTTGGCTGGGCTGTGAGGCTGAGCAATTGTTGGGCTCCAGAGAGGCCTGGTCTCTCCAAGGAGGAAGCATGGGGTGCCATGTAGCTCCAGAACAGGGGAATGGAAAAGCCTTTGTGGGAAGCATCACTGCTTGGGACTGATTTGTAATCCCCCTTCCTCCTAAACTCCCTTTACTTCTCTGGCCACCTATCGCCAAGGCTCACATTATACCATTTCTTTGGCTTCATTAGACACTTCTTCATGTAGTATGAGCCAAATTATTGCCCTATGATATATCTAACAAAGAAAATATTCTCTAAGTAGAACTGGAAAATGTCACAATTTAAATTCCTTCATGAAAATATCAACGAGTTAACCTTCACTGGCCTCTCATGCCTGAAATGAGATAAGTAGGGGTTATTGGGGTCTTCAATTGTTGCCCAGAGGATGTGCTTTGCATTCAGAGGTTGCATTGCTAACCAAGAAATGGCACAGAAAAATGGGAAAATCAACTGCCAGCTGCTCCCCTCAGCTAAACTGCCTGTTTAAGAAGGTAGAAGACACGCTCTACCCAGGGCTGGCTCACCTGGGGTTGTATAAACACCTCTCTTATTCTTAATTCACATCAATTTTTTGTGACCTTCTCTTTGCCATTTCTTAGCTGTGAGATGATGGCTCCTGTATTTCTAACTTCATGCCATGGAAAAGAAAATGAAAGGCAGGACCATGCCGTTTATTGAGGTAATGTGATAGCAGATATTCACACCGGTGGCCCTGACTCACCCAGAAAGGATTCAATTACTCCTATGTCCTCTGTTCAGAGAGGAGTGAATTTTTTCATCCACTTTTGAAAGCTTGCCATCAAAAAAAATAGCTGAAAATAGCAACACCTTTTTTGTGATTGAAGGGTTAGTTTCAATTTTCTGAAAAATTAACCTCCATGGTACACTTCCTCCTCTCTGAAGGCTGAGAAACAAGGCACCACTGCACTTGGATAATGTGCTCAATCCTCAGGCACAGAGACGATTTCCCATTGGTTTCATTTTGAGATGGAGGGTTCTTGATGACATACAGTCATTTTTAAAAAAAGCTTTTAAATGGAATCACGTTAGATTTACAGAAACTTTGCAAAAATAGTACAGAGAGTTTTTATATACGTGTCATCTAGTTTCCCCTATTGTTAACATCTTATATAACCAAGGTACCTTTGTCACAACTGAGAAACCAACATTAGTACATTACTATTAACTCCAGACTTTATTTGGATGCCACCAGCTTTTCCACTAATATCCTCTTTCCATTGTAGATTTCAATCCAGGACTTCATGTTGCATTTAGTTGTCAGGTCTTCCCAGTACTCTGGTCTGTGAAAGTTTCTCATTCTTTCCTCATTTTCAATGACTTTGTCAGTTTTAAGGAGTAGTGCCCAGGTACTTAGAATGCTCCCATGTCTGGATGTGTGTGTGTGTGTTTTCACATAGTTAACTGGGGTTACTGGATTTTATGAAGAATAGCACAGAGGTAAAGTGTCCTTCTTGCCAAGCACATCATATTAAGGGGTACATGATACCCACATACGATGATGTTAAGCATCATCTCTTGATCAAGGTGGCATCTGCCAGGTTTCTCTACTGTAAAGGTACTATTTTCCCCCTTTCTCTTCTCTGATTTTTGCAACCAAATCACTAAATCTAGCTCACCCCCGGAAGGGGTTAAGCTCTACTTCCTTGAGTAGGGAGCATCTACATATATTATTTTAAATTCTTGTCGAAGAAAAAATCCATACAGTCATTTTAATGAAATATTTTAAACAAATACACATAACAAACTCCCAAATTTAACAAATATTAACATTTTGCCAAGTATGCTTCAGATTTTTTTTTCACATAAAAAAAATCATTCCTGATGTGGTTGAAGTCTTTTGCTGTTTTCAATTACCTCACTCCTTCCCTATTGGTAAAAATAATCCTGTTTTTACATATATGTATATATCCATAAAAAGACTTCCATATTTATATGTTTTATTTTACAACTTAATTTTTTTCATTCAACTTTATGTTTCTGAAATCTATCCAGGTTGAAGTGTGTATATGGAAAGAAAGGCATTTTAATCTCACCAGTAAATTGTCTCTAAATCACTTTAAGTATTAGATTATTTGTGGAACTATTTCCTGTAGGGTGTCAATCATCCCATGGTGTGTGAATTGTTGCAAGGTTTAGTCTTGAGAAGTGAATGATACCTCCTAACTTCGTTCTTAATAGCTGGACTTGGGGGGTTGTAGAAAGGTCAGAAGGAGGACAAAAACTGTTCTATTAGGTAATTCCTACATTCTCTTTCTATTGGCTGTCCCTCTTGTTATCCTTTCTAACCCTGCTACCCCTTCTCCAACATCTCTGTTTTCTGTCTTTCATTCTCTAGTGTAGGTGAATCATCAGAACAAGTACCTGGTAATCAGTGAGGAACAGCAGGAGATTTCCACTCAGCCCTCACAAGACAATGCAAGGCCCCACAGGACAGAAGATAACGGAGTTTCAGTAGCTGAGCTCCAAACTTTAATGTCTTAAAGCTCAAACTCAGTCTGTCCCTAATGAATACATCATCTTTCCCCATGAGTTGCTGTGCCATCAATGTTCCCAACTTCAATATCCACCCCATTGCCTGGGAACTGTCCTTCACTCCTACCTTTCTCTCTACTCCCAGTAAATTATGCCCTAAGTACTACTATTCCTATCTCCTAAATATCTTCATTCTTTTATTTCTGTATCATTCCATGCCATCACCCTCACCTTGGTTACATTAACTCACTCCCAAATTATTGTAGCATGTGCTCAACTGGGCTCCCTGTGTACAAACTGTCAGAATCAAAATGGAGTCACTTGTGTTAAAAAGCAAAAACAAACACCAAACCAACACATGACAAATAGAGCTGGGGAATGTCATAAAGCTGTCTCATGCTTTTGTGCCTGATAACAAAAAAAACTATCACAGAAGATTCTGCAAAAGCTACCTTGCAAAAAGGCCACAGCATCCTTACAAAAATACTTCTATAAGGACATCTTCCCTGCAAATGCATGTCCAAACTTAGACTGACATCACCCTTGTTATTGATCTTTGTAATAGCCAAGGATAATTGTCTCAAAACAAGTATGCAATTCTCCTCATTTTTCCTTTAAAAACCTTTGTCTCCCTTTACCTTCCTGAATGCACATATAGTTTACCATGGTACATTTATTCCCATGGCAATGCCCATTCCTGAATAAATATTATTTTCTTTTAGAGAGCCTCTCTCTGATATATAGGTTGACAGCTGCTCTAGTCTTGCCCCCTCCAATCTATCTTTCACTCTGCAGGCTAGAGAAACCAAATCATAATACTCCCCACTGGCCTTGAGACAGAATCTGAACTTCTAACAAGATTTACAGTGCCTTCAAATCTCTCTTTTGCTTCTGTCTCTGGTCTCATTTCCTATCCTATTTGCCTCAAACTTCATTTATCCATCAGCATTTTTTACTTTCCCAAATATACCATGCTCGCCTCACCTCTAAGGCCTTCACAGGTGCTCTTCCCTCTGCTTAGAATACACCTTCATCCAACTTGAATCAGCTTTAATACTCCTTTCTGCAAGCACTCTGACAAAAGCCCTTTCCTCGACCAAACTTTAAACAGCTCCTCAGAGTCTTCTTTTTGACCAGGCCTCATCCTTGGGCCCTGTCCTTGGCCTGCTGAAGCCTGTTTCATCAAGCATCCTCCTAGTCAGTTTAGATTCCCCCACCCTTGATATCTCACCAACCTTGACATCTGGTCAAGTTCTTCATCTTCTCTGCTAACCTTGAGTTCTAAGTCTTTGGTCCACCTTTATCACAAGTTCTGGGATGCCAGTTTAGCAAGAATCCGCCAACACTTGATGTCCCTCTTAGTAACTTTCCATCCACAGACTGCTTACTCTGCTTGCTGGCTATAAATCCCCGGCTGTCTGCTGCATTGAGAACTGAGCTCAGTTCTATACTAAAGTCTCTTTCCCTTCCTGCAGTAGTTCTTCCTGCACACAATCTGCCTTTATTGCCTTTAACTAGTGTCTAGCTTGTTTCTTCGACAACTCCTTGATCCCTAGACTAGGCTGACACCCATCATATGCCTCCTCCACTTTCCTGGTGACTGCCATAACACTTTATTGTAACTTCTATAACTGGGGGCTTTTAAAAACTGAATTGTATGTCCTGAAAGCAAGTCTTAGGTCTTATTTACCATCGTATTCCCAGCATAGCATAGAGCTTGGCACACATAGGATACAGGCAGTATTTGTGGAATAATGGAATGAATTTCCAGTGTTCTTCACTTGCCTGTATGGAATGTTTCAGCATAACAGGCAGTTTTAACCATCAGGGGGTAGTATGTTGAGCCTATGGCATGGATGAAAAGAGTCCATCTATTTCTTAACTATTGCACAACTCTTAAAAAGTCCTTCCTGCCTCTGGCCTGCCATGGAGCAGAAGCACCAAACTGATTTTCTCCAGCAATGGCCCCAGGTAGACCTGGCAGCTGCCTACCTCATTTGCTTACTCTAGCTGGCTCTCTCATCACCAGTGCCTACAATTCATTGTTGTACTCTCTATATTTGTTTACCTGTCTCTCTGCATTTTCAGGCTGCCACAAAAAATAGACTAGACCTAAACTGATCAAATTTTGTTCTCAGGCACAAGAAGTTCTTCATTTAATGTAACCATTTCTCATTTTGCATCTGTTTCTCTGCTTAATTATTCATTAATTCGTGGAAGTAATCGACTGGTTTTGATACATTTCACACACTAATAAAGAGTTTCACATACATCTTAGGTTTGATTGGGGGCTTTCTGTTATCTTGAAACAGAAGTAGCCAATAATTTCAAATGAAGGTATCTTCATTTTCTAATGTATTTTAATAAAGTTTGGAATGTAAGTAGAGGCAAACAAGACAGTAATTACATGAAGTGAAAATTATCTTTTAGGCAAATATAATAGGTTAATATTGGTATCAAGAGACCAAAGGGACCATCTGTAAGTCCTTCACAGACCACCAGGGTTGCACTCAGTGAAACCCCTCTTCTTAATGATGCTCTGTCATGGTTTTGAAGGTTTATGGAAAAGAGAATTCTGTAACCTTTCTGGCAAACCCTCCTAGGTGTTAGAAATGCTGACTCAGGAAAACCTGCGTCTGTTAATTTTTCGCTTGAATTCTTCCTGCTGCAGGTAAAACCTAATTCTGTTTGCCTTTTTGCAGTGTGGGAGAAAAAAAGATGTTAAGATTGGATGCCTATAATCTCATCTAATGAGTAATAGATATAAGATTTGAACGAAGACCTGATTCTAAAGCATGCCTTATTTTTTTTTCTTAACCAATGAACTTCCTTGCCTAGTTAATGGGATTGTTCAGTACTACTTAGGGATTTATTTCCCTAAGTAGCTTGGATTAAAGGTAATGCCCACTATTGGCCATAAATCCTTGTGACTCTAGCTCTATTTCCAGGAGTCCAGGGCAGTAAGGCAGCCCACAGGCTGCCTTTGGAAATACTGGAAATGGAAGCAGAAGACTGTAATGCGTCATAGCCCAGTGTGCTTCCTGAGCTAGCTAGAAAACTCTGTCCCTGGGCACCCCAGGCCTTTGGTACAGTTTTACACTTTTTTTTTTTTTTTTTTTTGAGATGGATTCTCACACTATTGCTCAGGCTGGAGTGCATTAGTGCAATCTTGGCTCACTGCAACCTCCACTTCCCAGGTTCAAACAATTCTCCTACCACAACCTCCTGGGTAGCTGGGCTAATTTTTATATTTTTAGTAAGACGAGGTTTCATCCTGTTGGCTGGGCTGATCTCAAACTCCTGACTTCAAGTGATCTGCCAGCCTTGGCCTCCCAAAGTGCTGGGATTACAGGCGTGAGCCACTGCACTGGCCTACGCTTCTTATTACCATACACCACTCTGACATTTGAAAAGTGGTAAAAGTTAATCTGAGCTCAAGAATAGTAACTATCTTAGATCCTTTGTAAAATGAGGACAATAATAGTCCCCACTTCTTCATTCTAGTGAGGATCAATGCTGTATTACATATAAAGTGGTTGGAACAGAGCCCAGTAGATAGTCAGCTCTCAATAAAGCTTGCGTATGAATACTATTTTTAAATTGTTGCTTCTATTATTGTTATTGTTTGAGAGCAAAATATTTAAACACAGCTGCAGTTAATTAAGAACCTCCGTAGTGAGGTTCCTGACTGGCCAATGACTCAGCTACTAAGAGAAAGAGGAAACGCCAGTAGTTGCTGCTAAAACATGCACACCCTTACACAGGTGCCTGGAAACCCTGAGAATTTTATGCATTTACTTTAGCTTTTCCCAGAATTATATCCACTGTTTTAGAAAATTTTAACTTACTAATAAAATATTATTATACATGATTCTTGTCCCCAAAGTCTTCCTTTGAAGTACTCCTATTTATACCATATAGCTCTTAAGTTTCTCTGTTTGATGATAGCGTATTGATTATTCACATCCAGAGATTGTTTTTTATTGTGTTATATCTACTCTTGAGATTTTTAAAAATTCTTGTTTCTTTCTTCATGTTGTATAGTTTTGTTTCACATAAAGATCTATTATCTTGCATTAATGTTTCTTAAATACTGTTTTTTACACTTCTTAAAACTTAAAAACTTTTTTAAAAAATTATACTTTAAGTTCTGGGATACATGTGCAGAATGTGCAGGTTTCTTACATAGGTATACACATGCCATGGTGGTTTGCTGCACCTATCAAAAAAACTTTTAATTATATAAATGCACAAGCTGCATAAAATTATTTACTTACTATAAAAACCTCCAGAAATGTAAAAGGTCCTTATAAGCACTTGTCCATACTTTATTAGCTTCAAAATATTGAACACCTGTTTAAAGTTATAATTGTAGAAACTGTCTTATTTTAAGGTATATAACAAATAAAGCTCAGAAACACAATGGCGTTGTTATAACGTGTCACCTGACATTGTCAACAGTGGATTAATTAATAGGCGTGGTTTCTACAGGATCATTAGATAGATTTTGTATTCATTTTGATCAGATGTTCATCTCTACACAAAGTTCGAGGGGAGTGCAAATATGTCATGGGAGTATGCTACCATGCTGTACCTCCACCCCAGCCAGCCCCTACCCACTCCACCAACAGCCCTATATTTGTCGATGTGTGAACTTGCTTGAGCCGGGTGGACTAGAAAATACCTAAAGGGAGTTTATTAAGAAGAGAAATGATATGTTTCAGTTCTTGGTAGCAGTCTAGATGCTGGTGAATGTTAGGCCACCACCGTCCATATCGTGAACTCTCTGAGAGACAACTCTGGCATGGCAAATGACGTGTGATCATGTGCATTGACTCATGCAAATATAAGAAAATCATTGACAGCTCAAGACCCTACTTTCAGAAGATTGCATGGGAACTGCTAACAGGACCTTCCGAGTACCCTGCCAGCTCACACCTGTTAATTATGTACACCTGCCCAGGGCCAGCTGCCCATGTAGAAGGTTCAGAGGCAGGTCAAAACTCCACCTCTTTCGGCTTCTTCCGGCTGCTGAGTAGCAGGAACTAGCCTAATTAATCCTGATGCTTCCTAAGCATTTAGATTAGAGAAGTAAAAGGTATCAGGAAGTCAAAAGATTTCTTTGGAGTTTTTTGTTGTTGTTGTTGTTTTAACTTTAAGGTCCTACATAAACTGATGTTGAATTTATAGAAAATTTTGCTTTGGAGATTGAGATGAAAAGAGTCTGATTTCTGAGGTCTAATTATGACTAATCAAACCGCCACAGGCACTAGATCAGAGGAATGCATACCTCGTCAGCATGAAAGCAGCAGGTAGAAACAGCTGCTCTGTGCAAATTTATCTGGACTGATCACAGCAGAAGAAAAGGAACTAGGTTTATGTCAGGACCTGGGCCAGAGACCAGAGTGACTTTTTTTCTAGGAAATGGCAACAGTGCCAGCAATCTTTTAGCACAAGGTATAAGAAAAACTAGTCATGCTCTACCTGAAATAATTTTTTTAATTCATAATATTATTTATTCTGTTACTGGAAAAATAGACATATTCTTTCTTTCTTCACTAGCTGTAATTTATAGCAGGCAGGAAGAGAGTGCTGGATTCCTAAGGGTTCTCTAAGGAAGTCAACTGCAATTCCCCACTTTTGTGCCCATAAAACAGCATAACATTAAACAGTGGACAATACAGGGACTTTCAAGATCATGGTTCACAAACTCCCAACTTGATCACACATCTCATTCTATATGTTTGCCTGGAAGTCCACCTCTTAGACTATACAGTCTTTTCTTGAGCCATTTTTAAAGTGAAATTTTAACTGTACCTATGTGGAATTTTTCTGGATTTCTTCCCATCTACTCAGTATCAATATCTACTCCATATCCATCTACTCAATATCTACTCAGATCCCTGCCTTGGAAATTGGAAAATGGAAGATGGGAGTGGAAAACAATATCAATTCTTAGTTTTTGGAAGTGAACCAATTTGCTCAAATATTCATTCTTCCAGAATCAGTCTTGGAAATAACCACTAGCTACTCTATCAGATAGTTTGTGCTGCAAGATAAACTACCCTAAAACTTGTGGCTTAAAACATCCACTATTTATGTAGCTAGCAATTTTGCAGATCAGCAATTTCGACTGAGCCTAACTGGGCAGTTCTGGTCTTGACTAGGCTCAATTATGGGTCTGCCGGGTTGACTGGGACCCATAGGGTGGCCTCTTGGTCAACTTGTTGTTTCTTCATGTGGTCTCCTCACCTTCCAGCAGGCTAGCCCAGGCTTTTCCACACTGGGGCTGGCTGGGACACTAGAGAGAGAGCAGAAGTGTTCAAGACCTCCACAAGTCTTACCTTGGAACTAGCACAATATTATTTCCACCACATTCTATTGGTCAAGTCACAAAGCCAGCCCAGATTCAGGGCCAGCCTACCGCTTGATGGAAAGAGTTGCAGGGTCACATTACTAGGGGCACAGATGCAGGGAGTTATTACACTGTAGTCATCTTTGCAATCTACCACACATGTAATGGAGGAAAAGGGGATCCAAATAATTTTATCACAGGTGAATTTTCCATAGAAGAAAAATGAGCTGATAAATAAATTATATGGATTTGTACCTTTAAAATAGTAATAAGCAGTCATTCTTGCTAATATTAATGCCATGAAAACAAAAACTACAGGGGCAAATTCTCAGCTTAGTTTTAGTCTGGCTTCCCAGATTTTATACATGATAAATGGAAGACCTTTCCCCTTAATATAACTTTCATTTTCAATAGTTTGTATAGATTCTTATTGCAGGCTGGGTTTTCTGGGAAGTAGACTCTGAGGTGGAGTCGAGTGTAAAAAGTGTTTATTAGGGATTGTCTCTGGGATCAACACCTGTGGAGAAGTGAAGAAGGAGCAGAGGGAGGAGTTGAATGATCAGGCAGGTCCACAGCCTCAGTGGACCCTGTGGGAGCTCTGGATCTAAATGCCCTGTCAGAGTTGTCCCAGGTTAGGCCACTGTGGCTGGGCCTTTATAACCAACCCTTCCTCTGTCAGTCACTGGATGTGGGCGTCTTCTGGAAAGGACATAATCTTAGGCAAGGTGGCTTTCTGCATCTAAGGCATTTCCTGAAGGTGCCCACAGATGCTGTCTGCTAACAGCAAATTCTGGGGCTGAAGGCCCTTCCTTCCAGATCCATCACAATGCTAGTAGAATTATGATAAGAGTCTAGCTACATACAACTAATTTCATCTGCAGGAGAAGCTACATGACGCATCATGTGATGATATTTATTGACTCTGTTGTTTTCCTCAGAGGGTTTCAAATAGCTTCAAGAAGTGTAGCTGACTCATAGTGCTGTTACTTTCATTTTACTGCTGGGGCTGAGCAATAAGTAGTAGGCTAACTGAGGAATTTATCAGCCATCCATGCAAGTAACTTTCATGCATATTTCAGGCTTCCTCTTCTCCCTCTGAAAAGAGCATTAATTTCTGCCATCCTACCCTCTGGCCAACAATTTCTGACTTGGTGGATAGGGATGTGGCTCTTTCTCCCTCTTCTGTCTGGATCACAAATTACCTTCATCGTCATGAGTGAGTGAATTTGTGCTAAGGGAGGACGGGGGACCACAGATTATCCCAACTCTAAGGTAGTCATACATATAAAATGCTAAGCTTGGCAAATAAATCTATTGGAACTGATTGTGTACAATAGTATTACTTTTTTCTTTTTGTGAAGAAATGAAGCACGCTCCCTTGGTGAATTTAGAATAGGATTTGATTTTCAAAAACTGATTTACATACAACCTTTCAATCATCTTCTGTACATGTGGCTGGATTAAGAAAGCTTTAGTTGTACTTCCGGTCTGATTATGGGATTGCCCTTGTAAGGGCCTTTAAGTAGTCTTTGCTAAAGTTTGACCAGCCATAATGAGAGGCATAATTGTTTAGTGGTTAAGAGGCCAGGTTCTGGAGTCAGACAGACTTAGATTGCAATCCTCTCTCTGACGCTTTCTAGATGTGTGTTATTGGACAGATCAGTCAATCGCCTAAAGCCTCAGTTTCCTCCTCTATACAATGGGCATCATAATAGCTGCTCCCTCCTAAAAAGATTCAGTGAGGTGATGCCCACAAAGAGCCTGGAACGGTAGCTTACGCCTGTAATCCCATCACTTTGGGAGGCCGAGGTGGGCGGATCACGAGGTCAGGAGATCGAGACCACGGTGAAACCCCGTCTCTACTAAAAACACAAAAAATTAGCTGGGGGCGGTGGCGGGCGCCTGTAGTCCCAGCTACTCGGAGAGGCTGAGGTAGGAGAATGGCGTGAACCCGGGAGGCGGAGCTTGCATTGCAGTGAGCCGAGATCTTGCCACTGCAATCCAGCCTGGGCGACAGAGCGAGACTCTGTCTCAGAAAAAAAAAAAAAAGAGCCTGGAACAGGCCCCGGCACTATCAATCTTAGTTCCTTTTCTTTAGGATGAAGATGACAATGACGGTGAGACATTTGGTCTTTGCCTTCTGCTACATCCCCACAAACACTCCTCTTTATGGTCATCTTAATCTGGTGTTTCTTAATTTGTCTGATGCAGGAGATCTGAAGCAATAGGTAGCAGGTAGAGGTAAAAGAATATAGAGCAGACAAATGTATATTTGAAAATATATATTGAATAGATTCAGCTTTCAAAATAGCAAGATAGCATAGCATGGCTAAATTCTAGGAGAGTTACATTTTAAAAAATAGCTATGACTGTTTCAGTGCTACCTGAAAGCAGACACCTAAGGGAACATAGGGAGGGGTGTGGGGGTGCAGTGCCAGCCACCATGGGAGTGAATTTCTTGGGTTCAGGAACGGGGTCAGGGAGTCAGCAAGAGAACCAAAAGTCCAAAGTTTGTGGGCCTGTGGGAGGGACACAAAACCACAGGCTTCTTACGCCAGATCCACTGGTGGCTGCCAGTAGTGACAGATTGAGAGGGCTGACAATACACAAGGCAATTTGAGAAGGTTTCTAAATATAAGGACTTTTGACGTCATCCATGTAACCTCAGCTGTTCTATAATAAGGCTTAACCTTTGTCCACTCTGGCACAAGACTTCATATGTCACAACAGTTTGTCACAGAGAGGGACAATGCTAGATTTACAAACTATGAAGATATTTCAGGCTGGGCCTGGTGGCTCACGCTTGTAATCCCAGCACTTTGGGAGGCCGAGGTGGGTAGATCACCTGAGGTCAGGAGTTCAAGGCCAGCCTGGCCAACATGGTGAAACCCCCTCTCTAATAAAAACACAAAAATTAGCTGGGTGTGGTTGCACACACCTGTAATCCCACCTGCTCGGGAGGCTGAGGCAGGAGAATCACTTGAACCTGGGAACTGGAGGTTGCAGTGAGCCAAGATCACACCACTGCACTCCAGCCTGGGCAACAGAGTGAGACTCTGCCTCAAAAAATAAATAAATCAATCAATCAATAAAGATACTTCTTAGATATGAGCTTAATATTCTACAGTGGAAGAGAATATCTCCACTTTGGCCATAGTGATTTATTCATGCATTTCTAGTTTTGGTATACTCTAATTTAGTTGGCAGTGAGAGGAAACTGGTATGTTCTATTTTACCAAGCTGTTTCCTACGTTCATACTCAGGTTACCAACTTTCAAAGAGCTGGTTACCAACTTTCAAAGAACTGGAATTCAATGAAATGCATTAACATTGAAGCTATTAATTTATTCTTTCTTTGGCAATTTAGAAGAGCTTTGGGATCTGTTGGGATCTCATTGTTTCGTTATCACCATGTATTTCTTCAGGTTTAGAAGATGTAAGCAGCTGAGCCCAATATATGTCCAGAAGCTATCTTGTGAATATGTGCCTAGTATCTGATTCTAGACTTCATGCTACTTTCTCACAAAAGCATAAGCTTAGGAGCTACCTCTGGTCATTTGAGTCTTCTCCTTGTCTGGATTCAGAGTCAATAGGCTTCTCCCATTGAAGTAGCCCTCATTTTATGCCATCCCCAAGACATCTTAAAATGGAGCAACAGGCAGTACTCCTCAGGAAGGGAAATGTTGGGAAATGCTTTGCCTGGGGATCTCAGACCCACACGCCATCTCCAGGCCTTGTGACAGAAACCCTGGGCTTGAATATGGCCTACCTGGTGTTTCAATCTGATTCTGATAGCAGAACAGTGAAACTAGTCTGAAGGATTTCATTTTAAGCCTTCAAATAAAGTGTCAATCACTTTCAGCTAAGCAGTTTACAGTCACAAACAAACATGACCCGTATCTTCTAAGGTCTTTTGTATCAAAGTGTTTTTGTTATTTTTGTTCTAGCTGTCTTATTACTTTTCAAAAGTAGAAAAAATATGTAATCGAGTTCTTGATCCTGCAGTGTGTAGAATTTAACTATAAAGTGTGATACTTATTTTCTTGGATGGCTGATAAATGGACTGATTTCAAGTGGGAGTCCTAGGAGGGACTTGAGCAACACACCAAGTGTACAGTCACCTTTAAAAAGGTATGGTTTGCCAAAACAAAGATCTTAAAGGACTACACCACCTATCACTTGGCTTGTACACCTACTGAGAGCTGGCCAAATTCTTCCCCGGCTAGATAGCCAATAGGAACAAACTTCTCAGCTCCCTGCCTTGGTTCCTGACCTATCACCTGAGCATCTCATCTTGCCCTATTTGCTGCTCTTCCCCTAGCTGTTGACCTTCTAAGCATCTTAGCTATTGCCTGGCCTGCAGTCTCTGGCCTCACCTTTGCCCATCAGACCTGGTGCTTGATTGCTTCTCCCATTCCCTTGCCACCTACCTGGGACTCCAGTTTACACTCTGCTTGGATGACAGCTGCCCTCTGCTGCCTGTGGTAACACTTTCACCCAGTCTTTTCCCCAAGGCTAGTACATTTGTGGGGGTTGAGGGGTGCAGAGGGTACTCTTGGTTCAGGAAAAAGATACGGCTAAATTGGTTTCATAACAAAAATCTTTTAATGGATTCTAAACAGCTTTTACTGGTTCTGCAACATGTTTATTGTGAATTGAGTAGGTCCAACATTTTTTTCTTATCCACCGATTGGCAGACATCTATTGAGACCTACCAGGTGGCCAGTGCTAGGTTTGGCATTGGGAAGTTACCGTGTGATCTTAAACCCTGAGGAGGATGTAAGGGTGATCCCCTGGCTGTGAGATCCGTCTCCCCACATATGGAAGAGTTGACTGCACTTTTCTTTACGGTTGGCAGACAGTCTATTTTCCATCCCTAGTCCCTGTGGGCATCTCCTGAAGCTGTCAAAAAAGAGCCAACCTTCCCAGATAGACGGTTCCTGCATAAAGTGTATACACAACGTCAAATACAAAAACATGAAATAGAACTTTACATATAGTGTACTTAAGTCAGTTGCTAAAAATCAAGGGAGAGACTACATATATCTACGTGGTACCTCTGAAAAACACCCAAGAAAATGATAACATTGGTTGCTTCTGAAAGGGAATTGGATAGTTGGGAGTCGGGGGAAGAAGGGAAAATTTTCACTGTATATTCTTTTGTACCTTTTGAATTTTAAACCGTGTGAATATTATAGCTATTAACAAAACAAAACCGATTTTTAAATGTTAAGTTCTCAAAGAGGAGGGCAGGGGAGTGTTGGAATAAGTGGAGCTGCAATCTCTTCTTGTAACCTGCAGTCTTAAGCAAATTGATGAGAGATACCCAAGTGCAGATACAGAAGATAGATCCCTAGGAAATCATTGAACAAGGAAGCAGAACTCAGCCTTACGAATTATGCGTACTTTTTTTCCTGAAAAAAATATATCAAGATATCCCTCATAGATGTGTATGTGCTCAGGCCCCTTCAGCCCATGGCTGGGAAGCAGACAGGCATGCAGATGACGGGCTCAGGTCAAATGGTAAGGGGAAGCACCTGAAAGCCCTGGTGACACTGAGTGATTCAGCCAGAAGAGATAACCATCTGCGCTAAATTCTGCAAAAATGCATGTGTGGGTTTCTGTGATGGCCACCACCAATTAGGGTGTTTAATATTTAAGGCATGTTTAATATTGTAAGGCATGTTTGAACTTCAGGCCCAAAGATATTGGATTTTGATGATACTTTCACAGCATCCTCCTTAATGAATGAAATCTCTGAACTATTCTCAAGACAGAATAAATTTGTGTTCCCAGGTGTAAACAATAAATAATGTACACAGAAAGTGCCTTACAATATTGGATAAGGCCATGTCTACAATCTGCTGTTTACACTTGTATCACTTTTTATTGGTGACATATGAGCTTAATACAGTAAAAAGCTGCAACTGAGTCCTGTGCAGGCCACAGAGGGCAAGTCACAATTCACCAGACACCTGTTTTTTGTCAAATTTTCAAATCAACCACAACAGGCTACCAGCACTAAAACTCCTCAGATCAATACACAAATATTAAAAATTTGCATTTACTTAATAACTACAGAATGATGGTGCTGAAGTAGCTACTATGCACAATCTTTAAAAATAATGTTTTTTAAGAAAAGCAAAATGCAAGATTTCTTCTATTGATTGTGTTTGCTGGGAATTTAAAAGGTTCATGTGGGAAGATTCATACTGCAATTTCAAATCATGGAAAATTGGAACAATGGCAAATTCCTAAGGTGGGCGGAACTCTCTAGTGAACTATAACCAAATGAGCCACCCCTTTCAGGATCACAAACCAATGCTGAACAGCAGAGGCCTTCGTTTGCTTTCTCTTGTTACAGTCAGGTTGAACATATTTGGCTGCTGATTTATCTTCTCAGCTTAAGCAATTTACACAGATTACATCATTAAATCTTCACAACTACTGCTTGAGCTATAATTATTCTGTTTCATGGATGAGGAAGCTGGAACACAAAGAGGATAAGTCATTTATACAAAATCACTCAGCTAGTTGATGGTCAAATCCAGCCAGCAAAACTTCCAAATCTGTGTTGTAACCATCCCATTGTACTGTTGCTCTGAAGAAATATACTAGGTTCAATGGGCCATTTTATACATTTTATGTTTAATAGAAAAGTAATAACTTTATGCTTAAATATTAGAAGAAAAGAGAACTGTAGTAAACTGTGGCTGCCATGTACAGTTGTATGGATGAGCACTGCCCAACCATAGGGCCCTCATCCATGTTACAGCCCCTAGAGGGGCACCTCTTAGATCTGGGCAGTGTACAATGTACACCAGTGTGTGCCATGGCCCTGAGTAACCTGAAGGGTTGATGAAAGTTGTATAAATGTTTCTTTACCACAGAAATATTATTTCCTATATTAGCCCTATAAAATTAGAAAAGTAGTTTATAGAAAAAAGAAAAGCAAGGGAGGGCAAGAGATTATATAAAGCATTAAGTTGGCAAATTTATTTTTTATCTACATGCTTCAAATTTCACAGGCTGAGTTAAGTCATTTTGCTGAGACATATAATAATTAGAATTATCACCTATCCACTCACATTGCTTCTCTTTATCCTCTGTTTTTTTGTTAGTCATTTTATTATACGTGATCAGGATTCATAATATTTACAGTCTATTAGGAATCATAATTTCCACAATTTCTGACATTAAATCCCACATCTAAATAGACCACCAGACCTTGTATCATGGCCTCTCAATTTTTAAATTCATATTGGTTAATTTCTTAATTGGCTCCAAAATTATCACTGGGTACTAATAATTTTATGATTTTGTTTATTTCTGTGGGATAGATTCCAAGTGTTGGGTAATAGGGTATAAGCGTTTTTTAAAATTCAGAGGCATTGTCAAATTAGCCCCTAAAAAGGCTGGATTAATTTGTGTATTCACTAACAGTCTATGAGAATATCTATATTCTTATGCCCTCACCAACCCTAAATACAATCACTGAAAAAATGTTTACTTATTTGAAGAATTGAAAAGACTATCCTCCCACAGAATCCAAGTCAGAGATAGTTACTATTAATGGTTTATTATATAGTTTCCATAGCATCTTGCTGTTATAAAACAATAAAATATAGACACGCATTTGTAACATAAAAGGGCACTTACTATACAAACTGTTCTCCACCTTGCTTTTCTCTCCATTACGGATCTTATAGAAAATCCCATATCAGCACATATTCAGCTAATTTTTAAGAGATGTACAGTATATAGATGTTCCATTATACAGGTGTTCTAATATTGATTTAATGTTCTGTTAATGGACTTGTAGGCTATTCTAGACTTTGATTTTAAATAATGCTTCAGTTACTATCTTATATCTTTCCACACATACATGAATATCTGTTGAGTAGATTCCTAGACGTGAAATTTCTGAGCGGAAAAGGCATGTGCATTTAATGTTTCGATTGATGTTGCCGACATCACCTCTAAAGAGGCTTCATCATTTGCAGGCCTACCAACAGTGCCTGAAATCGCCTGTTTCCCCATAGCCTCTGTAAAATAGTGCTCTGTCAGACTTTAGGAACACTGCCAATCTAGACATTGAAAGATGCTGTCTCAGTTTAATTTTAATGTCTACTTGTCTTATTATGAGTAGCAACGGACCAACTCTTTAGTATGTGTAAGAGGTAGTTGTACCTATTTTTCTATGAACTCTCTTCACTCATCCTTCACCCATTTTTCCACTGGTTTTCGGTAACTGCTATTTCTTTTTGATTTGTAAAACTTATCTATATATGGAGTAGATTAGCCCTAGCCATCTGTTTTGTTAATAATAGTTCCTAGTTGTAGTTTGTCTTTTGTATTTCTTTGAAGTATTTTAGGCTGTGAAGAAATTTTTTTACACTTATGTAGACAATTTTATCCATTGTTTGTGTTTCTATGTTTTATTTCTTCCTTAGAAAGGCCTTCTTCATTCCAAGATTGAATTTCAAGATTATTTTATATTTTCTTCAGGTACTTTCACTGGTGCTTTTTAAAAAATTTTATTTAAACATCTGACCCATCTGCTACTTATTTTGCAGTAAAAGGTAGGCATCCAGATTCTTTTTTCTCATTAGCCTATCAAATATTGAATAATCCCTCTTTTCCCCACTGTTTAGAAATACTGCTTTCAAGAAAATTCCAGAATTTACATCAGAAAGGTCCCAAGGAAGACACTGAGCTTAGTCATTCCCACACGTTGACTTGCAGATTGGTGCTCTGTGGGTCTCTTCAGGGTCTCACAATGGTCCCACCAAAAATACAAGTTCCTGCCCCAGGAGCTTCAGATTCTCAGAGAGAGTTCAGGAAACTGTCTTTTTGCCTCTAGCTGTTTATTTTAAAATTTTTAACCCAACAGAAACATTGTTACGGGATCCTTGGGGTGTCACTTTGCCAGCTGGAAACCTCTGTGGCCAGTGGTTCCTCTGTCCGAGTTTTGCTCGGGCCCACTGGGTTCATTCTGCCCGCTTGGCCTAGCAGGCTGTGCTCAGCTCATGCTACCGGCCTGGATCCTACACCTGCCAAGGGCAAACCAGGCACAGAGCAGCGAGGAGTGTGTGATCGAGGGTGGGGTCCAGCCACTGCACACAGCCACACATGTGGGCGGCAGTGGGGCGGGCAGCTCCAGGCGCTGGTACAGGCACAGGCTCCCTGTGAGGCTGCAGCTGGGCTAGGCATACAGCAAGCAGCTTCCATGGCTGACACCGGGCAACATGGTGGTGCCCAGAAGCTTGGAGATGCCAGGAACCACAGAGCCCTAAAGAAGGTGACACAGCCCTGGCTCCGGGAGCTCCTAGGTCTGGGCTCCCCAAAGGGCTGCAGCTCTTCTCTCCTTCTTGTCACCGGTAACATGGTGAGCAAGGACTGTGTTTCAGCCCTGTTTGGTTATAGCTCTTTGAGCCCTGCCATTTGGTGGGTCCTGAGTTCTTGTCCTACATCCAGAAAGAATGAGGTATGCAGACAAGTGGAGGGTGAGCAAGACAAACAGGAGCTTTACTGAGCAATAGAATAGCTCAGAGGAGACCCACAGTGAGCAGCTCCTCTCTGCTAGGCAGGTCGTCCCAATGAGTGTTCAGCCCTCAGCAGAGAGGGTAGCTCCTCTCTGCAGACAGGTTATCCCATCATCTCTTCAACTCTCAGCAAAGAGGGTAGCTCCTCTCTGCAGCTGGTCATCCTCTCATCTCTTCGAATCCGGCTGAGTCTGGAGCTTTTATATGCCTCAGAGGGGAGGAAGTGCGTGCAGATTGGTCCGTGGATGGCCGTGGGTGGGCCCGGAAAAAGCACCAGAAGTTCCCACTCTGGTCTGCATGATTGGCAGCCTGGCCCCCAGGCTTCAGGCCTTCCCCAGATTGAAGATGGGGCTTCACTGAGGACCTGCCCCTTTCTGCCCAGGAGCCTGTCTGCCTCCTTCCATCATCCATGGTGCCCAGGCTGTTTGTGCTGAGGGGCGCTGGCAGGCCAGCACCGAGCTGCCTTTAGCACCTCCTCGGCTTCCCTCCCATGCTCGTTGGCACCCAAAGTCTGAAGGGAGCCAAGGAAGAAGGGGGCTGGCATGTCAGCGCTGTCCCAAGTGTCTGTACACCTGGCCAGGTTGTGACAACACCCAGGCTCAGCCTCAACTTGCAGGACACAGGGCTCCTACCACTGCCAATGCTGCTCCCACAGCCACTCCTGCTGCCACTGTCCACACCTCACCACTGCAGCCAGCATGATGGTAGTGGCTGGTCCAGATGGCCCGCCACTGCCATCATCATGAAAAGTTCAATTAAAAAACTGTATAAACTTTACCTAGATTCACTGTCATTAACATTTTCTCGCATTTGTTTTATATCTCTTTATATATTTATGTGCCTATACACACACACACACACACACACACACACACGCACATCTATATTTTTGAATCTTTTGATAATTAGTTGCAAATGTAATTTCACTCCACCCTTATATGTTGACACATTTTTTTCTAAGAAAAGGATATTGACACATTTTTATTCTAAGAACAAGGATATTCACCTGCATAGCCACAATATAATTATCATGCAGGAAATTTAACAATGTAACAATACTACTATCTAGCAATCCATGTTCAAAGTTTCCCAGTTTTCCAATAATATCCTTTGTAGTTGGTTTTTCACTCAGGGTCCAATCAAGAATCTGCAATGCATTTAGTTTTCATGTCTTTTTAGTCTCCTCTAACCTAGGACAGAACCCAATCTTTTCTTTTTTTCTCTAACGACCTTGACATTTTTGTTATTTTGCCGAACGTCTCTCGATTTGGGTTTGTTTCCTCATGATTAGATTCAGATTGAGCATTTTGGGCAAGAATGCTACAGTATAATAATGATCTATGTCATACTAGGAGACACATGATGTCAGTTTGCCTCATAATTTGTGATGTTACGTTTAATTACCTTGTTAATGTGGTGTCCATCAGATTCCTAGGCAGCTATAATTTCTAGGTGCTACTCATGTGATTAGAAGTAGAACCTGGTTTAAGAGTCACTAGGTTAGTCAAATATCCTATTTAGAGATGGCATTCTCTTCTCTGGTGTCTTTCAAGGCTGGGCATTTTCCAGAAACTTTATTAGCCCCAGTAAAGGAGAATTTCTACACTTCAAGGGCAGACAGATCTTTCTTCTAGTTAAGTTCATTAGAAAATATATTTAATGCCCAAAATAAAATAATTAAAAGCAGTGACTCAGACAGATATTTGTACACCCATGTTCATTGCAGCATTATTCATAATTGCCAAAAAGTAAAAACAATCCAAATGTCCATTGATAAATGAATAGATAAATTGAGTATATACATAAAGTAGCATATTATTCAGCCTTTAAAAAGGAAGGAAATTCTGACACATGTTATAATGTGGATGGACCTTGAAAACATCATAATGTTTGATGTTCTTAAGTAAAAAAAAGCCAGACACAAAAGGATATATATCATATGATCCCATTTATATGAGGCAGCTGAAACAGTCAAATTCAGAGATACAGAAAGTAGAATGGTGATTCCAAGGGGCTGGGGGAAGGGAAATGGGGAGTTATCATTTAAAGGGTACAGAATTTCTGTTTGGAAAGATAAAACCCATGTAGACATGGATGGTGACAATGGTTGCACCACAATATCAAGGTACTTAATGCTCCTGAATTGTGCTCTTATAAATGGTGAAAATTGTAAGTTTTATGTTATATATATTTTACCACACTAAAAAACCCTTTTTTACAAACACACATTTGTTTATACCAAGAAAAAATTGCTGCTTTCTAACTCTTCTTCCTTTGTTTTGGCTTCTGGAACAATACAAAATGCACTTTTTCCTCTCTTCCTTATGATATCCTTCCAACTTGTCTCCAACCCATGCCTACACTGCCCCTCCCTGTCCACCTTCTCAACCTAGTGGGAAAAGTATAGACTTGAGTGGAAGTTTTACTTCTTCTAGATTCATTATTATTCCTTTTTAAAAGTCAGAATGGTTTAGGACTGCCTTAGGATGTTTTATTTCTTGAGAAAAGTAAAATTAAACATTCTAGTACTAAAGTGGTCCACCAATTTCGGACATAGGACAACATGTATAGTACTTGCCCACGGCTCTCCTTCTCTTGTCCTAAGCCTGCATTCCACCCTGTGCCTGCAGAGGATTATGCAGCAGCTGCTTGAAAGCAGGATGCATGTGATGATTCATATCCAGCAAGCTGTAGAGAATGCCGAGGTCTTTTATCTCCTTGAAGCATCAGGGCAGACAGAATAGAACTTGGCCAACTGGAAACAGCTTGACATTCCTTGATAGGCTCACATAACAGTTCATAGGCACAAAGACAGTTACACTTTGCCATAGCAACAAACTCATTTACCCTAGTGAGGTAGGCCTTGGCAAGGCTATTAGCTGCCCTCATAGCTTAGCAGACACTTGGCCACTAGGCTACAGGCTCTGTGGGAGGTGCCCCATGCAACTCCAAATTCAGGCCCAATGAGCAATTCAATGTCATCAGATTTCAAGCTGATCAATGGGCCCAAGGCCTGGTACTATCATAAAGAAGTCATGGAGCACATGGTGGGATGGTGGGTCTCCCCCAATCCCTCAAGGGTAATGCTCAGCTCTGTGTATTTCTGGGGAGGCTCCACCAGCCTACACTTACCAGCACTCCTTGGAGGAGTTTTGTGTCCTTTCATGGAGCAGATAGGAGAAAAATAATCAAAAGAGAGGAGCCCAAAATGAGGAGAAAAGGAAAGGATAAGGGATTCCGGAGCCTTACATAGGAACCAGTCTTTTTGCTTCTCAGGCCCTCCTGCATACACCACCTTGCAGAACAGGCTCAGGGCTGGTGTATTAGTAAGGGTTCTCCAGAGTGACAGCCCCAATAAAATGGATGGATGGATGGATAGAGGGATGGATAGATAATGGATGGATGGAGAGAGAGAGAGCACAGCCCAGGGGTGAAGAGGAAAGGGCAGGTCTTTAGCATTAATTGGAGCCAGGCTGATCCTTCAGACCCAGAGATCTAGAGTCCAGTTTAAGTTGGAGATCAGACCTTTAATGGAGAGCTCCAGACATGAGATTAGGGAAAAGAGGCCCAGTATCCTGAGAGTAAGAACCTCCTCCTCCACCCAAACCCACCATCCTCTTTCTTACCATCATCCTAGGCTGAGGGTATACTTGGTGAATTGGAAAGTTACGACTCTTTACAAAAAGGAGAAGAGGCCACTGAGCAGGAAAAGAATTGAGGAGATGACACCCTGCACCCTGGTGGTATATTTTCCTTTGGTCCATCTAAAATCATGCAAGCATTCCTTCTTTATTTTCTTTGCTTATAAATCAACTGTCTGCCCTATAAGATGGTACTTTTCTTCTTGTGACAAGCCTCCTATGTATTACTCCCATCCAGGTAACCATCACCTACTCAACTGGAGGAGACTATTTTTGTGCCCGATTTGCTTGCTGGAAACTGCAGAACTTCAATGTCTGCAGTGAAAATGGAAAGAAAAGAAAACCAGTTGTCTGCCTTGGTGATGAGAGCAGAAAGTCAAGAGCAGCAATATAGGCAGCTAACAAGCATTTAATGGTGAGGGAACAAGAGAAGGGAGGAAAGGCAGGGGGCTCAAGGTCATGGCCAAGATATGTTTTTCCTACTCAGAATTAGGTCTGGGCCTGACCATGTTCCTATAGACCAAATTCTGTCCTCCAGAAATAGGTACAGTGACCCACACATAAAAGGCATTATAAGCAAATGAGGTGCCTCTTTAATTCTTCGATGAGCTCTAAAAGTTATCTTTACAGTTTAGTTATAGTCAGAGCAACTGTTAGAGAACCTTGGTTTTTTTCCCAAAGAAAAAGAGTTGCCACTGTGAGAAATAACTGGGATTTCCTGACATTAAAAAATAATAACAGACATATTAGTCCCTTTATTGTTAAGTAAAAGAAGGAAATGGGCAGGAACCACTATGCATTGAAGAGGAAAGTATTGAGCTTCCAAATATATCCTGGGAAACATGTAATACTTCCCTGAACATAGGGAAATGTGGCTGAGATTCTCAGCACAGAAGTATGTTTGCCACATGCAAAGCACATAATAGAAGTGATAGGGACAGGGCAGAGAAATTCTAGGCAGAAAAAGATGGGTCCCCAGGGAAACCCCATCCTTATGCTGAAAAGCCTGAAACCACAGTCCAAAGTGAGAACTTATACCCCTGTTTTCCTGCTCAAATGTTGTCTTTTCCTAAAACCACCCATGGCTCCCACTCCACCCTATCCTGTGCCTATAAAAACCCCAGATTCAGCTGGTAGACAGGACTACAGCTGGACATTGGAGAGAAGCAGCTTGACTTCAGAAGGACAGCTTGATGGCATATAACTTCGGAGAAGCATCCTGCCGGAGACAGCTGGGCTTCAGAGGAAGATTACCTACCCACTCTGTCCCCTTTTCAGCTCCCCTTCCCACTGAGAGCTACTTTCATTGGCAATAAAGTCCCCTGCATTTATCATCTTTCAGTTCATTCATGCAACCTCATTTTTCCTGGATGCTGGACAAGAGCTCGGAAGCCACAATTGTGCATACAAAAGGCGGTTGCACTGGCACTCTGCCCTCCATGGGGCCTGCACAGAGTTTGCTCCTGCCAGTGCTAAAGCATCTGGCCAGTTCCTGCACCTGCTCACCTTGCACTCCCTCCCACGAAGGGTGGAACACAGTGGGTCTGAGTGAGTAGAGTTTTATCTCATGGGTGCTGAAGCAGTGGCTGGTTCCAGTGCTCATTTGGTCCAGTTCCCACACTCATTCGCTTGCATGCTCCCTCCTGGGGGGAGTTGAGAGCGACACACTGAGTAAATGAGGCACTCCTGTCGTGAGTCCCACAAAGGGGCCAGAGAAATATCCTGCTTCAGAAAGTATCCTGAAAATGAAGTGACCAGGAAGCCATGGAGACCTCCCCCAATTACTCATTGTTCTAGTAAATACTATGAGATAATGTTCTGAGCATAAGCACCCTTAAGTGACACTGCCCACCATCTTGGAACATTTAAAGCAGTGCTGGTGGGAAGTTCGGAATGAGCTGGAAAGTCACCTTCCAAAATAGGAGCACTCCAGTCCTAGACTACTCCCACTGCCCTGCACTAATTGACATCAATGCCCCCACACTGCAGTCTGCTGAGGCAAGGGAGAGGAAAGGGGGTGACACTAGCCATGAAGGAAATTCTGATTTCCTTCATGATATCTATCTAGGAACCCACGAGCTCTGCTGAATGATCACCAACAGGTGAAACCATGAGACAATATGTTGACAGGAAATTGCACAAAGTGGGGATCAAGATGGCCTTACCTGAACTCACTGGAAACTCAACATCTCTAAGAGCAAGACCACTAGACATGGATCTCCTGGTGCGGTGCCGCATCACCGATCAGATATTCTTGCCAAAACAGTTTAACCTAAATTTAATCAATCTTGTAGATCTAACTTCCAGTTTATATGAAATACATGGGTAGAGGAACGATTCCACCAAGAAGTAGTCAAAGCCATGCAACAGAACATTCTGCAAGACAATTGACCTTGTTTTTCCAATACATCATTGGGATTAAAAAGTAAGAAAAAGAAGTAGGAGGAGGAGGAAAAGAAGAAAAAGATGAAAGAGAAGGGTTTATTCCATATTAAAAGATACTTAAGAGACATAATACCCAAATGCGATGCACAGACCTTATTTAAATTCTGACTACTCCAAACTGATGGGGTGGAAGGGTTGTAGTTGAACTGAGGCAATCAGGGAAACTTATACATAAACTGCTATCAAATGATACCAAGGAATTGTTAATTTCATTGATTAAGATATTGGCATTGCAGTCATATAAGAAAATGTCCATAGTTTTCAAAGAGATATTCCAAAGTTTGCAGGATGAAATGAGAAGACACCTGATATTTGCTTTAAAGTACTTCAGGGAAATTAACAAAAAAAGGATAGATTAAGCAAGAATACTCTTTAGAATTCTTTTTTTTTTTGAGACAGAGTCTCACTCTGTCACCAGGCTGGAGTGCAATGGCATAATCTCAGATCACTGCAACCTCTGCCTCCCGGGTTCAAGCCACTCTCCTGCCTCAGCCTCCTGCGTAGCTGGGACCACAGGTGCGCACCACCATGCCCAGCTAATTTTTTGTATTTTTAGTAGAGATGGGATTTCACCATGTGGGCCAGGATGGTCTCAATCTCTTGACCTCATGATCCACCCACCTCGGCCTCCCAAAGTGCTGGGATTATAGGTATAAGCCACTATGCCCGGCCTATTCTTTAGAATTCTTATGACAGATGCTTTTATCAAATTGTTCCTATATGAATATACATCGTGCACGAGTAAAACAACTTTGTTCTGTGACACACACATACTCCCACACACAACTGGAAACACATTAGGCCTGCTAGCACTCACGAGAGGAGAGTAAGCATTCTTCTAGTAGCCAGAAATGGGTCTGTTCTTTCTCCATCTTTTAAAATAACGAAAACAGAATGTTTTTAGGACAGAGACAGGCAGCTCATATACGAAGAAATATGTATGGCTTTTAAAAAATGATGATTTCTTTGAAAACCCACTGATTTCAAAGAAGCTTAAAGAATATTTATCTCAGATTGGCCACTTGGAACAAAATGGAGCTGGAGTCTTCCTGGTGCTCTGGCTTTCTCCAGGACAATACAACCTACTTGTCTTATTGAGCTTCACTTTATTGTATGTTGCAGATAGCGCTTTTTTTTTTTTTTTTTTTTTTTACAAACTGAAGGTTTGTGGCAACCCTGCATCAAGCAAATCTATCAGTGCCATTTTTTCCAACCACATGCACTCACTTCATGTCTCTGTGTCACATTTTGGTAATTCTCACAATATTTCAAACTTTCACTATTATATCTGTCATGTGATCTGTGATCAGTGACCTTTGCTGTTACTATTATAATTGTCTTGGGATGCCATGAACCATCACCATATAAGATGGTGAACTTGATTGATAAAATGTTGTGTATGTTCTAACTGCTCTACCAACTGGCTGTTCCCCCATCTCTTTCCCTCTCCTTGGGCCTCCCTATCCTGTGAGATACAATAGTGTTTAAATTAGGCTAAGAAATAAAGCCATAATGGCTGCTAAGTGTTCCAGGGAATTAATGAAATTCTTAATGAATTTCTTGAATGAAAAGCTAGAAATGATTACATTTAGTGAGGCAGGCATGTTTAAAATGAGACAGGCTGAAAGTTAACCCTCTTGTGCCAAACAGTTAGCCAAGTTGTGAATGCAAAGGAAAAGTTCTTGAAGGAAATTAAAAGTGCTACTCCTGTGAAAACATGTAGGATGAGGAAGTGTAATAGCCCTATTCCTGTGGAGACCTACTGCTCAGAAGAAAAAGATTCCTTTCAAAATATTGTTGCTGATTGACAATGCACCTGGTCACCCGAGAGCTCTGA
This sequence comes from Homo sapiens, assembly GCF_000001405.40. Classification (NCBI taxonomy): domain Eukaryota; kingdom Metazoa; phylum Chordata; class Mammalia; order Primates; family Hominidae; genus Homo; species Homo sapiens. The sequence continues at coordinate 115,361,255 of NC_000005.10, read as the reverse complement.
TGCAGATGTACAAGATTGACTCCATATTTGAAAGAAGTTCTACTGTGGGTAAAATGTTATCAAACAGGATTGCGTGCTACAGAGAAATCTTTCAGGAAAGAAACAGTCAAGTGATGTGGCAAACTTCACGTTGTCTTATTTTAAGAAATTGCCACAGCCACCTCAACCTTCAGCAGCCACCACCCTGATCAGTTAGCAGCCTCACTGAGGCAAGACCCTCCCCCAATAAAAAGATTACAACGCATTGCAGGCTCAGATAATCACTAGCATTTTTTTTAACAATAAAGCATTTCCTAATTAAGGTATGTACATTTTTTAGACATAATGCTATATTGCACACTTAACAGACTACAATATAGTAATCATCACTTTTGTGTGCGCTAGGAAACACCAAATGTTGTATGACTCACTTTATTGTGATAATTCTCTTATTATCTAGAACCAAACACACAGTATCTCTGAGATATACCTGTAGTCCTCAAAACATCGCTTGGGCACTTTTAGGAATGCAAATTCGCCAGGCCTACCCCAGATGTATAGAATCAGAAATTCTTGGTAGCAAAGCCAGCAATCTTGTTTTAACAAACCCTCCGAGTGATTCTGTGCGTACTTACAATGAGAGCCACTGCCCTAAGCAAAGGCAAGTGTTAAGAAGGACATCAATTATCCAAATCCCTGAGAGGATCATTTAGGGCAATGCAAAAGTAATGCACTAAATGACTCATCACTCTTGTTTGCTAAGTGGTAGGAGTTTATCCAGTGGTAACAGTCTCGGATCCCTTCCCGTGAATATATCTCAGCTGCATAGCTTTGTTAGAAAGTATGGTTAACAATCCTCTTTTAATCCAGGCCTGGCCAGGAGGTTAATGTTTTCAAAGGGTTTTAAATCTGGCTGCCAACTTGTGTCCATTTAACATGGAGCCATTTCATTCATTATGCCCATCGCAGCTCCTGATTTGACTGGCTGGACTGTGAACATCATCTTCTAAGTGTTACTGAGTGTTATCAGCTGTAGAGTATTTGGTGGGTGCTTTTAGACTCAGAAGACTGAACTTTATCCACTCCTTGGCAGGCCTCCACTCAGGCATTTTTATTTATTCAACTAGTTGGTTTAGGCATAAATTGGAGGAAAATTAGAAGAGATCTATGCTTACAATAGAAAAATTTTCTTTCTCTTGATATCTTTGAGAAGTGGGAAATGTTTATTCTACAAGAAAAATATCACATTATGCAAAGGGATTAGAAACTCCCTTTGGAAAATAGAGTTATACTTCTAAAGCAGCAATCATTTAATTGCTAACTACCAAAGCAGAAAAAAGTCACCTGCTGGTTTCATGGACTTATGAAGTCAGGTCTGAGCAGGCTGAGGCTGTCACTGGAGGGTGCAAGGAACCAAGAAACCAAGTCTTTACCTTGGAGGAAATCAATGTGAAACAATCTTTAGGTTTGTGAATCCAAAAGTATCTGAGACAGGTCTCAATCAATTTAGAAAGTTTATTTTGCCAAGGTTAAGGACACACCCATGGCACAGCCTCAGGAGGTCCTGATGACATGTACCCAAGGTAGTCAGGATACACCTTGCTTTTACACATTTTTAGGGAGACATAATATATCAATAAGTACATGTAAGATTGACATTTGTTCTACCGGGAAGGGCAGGACAACTTGAAGGATCGGGGAAGGCTTCCAATTAGAGGTAGGTAGAGTTAAATATTTTTTGATTGGCAGTTGGTTGAGTTATTATCAGTAGAAAGGAATATCTGAGTTATGATAAGGGGTTGTGGAGTCCCAGGTTTTATCATGCAGATGAAGCCTCCAGGTAGCAGGCTTCAGAGATAATAGATTATAAATGTTTCTTATCAGGCTTAAGATCTGTGTCTAAGAATCCCTAAGCCTAGCTGGGAAGGTGACCGCATCCACCTTTAAACACGGGGCTTGCAACTTAGCTCACACCCAACCAATCAGGTAGTAAAGACAGCTCACTAAAATGCTAATTAGGCAAAAACAGGAGCTAAGGAAATATCCAATCATTTATTGCCTGAGAGCACAGCGGGAGGGACAATGATCGGAATATAAACCCAGGCATTCTAGCCAGCAAGGGCTACCCTCTTTCGGTCCCCTCCCTTTGTATGGGAGCCCTGTTTTCACTCTATTAAATCTTGCAACTGCAAAAAAAAAAAAAAAAAATCTGTGTTGATGTTAAATGCAGGTCATCTCTTCCCAAATGCCAAAAGATAGAAGGGTAAAATGAAGCATGTTCAACCCCCACTCCCAATCCCCCACCAATTTTCCACCCTTGCCTGAACCAGTTTTTCAGGTAACTTTGGAGTGCCCTATCTGAGAGGAGGGAGTGCATTCAGATGGTTTGGGGTGGGGCTTAGAATTTTATTTTTGGTTTACAGGTTCAAAGACATTGTTGATGTTGATGAAAAGAATTGAACTCTGTAAAACATTTGAAGAGATTTATTCTGAGCCAAATATGAGTGACCATGGCCTGTTACACAGCCCTCAGGAGGTCCTGAGAACATGTGCCCAAGGTGGTCACGACTCAGCTTGGTTTTATACATTTTAGAGAGGCATGAGACATCAATCAAATACATGTAAGAAATACATTGGTTTGATCTAGAAAGGCAGGGCAACTCAAAGCCAGGGGGCTTCCAGGCTATAGGTGAATTTAAACATTTTCTGTTTGACAATTGGTTGAGTTTGTCTAAGGACCTGGGATTGATAGAAAGGGAATGTTCAGGTTAAGATAAAGACTGTGGAGACCAAAGTTCTTTTGAAGTCTTATAGTGGCTGCCCTTAGAAACAATAGATGACAAATGTCTCCTATTGAGATCTTAGTTAATCTCTTCAGTATTGGGAAGGTCTGGAAGAAAAAGATCTTCCAGCTATGTTAATAGAGATTCTTTACAGATACAGATTTTTCCCCACAAAGAACAGCTTTGCAGGGCCATTTCAAAACATGGCAAAGAAACACGTTTTGGTGTAAAATATTTTGATTTTCTTCCTTGTCTTGCAATGTTATGCCAGAGTCAGGTTGGAAAGTAAGTCATGATATATAGGGTTAAATAAAGCCCATCTGATGAGAATTTATTATTTGTAGGGCATGACTCCCCAGACCCCTTAGATAGGAATTTGGGCAAGATAAAAAAAAATCAGAGTTTAGTCCCCATTGACTATGTAAGTCCAGTCTCATTAGGGCCATATCTGCTTGCCAAGAGGAGGCTGGAGAGAGGTAGGTCTAAATTTCTAAAAGTGGAAGCTGGATTTTTAGTAACATTTCACATGATGGGGTAAAAAGAATGTTGATCTTAAAACCTGACGGTACAAGCTTCAAGTCTCAGCTTAACACTTAGATCTGTTTGCAATAGGCGTGATTTCTTATTCTCTGAGCTTCCATTTTCTCATTTATAAAATGAGAATAATATAATAACACCTAGTTGGCAGAGGTTATGTGAAATTATACACACATACAGACATACATTTTGTTCTGCTACAGTCCTATATATATATTTTTTTGTTTGTTTGTTTTGTTTTGTTTTTTGAGATGGAGTTTCGCTCTTGTTGCCCGGGCTGGAGTGCAGTAGCACAATCTCAGCTCACTGCAAGCTCTGCCTCCCAGGTTCAAGCTATTTTCCTGCCTCAGCCTCCCAAGTAGCTGAGATTACAGGCGCCTGCCACCACGCCCGGCTAATTTTTTGGATGTTTAGTAGAGACGAGTTTTGCCATGTTGGGCAGGCTGGTCTTGAACTCCTGGCCTCAGGTTATCTGCCTGCCTCGGCATCCCAAAGTGCTGGGATTACAGGCATGAGCGACTGCTACAGTCCTGTTTTTGTAAATATTAGCTCCTATGGGATTGCTAAAGAGTGGAATAATGGTAGTACAACATGGAAGTCATGTTGGACTCTGCCAGCCTATTAGTGTTCTCCTCCATGAGTAACAGTAGCTGGTCCCAGAGTGTACCCCCACAGCTGAACATGGCAAGTGAGGAATATAGTAGTGCCTGTGATGTCCATTCACCCCTTGTTTTTATTTTTGGCTCAGTTCTACCCACTGTTCTGTCTGGAAAGTGTTCATTACATGGTTTTTCCCAATCTTTGGGCATTTTGCCCTTGCCACCATAGCTCAGCAGCCTCTACACTGTGATTTTTTTTTAATTAGGAATTTCACTTTTTTTTTACTGTGCTAATATTCTTATTAGTATTGTTCCCATTTTTGTTGATGCCCTGGTTACAAATATGCATAGATTTTAAGAGATGTGATTCTAATATTATTTTTCCCATAAGCCCTGTTAATTTTAGTGTGAATGATAATTTTATGTTAATTTTTTAGAACACTAGATGTATCAGAGAGACAAATATTATAACAATGCAGAAATGGCATAATGCAAAATAAATATTCCTTTATGTATACAAATGTTCCTTGACTTATGATGGAGTTACATCCTGATAAACCCATTGTAAGTTGAAAATATCATAAGTAAAAAATTCATGTAATACACCTAAACTACTGAACATCATAGCTTAGCCTAACCTACCTTAAATATGCTCATAACACTGACATTAACCTGCAGTTGGGCAAAATCATCTAACACAAAGTCTGTTTTATAATAAAGCATTGAATATCTTCTGTGATTTACTGAATTATACTGAAAGTGAAAATTTGTAGTATTTTATGCCTACTCGAAGTATGGTTTCTACTGAATGTAAATCAGTTTCCCATGCCAAGAGTCTGGCATGGGAGCTAGTAACACCAAAACCAAGGGGCCAGGAGCTCTCGGTCATATCTGTCATGGCGATGTCAGTGCTTTGCTCCCCAGATGGTTGGGGTCATAGCTTTGAGCATTCTTTCCTGCAAAGTCTAGAGCTAGATCTTCAGGCCTCACGATGATTCAAGAGCTACCCACTGTCCTTTCAGAAAACTTTTCTGCTTCATTCAGCCAGAATTAGCTTCTGTTGCTTATGATGATACCTATATTTCTAGGTATCTGTTGGTCTGTTGGTGCATCTAACAAACTACCCCCCAAATCTCAGAAGCTTAACACAGTAACGTACTATTATATTTCATCATTCTGGGGTTGACTGGGCTCAGCTGGGTGGTTCCCTCTTGGGCTTTCTTACACAGTTGCAGTCACATGGTGGGTGGCTCTGGAACCATCTGAAGACTGGACTGGGCTGGTGTTCCAAAATGGTTCCTTCACCTACAGGCCTGGCTCCTTACCCTCTCTGTTTACACACAGTGTCTTATCTTTCACGGCCTCTCCACATGACCTGAGGCTTTTTACAGCAAGGGGATTTCAGAGTAGTCACACAGGCAGCTGGATTCTAAGATGCAGGAAATTAACACTTAAGAGCCACACCTGGAATTAACACAATGTAACTTCCACATTCTTTTGGTCAAAGCAGTCAAAGGGTCTACTTGGGTTCAAGGGGAGAAGGGCTGGAGTTGGAGAAATAGACTTCAGTTCTTAAAGCGGGAGTAGCAAGGTTATGCTGCCACTGCCAGAGAAAGTTTTGTGGCCATCTTTGGAAAATAGAGTCTGCCACACTGTGCTCTAGAGGGTAGGTACCAACAGAATAATATAGAAAACATTCAACAATGTTGATTTTAAAAGGAAAAGTGCCCATCCTTAGGCATCCATGAAGTGATACACAAAATCTACAGTGGTATGGCTTTTAAAGGAAGGTGTAACCTCTCTGTGGAGACACTCCCTCTCTCCCTTCACACCAATTCCTAATCTCTAATTAGTGGCAGATAATCCAGTGCAATTTGGGGACCCCCTAAAAGTTTAAAATACCAAGAGGAAAGTTCTCTCCCTGTTATTGGCTTTTTTCATTACTTGGGAAAATCTACCAAGTGAAGAAATTGATAAGCACTGTCCTAGCCAGCCAAGCCTTGGACCTGAGTATTTGAAAATAAGGAAATAAAAAAGACAGTAAATAAACTGCTGCACTCCAGGCTGTTCCCCGAGTTATATGATATGTAAGAGTGCCATATAGGAAGAGGAACAGCACTTCTGAATTCATTTTAGTGGTTAAAAACTGGGACTATGTCTAAACATAACTTGATTGAACACAGTGGCTGTCCAAATAATGGTCTGTTTGCCTTCATACCAAGCAATCATTTATTTGGGTATACTTCAGGGATACCAAGCAATCATTTATTTGGGTATACTTCAGGGATGCAAGAGAGTATAACTTTGTCTCTGATATCCAATATTTCTGACTCAAAGTTTGTTTTTCTTATCATTTTGACATTACTGCTTTAAGGCAAGTACCTGACAGAATTACCTATACTGGTTGCACAAAGCTAGTCTGAATCTAGCTTTTTAAAAAATCTGTTCTTCCTGAGGCACTTGCAAGCTTGACCAGGAAAGTGCTCTACTGTTCTGGAACCTGAGGGGTTTAGTATTATGAACCAAAAATAAAATTCTAAGGCCTCCCTGATAGGGACAGAAGGCACAGAAATTCTAGGCAGAAGGGCGAGGTCCCTGGTGAAGCCCCACCCTTAAGCCTGGAACTGCAGCCCAAAGTGAGAACATGCATTTCTGTTTTCCTGCTCGAATGTTGCCTTTTGCAAAATTACCCATGGCCCACCCTGACCCCCGTCCTGCATCCATAAAAACCGCAGGCTGGAGAAGGCTGGACTTTAGGGGAAGAAGACATTTCCACTCCATCCCCTTTTCAGCTCCCCTACCCAATGAGAGCCACTTCCATTAGCAATAAGATCCTCCACATTTACTATCTTTCAATTCATTTGTGTGACCTGGTTTTTCCTGGATGCTGTCCAAGAGCTCGGGATACAAAAGGCTGTCACACTGACCCTCTACCCTCACGAAAAGACAGAGGGTTCACTGAGCAGTTAAACACTTAACCTATCCATGGATGGCAAAGCTAAAAGAGTGCTGCCTGTAACACTCCTTCTGGGGCTTTCAGGGTCGCAGGTACTACCCACTAGACCCTGCCATGAGACCAGCATGGAATTTTGCTCCTCCCAGTGCGCAAAAGCACTCACTCTGGCTCTTGCACCTGCTCACCTGTGTGCTTCCCCTCCCATGAGGGGTTGAGAGCTGTGGGCTGAGTAAGCAAGGCACCCGTGTCTCAAGGCCCACAAAAGGGTCAAGGAAAATTTCCTGTTTCACCTCCAACCATCTGAATGGACTTCCTCCTCAGCCATGGCTCTTTTAAAATTGATCCTGAGAGACTGTTTCAGACCATGATGGGAAGTGGGATCAGACATGCCTCATTATATCTCTCTGGCATTAACATCAACACAGACTGGTAAGAAGCATTTTACAGCCTATTCTCTCTGAAGCCTAGTAGCCAAAGGTTTCCTCAGCAAATAAAAACTTGGGTCTCCACAATGCTTTATATTAACCCAGATGTTCCTTTCCATTGATCCCAGGTCTTTAAGTAAACTCAACCAATTGTCAACCAGAAAATGTTTAAATCTACCTATAAGCTGAAATCTCACCCCCTTGCCTCACCCGCTTTGACCCACCATTCTGGATCAAACCAATATATTTCTTTAATGTATTTGATTAAAGTCTCATGTCTCCCTAAAATGTATAAAAACCAAGCTGTGCCCCAAGCACCCTGGGCAAATGTTCTCAGGACCTCCTGAGGCCTGTGTCACAAGCCACGGTCACTCATATTTGGCTCAGAATAAACCTCTTCAAATATTTTATAGATTGACTCTTTTCCTCAGTAGTATTTTGTGTGTAGTTTTTGTTTCATATACCCCACTGGGGCCAAGGTTAATTCCATTTGGCTAACAGAGTGAGCCAGAAGTTCTAAATAATATTTCCCTGCACTCTGGCTTATTTGCTTGTGCTTTGCTTTTGTCAAGACAAGGTTCCTATAAAAACTGTAAGGTCTTAGTATCTGATATGACTTTTCCCTTCACATAATGTTTTCACTGGCTTCCCCTCTACTATATTTGTGTTATTATTATCAGCATTATCATTTATATAAATTAGTTCTTCCTTAGTTTCAAGCGACATAGAACCAAACTCAAATTGACTTAGGACAGAAAGCAAATTCATCGGCTCAGGAAGCTGTAAGGCCCAGGGACTAGGCTGGCTTCAGACATGGCTATGTCATTAGGACTCAATTTCTCTCTCCCTCTTCAATTTGCTGCCCACTGTTTTGACTTCATTTTCAGTCTCCATTTAGTTTCTCTGGAAGCTCCAGGCTCTCTCTTCACAGTGACAAGATTGCTGGGACAGCTTTCACCCTGTATGTTCTCAGGCTACTGTTTGGGTGAAAAGAGAGAATCTCTTCCAGTAGCTTGTAAACAAGTCCTGAGATTTATGCTGATTAGACCAGATTAGGTAGTGTGCCATCTCTGAATCAATGATTGTAGACAGAGGAATATGCAACATATTCTATGGGTTAGGCCTGAGTCATGTGTCCTTAGAACCAGGTGAATGAAACCCCTGGGCAAGGGCTGAATCTGCAATCAGAATCAGGATCTGTTGTTAAAGAAATGAAAAGCAGGCTGAGCATGGTGGCTCATGCCTGTAATCCCAGAACTTTGGGAGGCCAAGGCCAGCAGATGGCCTGAGGTCACGAATTCGAGACCAGTCTGGCAAACATGGTGAAACCCCATCTCTACAAAAATGCAAAAAAATTAGCTGGGCATGGTGGCATGCACCTGTAATCCCAGCTACTCAAGAGGCTGAGGCAGGGGAATTGCTTGAACCAGGGAGATGGAGGTTGCAGTGAGCCGAGATCGCGCCACTGCACTTCAGCCTGGGTAAAAGAGCGAGACTCTGTCTCAAAAAAAAGGAAAGGAAAAGGAATTCTAGGGAGGCAAATAACAACTATTTATATTATTATTATTACCATCATAATCATTTTTTAGCTACCATTATATATATGATACCATTTAATCCCTGCTGCCTGGCACATAGTAGCTACATAATACATATTGAAGGAATGGGTATTTTACTGATGATAAACGTTTGTTCAACGAAACTGCCAGACAGGGCTGCCAAGAGTCAGGTGCATAAAGGAAAGCATACATTACTTCCTTGAAACATACGTTATCCATCAGATTTTAAAGCAGTTCTTCTTCAGACCTTTATTATTTGTTTGGATTATACAGGCAGCATTTGCACATGTCATAAATGAAGTACATTTTATATTTCTATGTACATGGATAGTTTTAAGTCTCTTTCTAGGCAAGTGAATCTGACACATTTCACTTTGAGCTGAACTGGAATGCTTCCAAAGCACACTTTCAGATGCTGCAAATGCACCTCACTTCTGGTGCTTCACTGTCTATGCAGAAAGCCTTCCTCTCCCTGGGGGAAAGGGTGGAAGTGAGAGAGAGAAGGGAGAGGAGAAGAAACTGTCAAGTCAGTATCAGCAGTGCAGAAGCTAGGCAATCTTTCTTTTGTTTTTTTCAATCCTATTGCTTACCTTTTTTTAGCCTTCTGAATGGAGAGAACAGCTCATCACTATCCAGGGCCATGTTTTTGATAGAGGTCAGGGCATAGAAAATTATGTGAGTGGCTATATCTAAATTCTCCCAAGGATGGTACTAAGAATGGCACATAACTAGTACCATTCTGGATGCATACATGCAAGTTAATTCATAACTAGTACCATTATAGATGCATAGAGTTAATTCATTACATACAATAAATGCATTAGGGTATTAGAAAACAATTCTCTCACAGAACTGCAGTTAAGAAAGGCTGAGTCAGACCTTGGTGCTTAGTCATCTTGTTGATCTGAGTGTATTATTCTCTATTGAAGAAAAAAGGTATTTATTTATCTGGCCATAGACAAGAATGCAAATCAAAATCCACCAAACATACACACACACACACACACACATACACACACACACACACACACACACAAATGTATAAATGTGTGTATGACATTTCATCTATACAATATATATTATGTTCAATATATATTTTATATATAATATATAAATTCAATATCCAATTCCTATTATATATTTCAACATACATGTATACATAAATATATATGTATATACATATATATGTGTAATTTTTACATAAATATACATATATACATAAACGTACATTGATATGGCTTGGATCTGCATCCCCAACCAAATTTCATGTAGAAATGTAATCCCTGACTCTGGAGGTGGGGACTGGTGGGAGGTAATCGGATCATGGGGGCAGTTTCTCATGAATGACTTAGCACCATCCCACGAGTACTGTATAGTGATAGAGTTCTCATGAGATCTGGTTGCTTAAAGATGTGTAGCACCTCCCTCTCTCTCTTTCTCTTGCTCTGGCCATGTAAGATGTGTCTGCTTTCCCCTTCACTTTCTGTCATGATTGTAAGTTTCCTGAAGCCTCCCCAGAAGCAGAAGCCACTATGCTTCCTGTACAGCCTGCAGAACTGTGAGCCAACCAAACCTCTTTTCTTCATAAATTACCAGTCTCAGGTTATTTCTTTGTAGCAATATGAGAACAGACTCATACATACATACATATATATAGAAATACTCATATATATACACATACGTATAATTTTTTTTTACTTCAGGAAGAAATAAGAAGTGCTGCCTCCCAAGTAAGAAGGAGAGAAAACTCCTTATTACTCATAGACTACCCCTTGGAGATGGCAGAAATCGCCACTGAGGAGCCTCAGAGCAGTCCAACGTGAGCAGGGAATGGCAGTGCAGTCAGCTCCAACCATATGCCCTGCCCCATCATTGAACTATTTAGGTCTGTACAAAGAAGAGGAGGTGCTGCTTTCCCTGAGGAGAGCATCTGTGGGTGCCTCTCCTTGGTGGCTGTGGCAGGGTCTCCACACCTTAGGGAGGAAAGCCAGGTGGATCTCTTGGAGAGGCACCTTATCTGCCTCGTTCCTGCCCATGATGGCAGCCCTGGTAGCTGGGAAGAGACTCCCTCCGTTCCATAAGAGGCTGAACACAAGCAATGGCTTTGTCGTTTCTACTGTCTTGCCTTTTGACCATGAGGTACCTGAAGAGCTTACTTCTATGTATCTATTTTCACATCCCTGGAATGAGAGCTGTAGAGAAGAGAATAGAGCCAAGCAGGCTTCTGACAAAGTTATAGGAGGTGTCAGAGCCACTGGACAGAGATAGATGGTACCTTCTCCGCACTTGGCCATAGCCCCAGAGCAGTAAAGGGTCTAGAAACTAATTAAAAGTCAGATATGCTGTAACTCCACAGATAAGCAAGTGGAGTAGGAGTAGAAGGATTCTCTTCTTTCTTTCATGAAGCTCACAGAATAACTCTTCCTTTCCTCTACACACAGACCAAAGATGAGTTGGGCACCATGAGTTTACACAATGCCTTTTGTCTGGATACCTCAAAACACTTTCTTGAAGATAATTTCTGAAAAGAAGGGTCAGAGAGATAAGTGGGAAATCAAAGTGTGGTTCTGGAGCCCCACCCTGATTTTATTATACACTGAGGAGAAATGGTCTAGCATGTCAGTTCATATTTCTGGGCATTTGTTTCTTTTCTCACCACGACTGCCTCCCAGGGGTAACTTAGCAAAATCTAGCATTCAAAGGACTTAATCATTCAGGGCTACTTTGTGAGATTTCGACTCACTGAAGGCAGTTTGGTGAGTAATTTTTCAAAGCTGATTTTTCATTAGAAAGAAGATGGGAAGTTGGGAATTAAGTGGGAACAAAACACACTGGCAAGAATATGTATTACAGCTGCTAAATCAGACAAACAATGAGTCATCTGGTCTCACCACAGCCCTTCTCTGTGGAAGCTGCCCATGGACTTTGCCACGTGTTTGTATTTGTGAACAGCAAATAGGTTTAGAAACATTATCTAATAAACAATAAATTCACTTTATTCTTGTTCTGTGTAACTAAGATCTAACCTATGAGTTGAACTTGGGGATGGATTTTATTAATAAAAATTGTTCAAATATTCCACAGTTAAAATATTTATTTAATTCTTCTTCCTTTTTAGCTAAAATGAAACTGACCTATATCACATAGCCCTGGCCTAGGGAAAGATAAAACGTACCTTCTATTCTGATGGTATTAGTGTGAAATATTTGCTTCATCACAAAATAAACTCAGAGGGCATTTTGAAATTAGGTCAAATTACATCACCAGGCAGGTGAGTAATAGTCTTTTTCTCTACCCTTGCATCCTTTTTCTCCTGCCTTACATTTTCCATAAAGAAAAAAATGCAACAACAGAGAAAAAGAACAAGAGGAAACAATTTCTTTTTTTTGAGACAGCTCTTATACGCAGGAGTGCAGTGGCACAATCTCAGCTCCCTGCAACTTCTGGCTCCTAGGTTCAAGCCATCCTCCCACCTCAGCCTCCAAAGTATCTGGGACTACAGACACATGCCACCATGCCCGGCTAATTTTTGTATTTTTTGTAGAGGTGAGGTTTCACCGTGTTGCCTAAGCTAGTCTCGAACTCCTGAGCTCAAGCACTCCGCCTGCCGCGGCCTCCCAAAGTGCTGGGATTATGAGCATGAGCCACTGCTCCCATTAGAACATGATTTTTAAAAAGAAAAGAATTGTATGAAAATATGTAAAACTTTCCTTGACCAAACTATTGTTGTGGCAAATGTATCTGTGTGTGGGAAATACAGCATTTGTTCCTTCATTGATTTGCTAAATATGTATTACATACCCAGTGTGCAGCTGCTATAGGAGAAATGTAAGCAAAATGATTTGAGGTCATGGGTCATAAACTCAGATGGCTCTAGGACTGAAACAACTACCGTGAATCTGTGATTGTGACGAAGCAAACAGGAGAATCCTCGCCCCATTTAAAGCATTCACATTTAATTTTAAAAATCAACAAAACCTGCTTCCAGTTTTCAATCCCTGGAACATAGAGGAGGAAGTTAACTATTATGGAAGGGTAAGGCTTGAAGAGTGAGTAGACTGTCAATAAAAGAGAAAGAGCAGGAAAGGATATTATAACTTGAGACAATTTTACAAACAGAAGTCCGGGCTTCAGGGAGAGAAGAGCCTGGGTGAGTAGGATAAGTTCTGGGCTTTCAGTGTGAGAGGTTGAGACTTTAGTACAAACAGAACAGAATTTTTTCTTTTGGTGTGAATGGAATTCTACATCCCCTTCAACCTGTTCTTTTTCCAGAGTACTATGGCTTAGAAATGACACTACTATTCCTCCTGTCCTTCTGGCCAAAACCTAAGAACCATAATTCTTAATCCTCTTTACTCTCAGACCCTAGAGAAAGAGTCCCATTTTGTGGAAATTGAATTGTATGCATTAGTGGGGAGGGAGGGGTTCTCATTAAGTAAAAGACTACAAAACTAGATACAAAGATGCATATTTGGATGGGCTGGTGCAAATGGCAGGCCCTGAAGCCTAAGTTTCATGGAAACTCACCTCTGCAAACCCTACATGAACCCCCCCGGAATCTGATGCCTCTGCCTTCAAAAATATATCCCAAATCCAACTGTTCCTCCTGACATTCGCTACTAACCCACTAGATGAAAGCACCATTAGCTATGGCATAGATTCCGGCAGTTCCAGCCCCCTGACTTGTCCTCTACTGACACTCTTGCTTTGCTGCAGTGTATTCCAAACACATCAGGAGGAATGATTCTTTTTAAATCTAAATTGGATCACATCATTCCTTTCCTCAAAATTCTTCAATGGCTACCCATCACACATAGGATAAAATCTAAAGTTATTCCTATGGACTCCTATTGAAGGGGGCCAGCCCCTCCACACCTGTGGATATTTCTCATCAGGTGGGGTGAGAGACTGAGAAAAGAAATAAGACACAGAGACAAAGTATAGAGAAAGAACAGTGGGCCCAGGGGACCGGCACTCAGCATACGGAGGACCCACACCGGTGCCAGCCTCTGAGTTCCCTCAGTATTTATTGATCATTATTTTAACTATCTTAGCGAGGGGAGTGTAGTGGGGCAACAGGTGGGGAGAAGGTCAGCAGGGAAACGTGAGCAAAGGAATCTGTATCATGAATAAGTTCAAGGAAAGGTACTGTGCCTGGATGTGCACGTAGGCTAGATTTATGTTTCTCTTTACCCAAACATCTCAGTGTAGCAAAGAGTAACAGAGCAGTATTGCTGCCAGCGTATCTCACCTCCAGCCACAGGGCAGTTTTCTTCTATCTCAGAATAGAACGAATGGGAATGGTCAGCTTTACACTGAGACATTCCATTCCCAAGGACGAGCAGGAGACAGAAGCCTTCCTCTTACCTCAACTGCAAAGAGGCCTCCCTCTTTCACTACTTCTCCTCAGCACAGACCCTTTATGGGTGTCGGGCTGGTGGACGGTCAGGTCTTTCCCTTCCCATGAGGCCATGTCTCAGGCTGTCTTAGTGAGGGGAAACCTTGGACAATACCCAGGCTTTCTTGGGCAGAGGTCCCTGTGGCTTTCTGCAGTGCATTATGTCCCTGGTTAATCGAGAATGGAGGATGGCAATGACTTTTACCAAGCATACTGCCTGCAAACATACTATTAACAAGGCACATCCTGCACAGCCCTAAATCCATTAAACTTTGATTCATTACAGCACATGTTTCTGTAAGCACAGGGTTGGGGCTAAAGTTACAGGTTAACAGCATCTCAAAGCAGAAACAATTTTTCTTAGTACAGATCAAAATGGAGTGTCTTATATCTTCCTTTACTACATAGACACAGTAACAATCTGATCTCTCTTTCTTTTCTCCACACTTATGGGCTCCAAGGCCCTAATATGCAGCATCTGCTCACTTCTCAGACATTTTCTGCCACTCTTCCTGCTGATCACTCCACTGTAGCCACGTTGGTTGGCTTCCTTGCCATTCCTTTATCAAGGCCTTGGGGTCTTTGCATTTATTGTTTTCTCTGCCTAGAACACCTTTGCCCAGAATACTTTGATGACTCTCCCCCCTTACTTTATTCAGGCTTAGCTCACATGTTACCTTCAAATCACCCAATCCAAATGCACTACTTTAACCTCTATTTCCTTACTTGATTTATTATTTTTTATTTACCACTACTTACTTTACTATTATTTACTCATTTGGTGTTGCCTATTTCCCCTAGCAGAATGTAAACTCCATGAAGGTAGGGATTTTGTCTATTTTATTCCCTTCTGTTTTCCCAAAGAATAGCATAGGACCTAGCACAGAGAACAATATAACCCTTCTCTGGAGGAATATGACATCCTCCAAGGCCTCTATGATTTTTCAAACACAATGTACAGCATTTGATTAAACAAAAAAAATTCCAGGCATGTGAAGAAACAAGACCAAAAAAAGAGAAACTAACAATAAAAATAGACCCACAGATGACCCAGTTATTGAGAATTATCAGACACAAACTCTGTATTAACTGTAATTCATATATTTAAGAAAGCATATGACAAGATAGAGAATGTAATCAAAGAACTTGTATCTATACAAGAAATGCAATAGAGATTCTAGAACCAAAAAAATCAGTACTGAAATTAAGAAGTAGATTATTTATAGTATATTAGATTCAGCAAAAGACATGATTACGAAACTGAGAACAATAATGGTAGAAAATATAGAGGCTGAGGCATGAAAAACAAAAGAGGTAGAAAATACAAAATAGGGTAAACATATAGGACATGATGCAGATACATATGTGATGTGGTAAAAAGGCCTGAATAAGTACCACTGGACTTCAAAAAAGGGAAGAGAGAAGGAATTGGGTCAAAACAATACTTGAAGAAATAATGGCCAAGAGTTTTCCAAAAATGATGAAAGACATTAAACTACTAATTCAATAAGTTCTCCAAACCCTAAGTGGGATAAATACAAAGAAAACTACAAATAAGCACATCAAAGTGACATCATAGTGACTGCTAAAAAAATGACAAAAATAAATCTTTTAAAAGAAAGAGAAAGTCAGGAAAGAACAAGACAGGCAGATGAATTGTAAAGAGATTCATTGAAAGTCAGAAGGCAATATAATGGCATCATTAAAGTGCTAAAAGAAAACAATTGCCAACCTAGAAATCTATACCTAACACACATATTCCTCAAAAATGAAGGCAAAACAGAGTAGTTTCCAGACAAATAAAATATGACAGAATGTTTCACCCAGAGGTCTGCACTAAAAGAAATGTTAAATAAAATTATTAGGCAAAGGGAAAGTTACTTCAGACATGTCCACAGAAATGAAGAAAGGGATGATGAACAATGGCGAGGGTATGTGTAAATGAATATCATCTCTACTAAGAAGTAATAATGTCTTGTGGCATCTAAAATATATGAAGGAAGCTGGGCATGGTGGCTCAGTCCTGTAATCCCAGCTTTTTGGGAGACTGAGGCAGGTGGATTACTTAAGGTTAGGAGTTTGAGACCAGCCTGGTCAACATGGTGAAACCCTGTCTCTACTGAAAATACAATAAGTATTTGTATTAATATAAATAAATAAGAAGGAGTGAAAAGTTAACAATGATAACACAAAAGTGGGAGAGGATAAATGGACTTAAAGTGTTCTAATAGCTTATCAACATCTGGGAAGTAGTAAAATAATTTCAGTAGTCTCCCCTTAATCCATGTTATTATATGTTTCCTTATCATATGTTCCAAGACCCCTAGGGGATGCCTGAAACCACGGGTAGTACCAAACCCCACTGCCAAAATTTGGAATGTCTGCCCACAAATTTAATACTTTTTCCATTTTAACAAGGCACATATCATGCACTGTGACTGTAACTTTTGCAGTTTGAAGTACAGGAGCAAAACTAGCACATAATTTCCTTATTTGACTTGTAAAACTAGCCTGTAAATTTCCTTATTTATAATTTCACAAATAGAAGATTTTTTCTTCACATAGATCTTAGTAACTTTAATGTACTGTTTTGTTTTTTTTTTTTTTTTCCTATTCAATTGAGAACTTTCACCTTTTCACTTGAAGGAAGCATTTTCTGGTTTCTCTTCGGCATAGCTGAATTGCCAACATCACTATTTTTGCATGTTGGGGCCACTATTAAGTAAAATAAGTGTGACTTGAACACAAGCACTGTGATGCTCAACATTGGGTAAGATAACCCAGATGGCTCCTAAGTGACAAATGGGTGGGAGCCTCTATATTGTGAACATGCTGGACAAATAGATGATTCATGTACTGGGCAGATTAGAGTGAGACAGTGCAAAATTTCATCATGCTACTCTGGACAGCACACACAGTGTGAAACTTAGGAATTGTTTATTTCTGGAATTTTTCTTTTAATATTTTTGGACTTTGGTTGACTGAAGGTAACTGAAATCACAGAAAGTGAAACCCTGGAAGAGGAGGGACCACTGTAATTTATATGAGACTGTAGTAAGTCAATGATGCATAGTATAATCACTGGAGTAACCACTAAATGAGTAATATTTTTAAAACACACACACACACGCCAGGAAGTAGAGGGGAAAAAATAGAAAAATAAATTTTTACTCTGTTCAAAACAAGGCATGAAGGGGGAGAAAATGAAACACTGAACAAATGAGACAATTACCAAAAAAGTGTAAGTTAGCAGATTTGATGAAAACATATCAATAATTATTTTAAATTCCTGATCAGTCATATACTACTTATAAGAGACATACCTTAAATATAAAGAGCCAGAAAGGTTGGCAGTAAAAGAATGAAAAGGGATTTACCATGTACACACTAACTAAAAGCTAATATAGCTATATTAATATTCAACAAAGCCAACATTAAAGCAAGCCCGTTATCAATTTATTGCCTCTCAGCTCCAAAGTCACCCTGAGATATGTTTTGCCACAATGGACAGAATTTCTTTAAGCATCTCTCCTTTTTTTAAAATTTAATTTTATTTTAAGTTCCAGGATACATGTACAGGACATGCAGGTTTGTTACATAGGTAAACGTGTGCCGTGGTGGTTTGCTGTACCTATCAAGTCATCACCTAGGCATTAAGACTCACATGCATTAGCTATTTATTGTGAAGACATCTCTCCTTTTTAAAGAGCATGATGTTAACTAAGCTTTCTCAGTGGGCAATCCTAGAGGAACACTGCAGGAGGAAGGGCCTCTCCTGCTGCTTCTGGCTGCTCCATGGCAGGTCGGTGGTATTATGGTGAGGATATTTGGTAGAGCTCTGCCCCAGCTATGTGCCCAGAATTCCCAGTCCCCTGGTGACCTTGCAGCCTCAGCTTGGCCTGGGGATAACCTGAGCCACCAGGCGGCTCACCTGTGGCCTGGAAGGTTTCCTTTTTCTTTTTTATTTCCTTGTAGGAAAACTTTTAATGAACAATTGACCATTATAGATTTTCAGCCTTAGTATTTATTTTTTTCTATGTAAAATCAGATAATTAAAACAGCCTATCTCAAGTATGCTAGAAGACGATAGTATGAAAAAGAATAATAGTCATGTTTGCTCCCACTAGAGGGTTTCTTTCAAGGCCCCACTCCTTCTGCATATCCACACATCCAGTTGCTGATCCCCTGCCCTGCCCTGCATTCCGAAGAGTTGCTCCCTGTTTTATCCAGTGAAATCTGGACTCCTTCCAAGTTTGACCTTTCTTGGATATTCTCTAAGCCCTAGGGTGCCTTACAGAGTTTCCGCACATTTTACAGTCGCTCTTATCAGAGCATGAAAGTCTTTATTAAGTCCATTCACTTTATTAAACTTCCACTGCTTAACCCACTGATTGGACTCAGACTAATACAAAGGATTATGTCAAAGTGATGAAAGATCGGGAGATAGAACAATCCTAATTTTGTATTCAGGTAATAACATAACTTCAAATTATACCAAGCAAAAATTGCACTAAAAAAAGAAATTAACTAATCTATAATTATAGTGGGAAATTTAACATACCTCTCAATAATTGATAGAATGAAGCAGAAAGTAATATCAATAAGGATACAGAACATCTAAACAACATAATTAACATACTTGACCTAATTGACATACATAAATAGTCCACATAAAGACAATAGAGTGTGCATTCTTTTCAGGGAAACATGGAACATTTATTTAAATTGATAATATGTTAGGCCATAAAAGACACTTCAACAAATTTTTAAAATTTTAAAGGATTGAAGTCACTTATAGTATGCTTTCTGACCATAGTAGAAATAAGCTAGAAATCAATCACAAAAAGATAATTAACAAATAAAGATGATGAGAAAATAATATTTTGAAAATCAGCAATGCTATTCCAAATTAGGGTTAAACTTGTGAGGGTTGGGGCTTATTCTAAATAATGCTGCTTTTGTTTAGTGTAGTTCAAAAACATTTGCACTGAAACTATCTTTGGATGTATTGGTGGACTCACCCATACTAAAAACACAGACTGATTACTCATAACTTGTTACTTTTTTGCAATGTCAGATATTATTCAACTAGATCTATGCCCCACCCCTGGCCCTTAATCACAATATTTAACAGAGTGACTTTTGCATATTTCCAAAAATGAAATACACACCTAAAGTATGACCGTTTGGTAACGTTAAGGATATTTTTTAAATGCTCTGCTTTCTCCATCTGGCCCCTCTATACCTCAGTGTTCTCACATACAAAATAAGAGGGGTTGAATTGGAAGTTGCTAAGGGCTTTCTAACCCTTAAGATTGTATGAGTGGATGAACTCTGTGTGCAAATATTCTATTTTAATAAGCACGTTGACCCCTGAACAACACAAGTTTGAACAGCATGGGAAATACATGCAGATTTGCTATCCCTGAGACAGCAAGACCAACTCTTCCACTTCCTCCTCCTCCTCAGCCTACTCAACATGAAGATGATGAGGATGGAGACCTTTATGATAATCCACTTCTACTTAATGAATAAGGAACATATTTTCTCTTCCTTATGATTTTCTTAATAACATTTTCTTTCACTATAGCTTATTTTATTGTAAGAATACAATATACAATATAAATAACATATAAAATATGTGTTACTAAACTGTTTAAGTTATTGATAAGCCTTCTAGTCCACAGTAGGTTATTAGTAGTTAAATTTTGGGGAAATCATAAGCTATATGCAGATTTTTGACTGTGTGGGGTGTTGCCACCCCAATCCCTGTGTTGTTCAAGGGCCAACTCTGTTTGTATTATAATATGTTACCTGTCAAAACCATCAATTTAACTAGAGGCAAATGTAAAATCTTCATTTACATTGATCCTTGGTTAAGAAAAAAAAAAGAAGAGTCCATGTCATTTTTTTTCTGAAGCAGTGACAAATGCTTGAACTTTGAGGTGACTGAGGGATGAAAAAGTAACTTTTCCCTGTACAGGCATCTAGAAGGTACTGTGATCATGTGAACATGCTGATGATGATGTTTAAAATATTCCTGGGATGAACTCAGAACTGGGTCATGTATGCTCTCAAGATGGTGTAAACGTGAGAGGCTTTTCCTGGAACAGATTTCTGGTCATCTAATCTGACTTCAGCAGTCATATCTACCACCAGTCATCTCAGTAAATAATCTGAACATCACATATATTCTATTATATTTTCCTTTCCCTATATTAATATTATTCTTCAGCTAGATGAGTATGTTTTTAGTAGGAGTGGGGAGAATTCTCAATGCATACAATAAAGAAACACCAGTCTCTTTGGATTTTTTCTTGGCATTTTTAGTCTTATTTATTATTTCTGATAAAAATGACCAAAAATTTAAATGCAGCCTTTCACAGTTTGCAAATAATTCTTCTCATATTTATTTGGTGCTTGGGAACACTATGATGCATCAGAAAAATCGAGATGTTTAAGCCAGGAAGACTTGACTTTCAATTCTACTGTGGCTATGTACTTGCTCTGAGTCCTTGGACTAGTTACTTAATGCTTCAGTGAATATTTTTGACTGTAAGTAGCTGAAATCCAGTCCCAAACCAGCTTAAATGAAAAGGGAATTTGTTGTCTGTTAATTGAAAAAGCCCAGAGAGAGAGGACCGCTGTTTGGTCATCTCAATCTAAAGGCTCTCTCCATCTTTCTGTGACCGCCTTGATTCTGCCCTCCTATGTGTGTAAACTTCTTCCTCTGACTGGGAATGAGACGGATATAGTAGTTTCAGGCATCACAGCTGCACACTGAGTATAACAGTACTAGTTACTAACATATTAAAATACTTTGGTACTAGTTGATAATTACCCATTGCCCTGAACCTGATGAGGGTTCCCAATGTCCAGCCACTGTAGCTTCCCCCCAGGACTTCCTCACAATCTAGTACATAAAGAGGCAATATATGAAATTCAGGAATCCGGGTAATATATGGAAGCAGGAATTTCAGACCCTGCTTCAGTATTATGTTCAGCACTTATTCTGGTAAGTATGTATCAAATATTATTGCTATCACCCTGCTGACACATATCAACATTCAGATGGAACAAGAGAGCCTATCTTTCCTTATGGCCCTATAAAAGAGTAAGAAAACTTTCCCCAATGTCTCTAGTACACTGTCTCCCAATTTCCTTTGCCCAAACTAGATAATGTTTCATTTCCTGAACAAGTCCTATGGGAAGAAGAATGTCATTCCCTTAGGCTCACCCCTTAATCTAGAGGAGGGGACAACTTCTTTGCTAAGTGAGAGCCTGTATTTCTCTATGGCTCTATGAAACAGCAAGAAAACTTTCCCCAAAGTCCCTAGTACACTGTCTCCCAATTTCCTTTGTCCAAACTGGATAATGTTTCATTTCCTGACCAAGTCCTATGGCCAGAAGAATGTCATTCCCTTAGGCTCACTCTTAAAGCTAAAGGAAGGAACAACGTCTTTGCTAGGTGAGAGTAAATGAAACAGAATGCAACTGAACAGAGGGAAATGGATACTAAGAAGCCAACCAACAATGTCCATTTTTTGAATCTCAGTATTATCATCTATAAGATGATAATAATGTTGTATAATTCACAACACTGTTATAAAAATTAAATGAGATAATATAGTACATTACTTAGAACAGAGTTTGGTTCATTTATTTTATAATAGGTGCTCAATAATTTCTGGTTAACAACAATAAGCACAATAATAATAATATTGCTGTTGTGAAGAACTGTGAAGGAAATGTCTGAGATTTTATACCTTTCACTACCATAACAAGTCAGCCTGCCATGGTTTAACAGATCCTAGAAAAAGACACAACACACCTGGGTTAGAGATAAAGAACTTTATTGCTCATACACAGCACTAGCAATAGCCAGAGTATCAGCCTCTTTTTCCCACCAGTTCCTTGAGCCCCATTTTCCACAGGGTGATTCACAGACCGTCAGGTGACATCTGCATATGCAGTGAGCTGTATTACAGGAGAAGAACACTGCAATAGACTGAGTTTATGTCCCTTCAAAATTCGTTTGTTGGAATCCTACCCCATAAGGTCATGGTATCAGGAGGTGGAGCCTTTGGAGGTGATTCTTCGGGAGCTGATTAGAATGGAATGAGTACCCTTGTACTTGTAAAAGTGATCCCAGAGAAATCCCTTACCTTTTCTTCCACGTGAGGCTATGATGAAAAGACAATGAAGAAGTGAGCCCTCCAAACACTGGGTCTGCTGGTGCCTTGATCTTGGAATTCCCAGCCTCCAGAACTGTGAGAAATAAATTTCTATTGTTTATAAGTCACCTAGTTTATGGCATTTTATTATAGCAGCAAGAACAGACTAAGATGGAAGGCAAGTTTAAATCTTCTTACTTGTAGCATTTGACTAATTCTCTCTTAATGTAAGATATACAGTGTGTATGATGTGTTGGTGGGGGACCAAATGTTCCTGTACCCACATCCACATAAGCAACGTCTTAATAGATGATGTGAAACTTATTATGTATAGTCATTATCCAGGTCCCACTCACAGTTAAGTGTTCACCAATAATTGGCACAGCTCCATCTGGAATGTCTGAAGAAAATTACTCTGTTTAGGCTGCTGAAGGTTAGCATCGGTTCTATCATATGCATGTAAAACCCAAGACAGCTCTCAAATGGAACAAGATAATGTGTCCTCACCTTAAATTAAATGGACACTTAAGACTTGAAAGAGTAAGAAGAAGGGAGGATTGGGGATATCCAGGAAGAGAGAAAGAGACTGTACAACAGGTAGGCCCACAGTTACTGAATCCTATTTACTTAATAATAAATGAAGAGATATAAAGTTTTCTGTGAATGTATGACAGGAATGGATCTCTACTCAAGTACCATGGCATGAGTTGAACTTTGCACCATCAGTTCCTGTATATGGGACTCCAATGAACTTTAGAGCCAAACAGATATTTCAGCCTCTGCTGCTTACAGGCTATGAGTGTAAGCAAGTTTCACAACATTTTTCTTACTTAACTGAGAAGATAGGGATAATAATAGCACCTACTGCATAGGGTCATTATGAAGAGTAAATTCTGAAAAGTGCATACCATAGAGTCTAGTACGCATCATCAGTAAATGGTAGCTGATACACTTGTTTAAAAAACTTTAGTAATGATTGACTTAATGATATATTGGGGAAAAACTTGCCCTGTCGTCCTATCTATATTTCTTGCCAGACACATGTAGGACAAAGGGTCACTCCATAAACCATCTGTGAGCTTTCAACTGATCATCAGAATAATGAGCCATCCCCAAGACCAAGTGCCACCCCTGGGCCAACTAAGATCTCCCGGGGTAATGCATCAATCCATTTCCCAGACTTTGTACAGCCATAGAGACGGTTCCCAGCTCCAGGAGATAGGTGTAGGGTGCGATAATCAAATTACAGAAAGTTGGATATTCATTCTGGTTCCACCTCTTATGAGGCTGACTTTACATTTCATCAATACCTCAACAAAGAGTTGTTGTAATATTTAAGGAAAGCATGTCTATAAATTTCCTACTTAGCACAGTTTCTTGCACGTTATACATTTGATAATTATTTATTCCTTACTTTCCATCCCTATTGTATTAAGGTGGAACAGATGTTGTCTCTAAGTTATTACGAAGCTGTCACTTTTGAGGGGCTAGGCAAGAGGAACAACTTCAGCAAACTTTAAACATTTTGAACTTCAGTGGGCATAAGGATCACTCAGGGAGCTTGTTAAAAATGCAAGATTGGCCCCACCCATAAACATTTTGACTAAATAAATCTGGGGTAGTGCCCAGTAATCTGTATTTTTAACAAGCTCTCTAGGAGAGTCTTCTGATGTAGGTGATGTTGTCATCACAAATTGAGAAATGCTGTTTGTGTCCAGTGCTATTTTAGGCTGAGCTATCTACCTCATATTACTTATTTCTATTTTCTTTTTACCAAATTACACAATAAAAAATTGCTTTTAAAAATAAGATATAGAAAAATGGCAGAGAGGGTCATGGCCAGGGGAGTGGAGCGCAACTCTTCTGTTTTCACTTCAGAATCCTTACTTAGTTATCAGCTGACATATAAATAAAAGATGAATTTTCCAATGATTAGGAGACTCTGTCTTGGTTTTAGAGAAGATGAATGGAGGAATTTTCTGACTTTAAGGACACAGAAATACATGAAAGAAAAGGTTTGTCAAAGAATAATTAAAAGGATTTTTACTAAACAAAAAGAATATGGTTCATTAATGTGGTCAGTGAGGACTCAAGTAATTATACGAGTAATTTTTATATGTTTTCAGGAATGAAAATTGACTCCAAGGTTCTAATTATGTTAAACCACAACATCAATATTTCCTGGATTTGGGAAGAGAAAAATCATGTGCAGATAAAATTAATAATGCCTTACCCTCTTCCATGATGTAATTAATGCATATGGAAGTAGGGGATGACTGTCAGTTCTTTTCTACAATGTAAGTTTGGGAACAACTTTGGCATTGTTGCAAATGCCCAGCTGGCTATTTCTAAGAAATGAAGTATTTGTATGACAGAGACTCTGTGTTCTTAAAGGAAGTTCCCTATTCATTATTCAGATCCATGCACATCCCTGGAACAGGTTCAGCAACAGAAGTTTCCATGCTTTAAGATGGTGAGATATAAATAGTTGTGTAAGGTTGAACACCAAGATCATCTCATAATATTGAGAATGTTGCAATGTAGCTGTGAATCAGGTTTCAAGTTGTTGTACCATTTATTGGAAATAAAGAGTATACTTCTTTAACTAATTCATCCCTCAAAGGTCGAATGAATTTAATTGCTCCTATTTTGAGCCTGGCTTCAAACAGCACACCCATTTAACCTGGCTATATTTAAAGGAGGTGGGGGGATCATTAAATCACTTAAGGAGAAAACATTCAGAAACACAAGACTGAAAGCAATGTTATTCTTTCTGAAGTCATCTTTCAAGAGAAGTGACCTGGAGGCCTGACATCTCCAGGCCATCTTACATTCGAAAGTGAACATGAAAACAGTAAAATAGAACGAATGACTTCTGGAACCAGGCGGAGGGAAGCTGATCTGCAGCCCAGAGAGGGAACAAGAGCCTTTCTACTCTGTCTCCAAAATAGACAATATCACACTTCCCATGCCTTCCTCCACAACCTTCCCAAATGCCATCACAGGGACAGTTTGTACATGATGAAATTCAGAAAGTTTCCTACAATATTTTAAATGAAGAAATCTTTTTGCCAATTGTTTTCAATCTATAAAATAACTGAATTTCCATGCATACCTCTTCTTTGCCTTCACATAGATATGCCGTCCAGCTATCTGTCCATCTTTTGCCTCCCACCCTCAGACTTCTTTGAACAAGAAGAGGTTACACTTTCAACCCTTTCCACTGCGGTCACGTACACATTTAACTTCCTACTCCCTCTGTTCAAAAATTATCAAAGGA
The DNA here is from genome assembly GCF_000001405.40 of Homo sapiens. NCBI lineage: Eukaryota > Metazoa > Chordata > Mammalia > Primates > Hominidae > Homo > Homo sapiens. The sequence goes on along the minus strand of NC_000005.10, from coordinate 115,335,565 downwards.
GAATGATGAAACTCAGAAAGCTGTAACACAGCTTCAAGATGCACCACAATTACTCTGTGAACTCATGAAAAGCATTGGATTTGAAAAGACTAGAAGAATAAGCAGCTGGTACTTTAGGAGTGCTTATCATGTGACTAGCCTTGTTCTAACTTATTTAATCCCCATATCAGACCTATGTTTATCATACTGATTTTACAGAGAAGTAAATCAAGGAGAAAGAAGGATAAGTAACTTTTCCAAGGCCACAATTGCAAGGCTTGGAGCTAGGATTGGAACCCAGAAGTATGGTTATAGAGTCTGTGCTTCTAGCCACTATTTAAACAAGATGAACCAAACAGTTAAGACCTTAAATGGACTATGATGAATAGAAGTGGGGAAGCATAGAGCAGTGCTGCTGTTACTCAGGAGACCCAGCTTCACCTCCACTTGAGAACCCTCTGAAGTAGCTGACAAAATGTTAGGTGAGTCTCCTCAGACCTGGGCTCTGGAAAATAGGCCTCATTCTTTCCTGAAACCACAGAGCTCTAAAAGAGCAATTGTCACCACGCTGAGCAGAAATGCCTCTAAGAGGATGCTTCATTGCCTTCTTAGGTGTCAAGACCCCCACCATGTATGTCCGGGTGGGGGAGGGGGTCACTATCTTCTGTCTTGGCTCCTTGGTCTTGAGCCTTCAGTCCCTAAAGCTGAGGTGCCAAAGATCCACCTCCCTCATCCCTCTGGTTGGGCAGGAGTCTTTCTGAACTTTGAGGACTTGATGCAGATGGAGATTTTTTTCCTCTGCGCAAACAGGATCCTCAAGACCCTAGTTGTGGCAATGAGAGGTGTTCACCAGAGAGTAAGAAGACACACTTCTGTTGGGACCTGGTCCAAATGGCTCTTGGGTACTCACCAAGTGACATAATCGTCTTTCCTGCAGTCCATTCTCTGGACACCTTCTGGACCACAGGTTCCCCTTTTTAAATATATCCTAGGATCAGATTCCAAGTGTAGAAAAGTGTGATAGGCTATAAGTTAAACTGTTTTAATCATATATATGATCAAAAGTGTGTATATATATGTATATGTATATACTCAGAAAAAAATGTATCGCTGATGCTTTTTTTCTACTTTTCCTTTCCCATCTCTGTCTTTCTCCCACATAATGAAGACTCACGGTAACTTCTGCTATTTGAGATAGCAATTTATTTTGCTTGTCTCTCCTCCAGTGTCTTAATAATAGTTCCTCTGATAATTTTTAAACTTAAATACAACGCAAATTTTGCTTATGTTGGACAAGTAGAAAATCATTTTTGCAGAGATAAAATCAAACAAAAAGTGCATATTTATATTTAAGTATGTTCATATCAACATGACAAAGAAAGATGATAAGTATATACCCCAGGCCATAAACATTTGTTGTCTCAGAAAGAAGCTTGAGAACAGAGGGGTAGCAATGATAGTACTTTTATTATTTAGGTTTTATTTATGTATCTTTTTATTATTTCACCTGTTAAAGTAGCATGCATTGTTTTCTAAATTAAATAAAAATAGAGAACATTTTAAAAGGAAAAGGTAGACTTCCCTTTCCAGGAAGCTGAAGTAGACACATTTTTCCCTATTCCTCTCATTAAGTATAACTAAAAACTTTGGACATTATGTATAAAAGGAAAATAAAAAGACTCTGAAATGTAGAGAAAAGGCAGATCGTCTAGGAACAATAGGAACACAAGAAGAAATTTAGTGTTGAACTCCTTGGGTTTTCCTTTTGTTTCCCAGACTTGGAACTGAAGAAGCCAGCCACCCAGAAAAGTCAATGTATACAGACAAAAAAAGGCCCAACAAAAGCCTGTTCTCTCTACCAAAGGACCAGGAAAAGGACAACATAGCAAGGCAAAAAACTGCTCCCCTCCAGCCTAACTGCGCAGAAAAAACTGTGGCTCCCTCACCCATACCAGCAAATATTGAGTGGGGTGCCCAGTCTTCCACCTTCCCCAGGCTATAGTGAGGTTGTGTCAAAAAAGTCCAAGAAGGAAGCTGAGACTTTCATCCCTGCCAGAATATAACAAGCCTCTCCCACCATGGTGTCAGTTGAGGCCATGTGGGAAGCCTGTAATTCTACACTCAGTGGATGGTAGCAAGACATCCTCCTCCTCCCCGCTGGGCTAGTGTCAGAAGAGGCCTAGTGGAGAGTCAGCACTTTCAACACCACCCAGTGGTTTTGAGGCTAACCCTTTATACCTCCTTAAGTGGCACAGTATCAAGGGAACTTCTACCCCCTGCAGCCACAGAGGCATCAATAGAGGCCTCATGGGAGTCAGAACTTCCACCCCTATGTAGCAGTAATGAGGAGCACAAATTAGAAGGTGTCAACAAAGGCCAAGAGAAGAACCTGAATTACCCCACCCAGCAGTAATAAGGTAGCAACCCCCTTTCACTTTTGGAGCAGTGTCTGGAAATCCAGATAAAACAGAAGGCTTAAATAAGATCCAGAGCCTTGTAACAAAATACCTCAAATGTCCAAATGTCAATTGTACCAAAAAGAGTTCAAATTCAATGGAAAAAAAAGCCAACATTAAGATGACAGAGATGTTAGAATTAGCTGATTACATTTTAAAGCAGCCACCATAAAAAATGTCTCAGCAAGCAATTACAAACATGCATGAAACAAACAGAAACTTAGAAAGTGAAGCAAAGAAGTCCGGGTGTGGTGGCTCAGGCCTGTAATCTCAGCACTTTGGGAGGCTGAGGTGGGTGGATCACCTGAGGTCGGGAGTTTGAGAACAGCCTGACCAACATGGAGAAACCCCATCTCTACTAAAAATACAAAATTACCCGGGCATGGTGGCAGGCACCTGTAATCCCAGCTACTCGGGAGGCTGAGGCAGGAGAATCGCTTGAACCTGGAGGCAGAGGTTGTGGTGAGCTGAGATGGCGCCATTGCACTCCAGCCTGGGCAACAAAAGCAAAACTCTGTCTAAAGAAAAAAAAAACAAAGGAAGTGAAGCAACGAAATAGACAATGTTAAAAAAATAGAAATTTTTAAAACTGAAATGTACAACAACCTAAGTAAAAAAAAAACAAAAAAAACCCTCAGTGAATCAGCTCAACAGCAGAACAGAGGAAAAAGAAGAAAGAATTGGTCGACTGGAAAATAGAAATTAGCTAATCTGAACAACAGCAGAGAAAATGGACTTTAAAATGATATTTGAGTAGATGAATATCCCAATTATCCTAATTTGATCATTACATATTGTGTATTTATATCAAAATACCTCAGGTATCCCAGATATCTGTACAATAATTTTATATCAATTTGAAAAAAAAATGAGCAGAGCCTTCTCCTCTTTAGTTTTCTAAATCATGTTTGAAGATTGAAGCAAAAATTATAACATTGTCTGGTATGATTCTAAATGTGTAAAAAGGAAATACTTCAAACAATTATAAATGAGGAAGGATAAAGTCATGTAAGGTTTCTACATTTCACTCAATCTAGTAAAATGACAGTACCAATAGACTGTGATAAGTTATATAAGTAATGTTACTACTTACAGCAATGACCAAAAAAGCTATAGACATAGGCTCAAAACACTAAAAAACACTGCAAATATCAAAATGGAATTCTAAAAATTTTTCAAGTAATCCACAGGAATATAGGAAAAGGAAAATGGAAACAAACCAAACAAAAAAAAAGAGAACAAAGAGGAAATAAAATATAGAATGGCAGACTTAGGTCTTAAGATATCAATAATTACATTAAATGTAAATAGTCTAAATATGTCACTTAAAAGACTGGCAGAATGGATTTAAAAACATGACTCAACTATATACTGTCTACAAGAAGTTTACTTCAATAACAATATAGCAGATTGAAAGTTAAAAAAAAGTATCACTGAGAAAGATACATCATTTGAACATTAGTCAAAAGGAAGCAGAAGTGACTATATTAACATCAAATAAAGTAGACTTCAGAGCAAAGAACATTATTATCAGAAACAAAGAAGGACATTTAGAGTAATCCACCAAGAAGACATATCAATCCTAAATGTGTATGTACCCAAAAAAAGAGCTGCAACAGAATCTAATCAACATTTATAGAACATGCCAACTAGCAACAAAAAAATACCCATTCTTTTCATGTGCCAACAGAATGTATACTAAGCTGGAGCACAGTGAACAAGTCCCATCAATATGCTCAGGCCCATCCTGAGTCAAACAACACACCTCAACATATTTAAAAGGATTGAAATAATACAGAGTGTATTCTCTGTCCACAGTGGTACCAAACTAGTGACCAATACAAGAAGATAAGGGGAAAATCTCTAAACATTTGGAAACTAAGCAACATATTTCTAGATAATCCGTGGGTCAAGGAAGAAGTTTTAATGGTAATTTTAAAATTACATTGACCTGAATGAAAGTGAAAATACAACATATAAAAATTTGTGGGACACAGCTAAAGCAGTGCTGAAAGGGAAATTTGCAGCACCAAATGCCTACCTTAGAAAAGAAGAAAAATCTCAAGAACCTAGAAAAAGGGGAAAACCCTAGAAAAACCCAAAGCAAGCAGAAGGAAGCAAATGATAAAGCTATACAATGACTAAGCTGGTAAAAATTTAAAAAAAAAATTGCTTAGATTTTGGATAAGGAGAAAAACATCGTTTTTGGAAAATGAAATTAAACTACAACACTGAAATATTGGAATGAACTTAAGCTAAATTCTGAGGATTTGAGCCTGGCTTCTAAATTTGCATATTCATTTCTAATCTCTATAAAAGCTCCAGCATGAAACCATATTGGTCAAGGAAATCAGAAAGTGCCAGGAAAAAACTAAGAGTTATGCTCATTTTTTTCACTCTTATTTATTTATTTATTTATTTATCTCAACTTTTATTTTAGATTTAGGGGATACATGTGCAGGTTTTTTACATGGGTTTATTGCGTGAGGTTTGGGGTATGAATGATCCTGTCACCCAGGTAGTGAGCACAGCACTCGATAGGTAGTCTTTTGACCCCTGTTCCCCTCTTTCCCCACCTCCAGTAGTCCCCAGTGTCATTATTTCTATCTTTATGTCCATGTGTACCCACCGTTTAGCTCCCACTTGTAAGTGTGAACATGCAATATTGAGTTTTCTGTTCTTGCATTTGTTTACTAAAGATAATGGCCTCCAGCTGCATCCATGTTGCTACAAAGAACATGATTTCATTCTTTTTATGGCTGTGTAATATTCCGTGTGTATATGTACCACATCTTCCTTCATCCAATCCACATTGATGAGCACCTAGGTTGATTCCATGTCTTTGCTATTGTGCATAGTGCTGCAATGAATGTACAGGTGCATGTGTCTTTTTTGTAGAATTATTTATTTTCTTTTGTGTATATATCCAGTAATGGGATCACTGGGTCAAATGATAGTTCTGTTTTAAGTTCTTTGAGAAATCTCCAAACTGCTTTCCACAATGGCTGAACGAATTTACATTCCCACCAACAGTGTATAAGCGTTCCCTTTTCTCTGCAGTCTCACCAGCATCTGCTATTTTTCGACTTTTAAATAATAGCCATTCTGACTGATGTTTTTACTCTTGTTCATGAGATTCATCATATGGTTATTTACCTTACTGTGACCTTGCTGAAATGATACCTCCTCAATTCTAGGCCAGTGTGTTCTAAATGATACTTAAAGTAACTGCTATCACACACGTGTGTGTGTGGTTTTAAGGAGCGCAGAGTTTAATAGGCAAGAAAGAAACGGGAAGAAAGAAAGAAGAAGCTCCCTTGTACAGAGACAGAGGGAGCGGGGCTCCAAAGCTGAGAGACAGAACTCCACACTTAGCTAATATCAGCCAGCTATATTCAATGGCTGGAGGAGGCTGGGTCTGATTTGCATAGGACTCAGGGGATTGGTTTGACTAGGCATGTCATTCACGTAACCGGCGGAAAAAACTGGCCCTCCTACCCTAGCCTTTTAATATGCAAATGTAGGGCACCATGATGTTCCACACACGTGGGGATATGTGGGGGTGGTCATGCTGCCAGACACATGTGGGGGAAGGGCAAGAGGACAGCTGTGGGAATCGCCATGTTGAGTGGACCCAGTTTCTTTTCTTTCTTTTTTTTTTTTTTTAGAACAGAAAGAAAACTGTTTTATTACACAAACTTGAATGTGACATGCATCATAGTCAATCTGCTTAAGAGACTGCAGAGACAGAAAGATGGTCACCAAAATTAGTCCACAAGTAGAAGAATTTACAGTACCATGTCATACATAGTTAATCCTAAATTCACATGGAGATTGAAGAGGCTATCTGTGTATGCTAATTGTTTATATTCAATGACAAAAAAACTTTTCACATCTTCATAACAGGAGGTAGTTTAGCAGCTTGAAGCCAGGTACTTGCTGAAGGTAGGCTTTGAACCTGCTACAAAAATGGTTGAAAAGCATTCTATCCTCTTGGCTATTTACCTTTTAGAGCAGTGGCTCTGTGCTCCGTGGCATTGGGCTACAGCACTCCTGCTTGCTTTTTCCTGTTGCTAGTGTCCTCTCTTGACCTCTATCATCTGCCACTGAGGCACAGCCTTGAGCACAGCTCAGTTTATGTGAACCACATTTCCCACAGCAGCACTCTAGTGTCACATCAGAGAGGAAAGCCTGAGCTGCAGGAGGAGAGCCTGCAGGCCTCGTGGGTAGAATTGCACCTTCACAATAATGGGAGTGTGACCGTTTACCCAGTTTCTAATGACTTGCATTTGCATATTAAGGTTGCCAGCCCAGCCGTGCTGGGTGGACCCAGTTTCTAACGGCTTGCATTTGCATATCAAAGGTTGCTGGCCTGGGTCTAAGAGCCAGGGCTTTCATGCTAGAGAAGAGCTGTAAAAAAATTTTCCAAGGACCCCTTTTTCCTCTCTACCTGTCTAAAATAATTTCTTAATAACTCCTACCTCATTTCTCCCTGTGGAGATATCACCCCAACGGCTGTTAGGGGGTTCTGGGTGACAACTCTATCTGGCTACTTCCTGCTGAAAAGGGGCATTGAATGGGGAACAGCATCTAAGACTTCTCCTGGGGTTGATCTAAAGGTCCTCAGAACGGCGTGTCCATGTGTGGTTCAGTTTGCAGCACCATTTGGAGTTTGACTGATTCTAGGTGAGAAGAAACAATCGAGTTACAGTATTGAGTATACAGGGTCCAAATATTAATACAAGATATACAAGCAAGAGAGGGATTAATAAAGGGGTCAACCAATTCCATGAAGAAGACTGGAATTCGTTAAATAAGGATTGTAGCCACCGGGGGCTGAAGCCGGCATTTTCTCTGAGCCTGTCAAAAATTTTGATTTGATCTTTTAAGCACCTGTAGATTTTCCTCTTCTTTACTAGAGGTGTTAATCTAGAAGCAACATGTTTCATTTGAAAGTGCACAGGTACCTCCTACTCCAGCCATAAGGACATGGAAGGCCTGTCTATTTTGTGTTACTACTGAGGCTAAAGAGACTATAGATTGCTGTCGTGCCTCTATGGCCCCTACAGTTTCCTTCCATCCTCGTTGCATCATAACAGAGATATTAAGTATTGATCTTTCAAGGAGAGGTATGTCTGCAGACCAGAATAGACCTCTGGCTATAGAATTTCCCATCCATGGATTCTTCTAAGAAGAGATTGTCATGTGCATGCCCTCCCCAGTCTGCGCTTTCAGTTAAATCTCCATATGAAGGCATAGAAATGATAGATCTTTTTGTCTGGTGTATTCGAGTTAGTGCAGTTTCTAGAAAAGAGCTTAAGTTAGGGATGTCCCCAGATGATGCTGCCATCTCAGTAGAACTTAAAAATAATAAGTCAGGAACTACTGCAACTGTAGTACAAATTCCCTTCCACTTTCTTGGGAGGATTAAGTGTATCCAGGAGCCACACAGAAAATATAGCCCTGTTCCTTGAAGAGATGGTTTTAAGTTGTGGCTTGTGAGAGACACTGGCAGATTTTTCTCATATCTCAGAAGTTTTCCCTCTTTACATATAATAAGGACATCCTGGGATAAGGATAACCATATTTAGGATAGTCACTTACAGTGCCATTTGGAATTTGACATGCCAAATGAAGAGGGTCCACCTGACAAATGGAGTTTCAAAAAATTAGAGACATAATATGCCCTGGCCAATATCTCAGAAGATCCTTGTGGCAAGGGCTGTCGGTCCAGATGTCTCCAGTTCGCCCACATATTTGTAAGCCACTACTATTAGCAAACGTCATACAAGGGTTTGGAGTTCCATGACGGGGCATGTTTGGAAAGGCCCATGTGTTATTCTTTACATTACAGTCAAGGTGGTTATTTAGAGCATGCCATTCCCATTGAGACTTCCAACCAATGGGAGCAGCTAGATTCTGAAAGCCCCCTACTAGGGCTTCCGATAGTTGTAGATTATGCTTGTTGCATTCTCTTCCCCAAATCTTTGAATTTCAGCAATTACAAGTGTGATGTTACAATACTTGAGATCTCCCAAGCATGGTCCTTCCCTTTTACTTCTAAAGCAGAGAGAGGCATTTGCTATTACTTGGTCCACTTTTCCCAGCCTGAGGGTATCACACATATTTTTTAAACTATGATACATAGTGAGACTAGGAATAAGCACAGTAAGGAATAATGTATTTACCTGAAATCTATTAATTAGAACTTTATTAAGTCTAGCACTTTGGTTGTTTGCAATAGTTGGTTTCCTCTATGTCCTTAAAACTTTAATTTTTTTTAAAAAATCACACAATACATAAGTATATTCTATTTCTTCAAATTCAATCTACACAGAAGCATGTTAAAAAAGAATGTAATCATGGCTAACAGTTTGATATATATATATATATCCTTCCAGACAATTTTATATATATTTACACAAATACATACATATATTTATAGATTTACATACAGAAAATTAACCACTGGAATTTAAGATAAGCAGAATTAGGCTTTTAGGGTTAATTCTACTACTTTTTAAAAGCTTTTTTAAAGCTTAGCACAGTGTCATAGACATCTGTACATGCTAGTACAGGATTTTAAATGCCAGTAGTTTTTTTATTTCCCACTGTTGTAAACATATCACATGATTGTATCATAATTCAGTCAATCCTACAATGAATAACTTACTCATACTCTTTGTGCATGTATACATGTATTTTTCTAGGGAAAATATATAGAAATTGAATTTTTTAATACATTGTTTCCAGTAAGTCACAAACTCCCCATAGTGTGTGAGTCTCATTTGTTCACATCTGGAGTCCAGCGTCTCTGTGCTTGGACGTACCAGAACAGCTCCCACCTCTGCAGCAGTCCTCCCAGCAGTGGTCTGGGCTGCTATGATTTCCTTTATCAACCCAATCCTAAGTTCTTTCTGTTTTTCAGGTAACTTTCAAAATTCCTAGTACATTAATGGCAGTCATTCTTGTTTTCCGGCATTATATGCATTTATTTATTTATAAAATATGTATTCTGTTAATTGAAAGGATTTGGAGAGGTAGGCATATGTGTTCAGTCTATCTTGTTCTAATCTCTTTTCACTCTACAAAAAGGAAAGATGAGTGGATCAGAATAGTCAAAAGAGAGAGACTTGCTAAGAATCTTTACATAGAAACTCTCTATAAAATTTTCCTCTTTTTAGAACCTCTGACCCTGAAAGCTGCCAGTGGGCTCTGTGAAACATCATCTGTAATGTTAGTTTTTCTGTTGAATGCCTCCAGCTGTGGGTCATGGGGCAGAGGACATAGATTTTTATATCATCCCAATGGATTAATGGCTCAAAATCAAATCCTGGCAGAGTATCAAAGACTGACATCAGAAACGCAAGGGTGAAAGTTCTCTCTCTTGAACATGCATAACTTTGGGTTTGTTTTTTAAATGTTGAATATATTTATCATATTCTTTTAATCTAAGAAGCCAAAAGAAAACCACATGGTATAAAAGAAAGCAAGCCTCCAAAGAATACCAAATTATTTTGGAAGCAATAAAATCTACTTTAAAAGATTTGCCTGTTTTAAAAAGCGGCTGGATGACCTCATGTTCCATATGAAATTCTCAAATCTGGACATAGCCGTTGTGTTTTCTATTTAAAGCCCAGTACAAAAGCCAAGCAAATGCTTTGTGCAGCTTGTTTGTGCCTTGAACTGCCTCTGCTCTGATATGGTTTCACCTACTTGAATCAGGCAGGAAGGTTTCTGGACACAATATCACATTGAAGTCTGGATCTCAAAAATATTGTGAAGCTGAGGGATATTTTTTAGCCTGGTTTCCCAGTTTGGGCAATCTTTTGCTTCTTTCTCCCAGCTGTTAACAACTTTCAAAATTTTAATTAAGATTTAGGTGCAAATGACAGACTGACTATAGCTTAAACTTTTACTCCTTTAAAAACACCTGCATTTTAACATCAATGCTCTAATTGTGGAATCCCGGTGTTAGCAAGAAGAGGAGCAGATGAGGTGGGACCCTTTGGGCACCTGGGCCTTCCAAGTACTCAAGTAAGTGAGGTGTGACCTCCTTCACCCTGCTCACCTGGGTACCACTTCCATTTTCTCAACAGGACTCTCATTCCATTGCAGCCAAAAGGATAATGGTTTTGTGCCTCCTAGGTTCAGAGAAAAAACAAGAGTCAGCAGGGCTTGGTGCAGGAGCTTCTTAAATATGAGCCCTTCAGGGGCCTCCATGGGAGGGAAGTGGTGAGAACAGGTGGGACTGACTCCTTCCCTACTTTATTTTTCAAAGAAATTCCTTGCTTTTCCTTTTCTTCAGTGTAAAATGTTTGACAAGGGGTTTTGGCCAAAAGAAAGGTGGAAAACAAAGATGGAGGAGTGGAAAGGATCTGGGTTGTAATCCCTGCTTCCTGGAGCTCAGAGAAGTTCAATATGCAGTGGCTAGAGTAAGCCTTGGTGCTACATTTGGCCAGAGAAGATTGTATCCTATAGTTGCCTCCCAGCTCAGCCTACACATTTGTAAGAGAGAGAATGTGTCCATTCCATCTTCAAGACAGGAAAGATAATATAGATGAGAAAGACTCTTTCAGTGAACATGGAAAATGACTGTTGTAAATAACATGTTATATTTTAACTCCTCAGTCCTCAGTTTCCTCATCTGTAAAATGGTAATGCTGAGAGTGACCTCACAGAGTTGTTGTGAGGATTGAGTAACATCTGCAAAACTCTGCCCAGTGTTCGGCCCACAATCAAGTGCATGTCAGCCATTGTCATTAAGTATCTGCCTTTCTGTATCACTCTCCAGTCTCTTCATGCATGATCCACTGCCTCCCAGCTAGACAGGAAGGGTTTGGGTGGCATTATATTTCTTATCCTAAATCTTTAAACTCCCATCTCCCCACAGCTCCCATTACAGTGTCTGGCATATAGTGGGTTCTCAACAAATATTTGTCAGTTGAGTCATGGATATTGCAGTTGATCATGGACTCTTTTTCTTCTGCAGTCCATGAAATTGTGTCACCCGTTGTCCTAGTTTCTGTTTGCTCCTTATATATAGAATCCTACCTTTATTTCTAAGCACATTCTGACTTTTTTTAAAGTTCTTGAAATTTGATCTTTTGATCTACCTACATACAATATAAAGGAAGAGAAGAGACAAAAATCAAGTTCTTCTGTGGTTTTTAAATTTTACTTTGAGCCAACCCAATAAGGGCTTCTCCTCTTAAACTGTATGTTATTGGAAGAATCTTTTGGTTTCACTTTATTTATATTCTCTATTTATGAAAAGAGGAAAAAAACACATTCTGTATATCCTTGGAGTGCAACAGCTTTTTTATAAGACTAAAGAGGTAAACATCAATAAAGATCAACTACATAACGTATATTCAATAGCAGAAGAACACTAAGAGGATTACATTCTCTTCCTCTATTAGGTTAATTTTACATTAAAAATAAATCTCTAAGATGAATTTTGTAATTTACCAAGTGGTAAAATAAACAACTTGATTAAATTTTAAAATACACATAATAAATATTGCAGTTAATATTAAATAACAAAAGTGTTTTATTATTTAACATATACTTTAGAAAATAAATAGAAATAAAATGGTACAGTCACACTGGAATACAATTTGGCAGTTTCTTTAAAACTAAACATGCACATACCATATGCTATGGTTTGAATGTATCCACCAAATTCCATGTATTGGAAACGTAATCCCCAAGTTTATATGATGATTAGAAGTGGGACTTGGGGAGATGATTAGGATGAGATAAGCTCATCAGGATGGGGCTCTCATGATGGGACTGGTGGCTTTATAAGAACAGGATGAGAAACCTGGGCTACCATACACACATGCTCTTGCCCTCTTGCTATGTGATGCTTTCCACCATGTTGTGACACAGCAAGCAGGCCCTCACCAGATGCCAGTGATATGATCTTGGACTTCTCAGCCTCCAGAACTAGAGGAAACAAATTTCTTTTCTTTATAAATTACCCAGTCTTAGGTATTCTGTTATAGCAACAGAAAACAAACTAACACACCATACAGCTCAGCAATTGCACTTTTGGACATTTATCTCAGAGAAATGAAAACTCATGTTCACACAAGAACCTGTACATGAATATTCATAGCAGCTTTACTCATAACATCCAAAACCTGTAAACAACCCAGACATCCTTCAGTGGATGAATGGTTAAACGAACTGTGGTACATCCATACCATGGAATACTACTCAGCAATAAAAAGAACAAACTATTGATACATGCAACAAGATAGATAATGCATGGATCTAACAGGAATCATGCTGAGTGAAAAATGCCAATATCGAAAGGGTACATAAAGTGTGACACCATTTATTGTAACATTCTTAACATAACAAAATTATAGAAATGGAGAACAGATTAACAGTTGCCAGATTAGTGTTTAGGGAGTGGGGACTTGACTATTAAAGGATAGCATGAGGGAGCCTTGTGTGGATGAAACAGTTTTGTATCTTGATTATGGTCATGGTTATACTAATCTACACATGTGATAATATTGCATAGGACTATGTACACACACACACACACATGCACAATTAAGGACATATAAAACTGGTAAAATCTGAATAAGCTCTGTGTGTTTTACCGTTGTCCATTTTTTGGTTTTGATGTTGAGCTACAGTTATGCAAGATGATACAAATGGAGGAAGCCGGATAAAGGGTACTCGGGACATCCCTGTCTACACATTTTTTGTAACTTCTCATGAATCTATAATTATTCACAATAGTTATAATAATTATAATTATTTCAAAGCAAAAACAAAAAATAATAAATAGAAGCTCTGCACAAAATATATTTCCATTGCACACAATAGTGTTTTTTCAAGAGACATATATAAAAAGGGAGCCCTATGGAAGTACAAATGATGTATAGAGAGTGAGCACTGAGGGACCTTTAGATTCAAAAAAGTAATCCAAAGGACTTCCTCTTTGACTTAGCTTCTTAACACAGATGAAGTGGATTTTATCATAAAAAGTATGCTCTCTAAAATAATATTAAACTTTAACTCCAAATGTTGTTATTAATCTTTTAAAAATCAAAGAGTTCCTGGCATGGCTTTTAAATAACACATACTTATCCATATTTTTAGAGAAAGAAAGTGAAGCATAAATGTTCTCACTATATGCATACAACATGCTTCAGAATTTCTGTTATCACAGAAATTCTTAATTCTCCACAATTCTCTGTATTTCTTTCCCTTTTATTTGGTCCTCAAAATAATTGCATGAAGTATATAGAGGAAAAAACATAAGTAGAAAAACCACGGACTGATAATACTACCATTCTTCTAGGAACTGCCAAGGCCAACACACATACCCAGTCACAGGTGCTCAGTGTAGCCCAGAGACTTCAGGTATTTCCTCAAATATTATACCAAAAGGACACACAAATGCGGAGTGACTTGACAACTCCTCCAAAGCACGGTGCTGATACAAGAATTGTGCTGTCGGTTCATTTCATTCCCCAACATTTTATTCTCTAACAATCCTATGAGGTAGACATCTTACAGATAAAGAGACCAGATAACATAAATGTGTCAATTAAGTCTATGGGTGACTAAGTATGGGCTAGCCCTGGCCCAGCCACATTCACAGTGAGTCAGTGCTTGGCTTCTGGAGCCACACTGTGTGAGTGTGAACCTCAGCTCTACAATGTCTGAGCTACACTGTCTGGGGCCAGTTACATGACCTCTCTCAACCACAAGTTCCTCACCTGTAAATTAAAAATAATAATAACAATCAGGGTATTTTGAGGATCAAATAATTTCATATATGTCAGTCATGTAGATCAGAGGTCATCAAACTATGTCCCGTGGGCCAAATTTGTGGCCAAATCCCACAAATCCTACCATCTGTTTTGGGAAATAAAGTTTTATTGGAGCACAGGCACATTCATCCCTTACATAATATCTGTGGCTGCTTTCTCATTACAACAGAGTTGAGTACTTGTGACAGAGATCATATGGCTCACAGCACTGAAAATATTTACTATCTGGTCCTTTACAGAAGAAGTTTGCTGACACCTGATTTAAATGATGGCTTGGCGAAACCTAAATGCTTAGTAAGTGTTTACTATTGTTCTCACTATTATTATAAAAGTTCACCCTGATGTCTTGGAGAACAAACCTCTCCCATCCATTAAGAGCCTGATACAGTCATATTCCAAATAGTTTATCCTTCCATCATAATTCTGAAGCCTCTCTCTTAGAAAATCCATACATGTTTTAGGCCTGTATCATGAGGGCAGTAGCTTGGTAGAATAAGGCTTCTACTTTCCAGGAAAACTACAGAGTCACTTTAATTAATCATGTATAGCTGACCTATCAAAAGGTCTTGGTTTTTGGCACAGTTGTAGCATGGGTTTTCCAGGTCAGACAAACAAATATGTTTGCTAGGAATGCACGAAGCAATGGGCTGATTTTTCCCCTGTTCTAGGTCATTCTGGGCATGTTCTCTGAGGATAGGAAAGATTATTACCTAAAAAAGCCCTGCTATTTCTGCAAGTCAAGTGTAAAGATAAAAAAGAATAATGGGAGAGATCATAAACTAATCTAGATTCATAATAAAATAAAAATAATAATTATTTTACTGACCCAGGTAGAAATACTGGTTTAATTGGTGTCAGTGCAAAATACAAGGCTAAAATGGATCTATTCTCCATACAGTATGCAGAGTAATCTTTGAAAACACAAATCAGATTGAAAACACAAATCAGATTAGGTACCTCCCTTGACTAAAATCTTCCAGCAGCTTCTTATTTTAGCATAAAGTCCAAATTCCATGATCCTGCTCTAGTTCCTTCTCTGACCTTAATCTGCCACTCTTCTCCCCTCACTCCCTTGAGCCAAGCTCATAAGCCTTCTTTCATTCCTAGCACATGCCAAGCATGCTCTGCCTTCGGATGTTTGCACCTGCTTTCGTCTCTTCCCTCTGCCTGGAAGAGTGTGTCCGTATATCTTCACAGGGCTGACTCCTGCTCACATGCTGGTCTTGGCTCAAATGGCACTTCCCCAACCAACCTTCTCTCAAGACCACCCACTCACACTCTCCATCACATCTTCCCATTTTATTTCACTCATAGCCCTCATCACTAGCTGAAATTATCTTGTTTCTTCATTTGCCTCCTTAATCTTTGTGCATCTCCCTCCATTAGTACATAAGCTCTATGAGAACCTGGAATATCTTCTTTTATATAATAGGTAGCTAATAAATCATCATTAAATGAATGAATGAATGAACCAGCAGGATTTTTACCCTACAACTATAAAACATGTCTGAAGTAGAAAATAAGAAATTTTTAGGGAAAATTAATTTAGGTCAAAGAGCAATATGCGGTCAGAATGCAAAAAATAAGTGTCAAGTAGTAGAACTATTCAGAATGTGCTTTTGAAATGCATTCTCCTACATGGGTCCTATCTCCTACCATTTAGGCAACATACTTGGAAAGTCTATGGGAGGTATATTTTAACTAGTAATTACATTATTTCTTGTCAATCTTCATCTACCTGCCATTAAGGCCAGCAAAAAAAAAATGAAATTCCCAAGTGCTGAGCTCACTTAAATACCTGGGGGTAATTTTTCCCTTCAATGTCTCTGGGATCATGGTTAAAAAGTCAAGTCCCTCTTTCAGAAGAGAACAAAAATCACTTATAAACACTCTTTGAACATTTTGTTTATAGTTCCCTTTGTAGTTTCTAAAAAATGCATGAGAAGCTATTAACATACAAAGCCTAGTAGGGAAAATAGCCTTGTACCTTAAACTAGTTCTCCAATATTTTCACAAAAAATAAAAATAGACTTGTCACATGGAAGAAATGATGTCATTTATCCTTGGAAAGACCTCTAACAGACATTCATCTGTACTGTTACTAAACTTAGACAAACACTCCACAATAGAATGACAGACCTAAACAGCCCCTTAAGTTACCTACACACAGATGAACTAAGGCTGCTGTTCAGCAGACATCATATTTTTCAGGATCCACTCCTAGGACAAAACATATCTCATGCATTAGGCAGTAGCATATGGATATTATCATTAAAAATGGACTCGTGTACATACAATGTAAATGTATGCAGTTCATACATGTAAAAGGTTCTAGATTTAACTTTAGAGATGAAAAAGGGGGAAAGTTAAAATAATTTATTGAATTTAGAGAAAAACTCTTATTGCATTTAAATGAAAGACACTTAGTCTGAATGCCAACCTTATTTTCTAGCTCAGACATTATTTTTATAGTTGAATAGTGAAAATCTTTTAATTCATTTATTCAACAATGCCTTATTAAGTACCTATTATGTACTAAGTGAAATTCCAAGGTTGCACAGAGCTTATGTACTAGTGGAGGCAAACAGACAATTATAAAGTAAGCAAATAAATTTAATCCAGATTTAAATCTGGTGGTTCTAAATGTCAAGCAAGATCTCTGAAATAATAGTCCTGACCCATCTTTAATATTCTTCATGTAGATTATTTTATACCTATCTGGACAGATCTAGGAAACATTAACTCTAGCAAGAATTCAGAATTTCATTAAGATACAGATTCCAGTGAGATATGCGGGGCAGATGAGAAGTATGTCTTCCAGTAGGATTATATTTTTATTGAACTGAAAGAGGATTCTACCCAGATTTTACTGAAACAAATTAAATATTGGACATTTGTTCTAATCATGTAACAAAATGCATTTTCTAAATGGAGTTTATAGAATAGCTTTTACCTATTTGGTGGATAAGAAAGATTAGTGTTCACGGAGCGACATGTATTGTTTGCATGGAGAGCATGCCCTGAGACCATCTCTAAAGAACACACACATACATAGGAAGACTCTGGGCTCTACCTGTCAACTGCACAGTCTCTGCCCAGTGCCAGGAACCATTACTTCATTTAAACCTTGCGAACAACCTGACCAGGCAGGTAAGAAAACAGACAGAAACTCAGAGTTAAGTGATGTGTGAAGATTCACATAGCTAGTAGGTCAGTGGGAGAGCCTAGATTTTTATTTAGGTCTGACTTTAGAGTCCATAAACATTCAACCATTTCACTCGGGTCTCTCAGTTGAGAAATGTCATTTAAACATAAATCTGAATCTAGACAGTATTATGGTCCACTTGGCTATTTTCCTAAAGTGAAGTGCCTAGATCCACTGGACAAACTCCAGAGCATTTGAAGAACTCATTTTGACAATGCCCAGCAAAGATACTTGGTCTTAGTGCTTTTGTTTTTCACTATGAGCCTTAATGCAAAAGAAGTATTGACATTGAAGCATGATTTCTGTATCACAGGAGGGCTCCTGGACACTTGGGAGGCATTTACACTAAAGAGTCTTCTAATTTAAATTTTTAACTAGGAAATATTTCAAACAAACAAAAAAGTAAAGAAAAATAATGTAACAGATGCCTATGTAACCACCTCCAAGATTAAGGAGATGCTAACTGTTGGGGTGGGGATGGGGTGCATTTTAATGCACTCTAAGGTTTGGGAGCAATAACTACTCATTTCTCTTGCTGTTTTCTTCCTTTTGACAGCATGCTTGACCACAGGGTACATATGTTCTTCATTGCTTTCTGCCATGTGACAAGCTACATTTCAAAGGCCCCTGTGTGGGAGGGCTAGCCCTGTTGGTGACTGGATGAGCACTCCTGTGTATTTCTATGGGTCCAATATTTTGAATTCCAGATCTGAGCCACATTTGCATCATCTATTTAGCTAGTAATAAATGTGGCATTTTGTTGACCACCTGTCTGACTTTGACTGCCTTCTATTTGGTCCAGAACTTAGGTGAGAAGAAGGGTGCTATTTTGAGGGACTCCTCAAATTCCAACATTAAAATTTGTCCATACTCAGAACTCTCCTTTTAAAAATGAATAAAAGTTAACATTATAGCTAAAGCTTTCTTCCATCCCACACCTCATTTTCTTCTTCTTCCCCTAGGGCTACCCACTAAGCTTAATGTATCCTTCCTATACATGTTTTGGTAATTTTACTGTATAGTTATATGTCTGTAAACAATCTTATATTGTTTTATGTGTTTTACAATTTTGTAAAATGGCTTCATCCTGCACACATCCTTTTGAAACCCACCTTTTTCACTCCATGTTATTGTTCAGATTTTTCCATGTTGATACATACATAGATCTAGTCATTTTAACTACTGTATAGTATTTAATCATATGAATAACCCACAGTTGTTCTTTCCCATTTTATCCTCAGAGTGAGCAACACTACAATTAATTTTATTGTATGTTTCCTTGTATCAGAATTTTTCAGTGGTAGATATCTAGATGAGTTAACAAATACTAGCTGATGTGGTAAATAAACTCTGAAATGTCAATGGCTTAACATAATGAAAATTTATTTCTCACTTAATGTAAAGCCCAAGTCGATGTGGGGAACAGGGAGAGACAACCATTTCACAGGGCCATCCAAAGATCCAGTCTGAAGGATGTTCTGCCCCTGTTCAAGATCAGCCTGTTTGTCAACATCTAGCCAGAAGGCGAAGAAAGAAAAAGCGAAGATACACCAGCTTTTTAATCTCTCTGGCTCAGAAATTTCACACATTACTTCCACTTACCTTCTATTGGTGAGAAACAGTAGTACACTTAAATGTTATCCAGCTAAGAAATATGGACGTTGATTGGGCAGCCTCATTCCCAAGACTACCCTACCCGTGGAATGGGGAACATAATGTTTACAGGATAGCTGACCATCTCGCCGCAACACCTAAAAGTGGTATTGCTGGTTCTTTCAAAGAAGAGTTATTCACTATAAAGTTTTTATTTTCTGGCCTTTTCCTTGTACTAAAGGGTGTTGTTATAGGCTTGCGAGGCTTTTTGGCAGCAGAAATAGGTGGAATCACTACTAGCTTCTCTTTGTTATCATCAAATCTGCTGGTATGAGGAAAGAGAGCCATTGTTGGTTGTTAATTGCTGGTGGTGGGGTGAGGGAAGGGTAACACAGCAGACTCCTCTCACTGTCACTTTCCCAGACTTTGAATGAGACTTTGACAGAGCCTTCAATTACTGCAATGCCTGTGATCTCATTAGAAAAATCTTATTAAATCTAAAGAAATAGACCAGAAGAATATCAGATTGGTTTTACCAAAACATTATGCCAACAAAAGTTCCAAAGGCAGATTTTCTGAGGCCAATATAGCTAAAGAACTTCTTGGGCTAGGACAGAGATGTAGCTTGGATTCTTCCTCTATCCTTCCAAAACTCTGGCTTGCCTTTAGACCCTTGTATACTCTCTGGTCATCTAACTGAGTGAAAACAGGAAACACAATCCTATTAAAAAGACCTGGGGATAATGTAAAACTAATCCTACACATATTTAGATGAAGTAACAATTGGTGCCAAGAGGAGGGAAGGTATTTGGGAAAAATGGAGTTTTAAGTCTTTCTTTTAAAAAGAGGCTTTAAAAATACAGGGAAAACTAAAAAATATCTCACTTTTAGCAAAGTACCTTCCAATCACCTATAGAAAGTCATTTTCTATAGAAAATCCCTCTTCCCACCCAAGTTCTGGACCAAATAAAAGGAAGTCAGAGTCAGATAGATGGACAACAAAATGCTTTTCTACAGGTGATTGCTATTTGACTAATTGCAAATGCTGCCACAATCTCTAATTATGGGTTGACATAATTAGAGTTGACAATTACGTGAGACTAAGGAAAAAGTAACATAACTACAGTTAAGCTAAGAGATTGTCAGGTTTTCTCTCACAAATATGTTGCAGCCATCAAAAAAGAATAATCGTGTGCTGATATAGAATTATCTCTAAGATATATTTAAATTTAAAAAGCATGTGTAAACAGTGTATGTATTATGTAAATATTTGTGTAAAAAGAAGATATATGTATATATAAATGCCTACACATGTATTTGCTTATGTAGGAAACAATATCTCTAGAATTATTAAAAAAAAAAAAGAAAAAAAAGAAACCTGTAACAATAGTTACTTCTAGAGAGGGGAATGGATTCCAAGGCAGGGAGGTCAACTAACTCATCACCATACACTCTTTTATGTTTGAATGTGCTGTATAAATGTGTGCATGTGTGTGTGAATGTGTTTGTGTATTTATGGTGAAGCATAGAGAGGTACAGTAGTCAATTCCACACCCTACTGAGAATAGAGTTTCAAATTAAGGATTCAAGTGTAGTGAAAGTAGACACAGTTATCATTTGAAATTAAAGGGAAAGGAAAGCCAAATATTATAAGGCCTATCCTCAAATTGTTTTAAGTTAATGCTCCTCAATCTCGTTTTGGCCCCAAACACATTGAAGGATCCACATTGTTCATGAACAGCCACTCCTCTTAAAGGTGAGTCTCAGTTTAGTGCCACGTACTTCGTAGGTCTAGGACATGTAGCCTTAAACTTGTTCCAGGGGCCATTGGCAGAGAGGGATGGGAGAGTAGAACATTCCCAAAAATGTAATCACAGAATGGTTTGCTTTAAAGGAACATATCCTTAGAAAACTATTAGACAGGCTTTTGAACCATTATTGTTTTGTGTTCCCCTATTATAACTAAGATAATTTCTACATATTATTTCTCTCTCTCTCTCTCTCTCTCTCTCTATATATATATATATATATATATATATTCTGCTTAGTGCCATCTTGCCAGCTAATGCATTTTGCATTAAAATGCTTCGATCAGCCTCAGCTAAACCCAATATAGGATCCTGTTTCTTTCCCATCCTGATCTAAAGGGTAGCATATGAAAACCTTGGGGAAGGAGAGGGGCAATACTATCCTTTGGTGATTCTGATACCAAGTCCAATTTAACATCTATACTTACTCATTCAGGCAGCCATTCTTGGTGAATAAATTGTTCAGAATCAAATATCAAACTGGTGGCCCATTGGGTCATTATAGCCTTCTACCTGAGGGGGAAATTAAACTGAATCAAAGGAAAGTTTCACCAGATTCTTCTCAATGTACTAAAAAGAACAAAAACTACCATAACAATTCTAAGAATTTGTGATCCTAGTATAATACAGCCATGACTTACTGGGACATAACTGAACACTTTATAGAGTGACACTTTCCAAAGATTCTTGTGAGCTTTTACTTAAATTTTTCCCATAAATTTACTAATTACCCTTATCAAAAGGAAATTCATGACATAGCTCAATGCTAAGAGTCCAGGGAACAAAGTAAAGGCTGGAAATAGTGACCTGGTTTCACTAGAAATTGCAGGAAAGTACTGGTTTATAGGTCACTGGTTTTTTTGTGCCAGAAATGTCTGACTAAATTAGGTTACATCCTGCAGGCCCTTCACCTGTCTCTCACGTAAATAACATTACCCAAGGGTGTCCTCTCAGCCCTACTCATGACTGGCACAAAGACATTTCAGCCCACATAAATTACCTTTTTTCTGGTTTTGTGAGAAACTTGGTTCCCTCAAATGGTTGTGATATGAAAATTCGCTCAAAGCCGAAGGTGAATGATAAAATAAAATGGGCTCTAAAAGGACACTTCTACATCTAAATTCAAGAATTCTATGGTTCTAGGATATAGTATAAAAATTAATGGAATCTGTTTCACATAAGCAAGCAGATTTAGGATTAGAAGCATGTCATAACTTGAAGGCAACCCAAAATTTATTTTTAGGCTACATGAATCTTTCAGAGTTCTTGATTTCAGACAATGAAACTCCCCCTAGGTAGTTTAGGCAGCAAAAGGAATTGTATTAAAGATTTTAAGCAGTTCTTGGAATCTCAGTGAGGGCTACAGAATAAACCATGGCTGCTCTGAGGCTGGGAGCCATATGAAAGTTACACAGATGGTTCCAGGGGGCACTCTATTGCTGCTGTGCCTGGGCACAGACAACCCAGCTTTTGCCCCGAGTGGCGGACACTGGAAACTCTGCCTAGAACCTCTGGCAACATCTCTGGAAGGTAGAGCCTCTCCCTCTATCTGCCATGATGGATTCTGTGAGATGCCTCACTCACTCCAGCATGGAGGTCTCAATAAGATGGGTCTAATTGGCAGAACCTGGACACTAGATCCTCAAATTGAAGATGTCAGGAGAGTTTCTGACTTCATCTTTGAAGAACGAACTCTCAGAAATCAGGAAACTCTCCAAATATAAAATGGGCTCAAAGGTAATGAGTGGCAATGCCCACTTCAAGTAGTATAACCTTAGCTTCCCCTGGGGACCTGGAAAGCCCGGGTCACATCTTCCCGGGGAGTTAATGCCCATGGGCAGACTCTTGACCAGGGGCATATGTAGAATGAAATGGACTGGCAGATAAATTGTTTTCCCTTCCTCTCCCCTGGTGGGCTGCCTTGATATGTAAAGTTCATTTGGCCTTACTGAGCACATCCCATGAGATGCAACATGAACTATACTTGTTGCCAACAAGAGGCTGACTCAAACTTCCCTCATGTTTGCCCCTTTTCCCTCACTTCTGTTTCCCTGGGAATGTAACTCCCAAAACAGATAGCAGCACATAAGCCTTTCCTTTAGGCTCTGGTTTCTACGGGTGCAAAAGCATCTCACTGCAGATGCAAAGTATTCTTATTAGAGCCTTTGCCTGGTCTCTATGACAAGCTTCAATTATTTTTCCTAGAAAACTAGTAATAGAAGCTCATGCCAATTTGTAAGACTGCATTTGCCATAACTGTCGTTCATACTAAAAATTTCTTTTCTACTATCTCTAGTTTTGTCTTGTGTGCAAAGAAAGAATTATTCATTGGGGCTCAGGTTGTGAGAGTGAGGAGTAGATGAATGAACCGGTCAGCTCTCTCAAATTCAGTGAGAGTCTCCTCGCTGCTACATCAAATGGCATCATGCTTTGTTATAGCCATGCTGAATTTCTTCTAGTTCCCTAAACAAACTATTGTATATCATTTCTCCGTGCTCTCTATCTCAGGTTTTCTCTCCTAAGAAGCTGTCTTCCTTTCCACTATTACTACTGCTAATAGTGGAATTAATACAGCTAACTGCGTCTGGTCCTTGAAAACTAAGCTTGGGTGTCACTTCTTTAAGGAAGCCCTGCTGAAGACCCCTTCCCACTACTCTAATTTATACCAAACTGCATATTCCTATAATACCCTGTGCATTGTATTTATTTGAGCCAAACTGGACTTCAGCTATTGGTCTATTGACCTGTCTTCCCTGACAAGATAGCTGCTTGAGAGCAACGACCATGCCTCATTTGGCTTTGTAGCCCTAGCAGCAAGCACTGTAACTGGCACATAATGATCGTCTAATTAAAAGCTGTTTGAATGAATAAATAATGTTTATGGAATAACTGAATTACACCAGTCAGGGTCCCTGTGCCATGTTGTGGCAGTGGCTAAAAAAAAAAATCTATCCAGCCGGGCGCGGTGGCTCACGCCTGTAGTCCCAGCACTTTGGGAGGCCAAGGCGGGTGGATCACGAAGACAGGAGATCGAGGCCATCCTGACTAAGATGGTGAAACCCCGTCTGTACTAAAAAAAATACAAAAAATTAGCCGGGTTTGGTGGCAGGCACCTGTGGTCCCAGCTACTGGGGAGGCTGAGGCAGGAGAATGGTGGAGCTTGCAATGAGCCAAGATCACATCACTGCACGCCAGCCTGGGCAACAGAGCAAGACTCCATCTCAAAATAAATAAATAAATAAATAAATAAATAAATAAATAAATAAATAAATGAATAAATAAAATAAAATAAAATAAAATAAAAAATCTATCCAAGCCCTTCCCTGGATTGAAGAGTGCTTCATCCTTCCACCCACCTGTGAGATACAGTCAATAACTACATTGAGCCATCCCAATTGAAAAATCCTGTAATTTCCCTAGGAAAGATGGCTCAATGTCATGTTTTTGGTTGATTCCTGAGTGAGTGAGGATAATAAAAAAAAATTACTATTGAAAAAAAAATAAGCGAAATGTATATACCTAGGACTTGCCTTAGATGACCAGTGTTTTTGTCATCTCCATCTCACTTCACCAATGGAACAAAAATAGTTATTAAGAAATGACATTTAACTGTTCTCATATTTAGAAGTTATCTGTCCCATATATCTGAAGCTGACCCTCATTCCAAATACTTGTCCAAATATGTCCTAATTTTTAGTTTAGAAAATACATACTCATTTATTTTTTCATGGATCCATCTAAAAAATTCAAATTGATGTCTAAGATGGGCTGCCTCAGGCATAGATATGCAATAGTAAATGGAACAAACATCATCTCTTGTGGAGTTTGCATTTGAATGGGGGAGGAGTATAAACATTATAACCTATATTCAGGAAGTCTTTCCTTCAACAAATATTTATTAAGTGCTCCTATGGACTCCGTGCTGAATAGCAGAGACACAGGGGTGCCCCATGGAGGTTGTCCTCTAGAAGGGAAAGAATATTAATCAAATAATCACACAAATAGATAATGAATTATGACAACTGTTATAAAGGGGAAAAATCAGATTAGATGGGATCCAAATCTAGATGTGGGTGGAGGTGGCCAAAAAAGGCTTCCCTAGGAACTGACATTCGAATTGTGTCAGGAAGCGAGGGTTAGAGGCTCCCTCCAGACATAACCACTAATACAGGCTAAGGGATGCTGGCATGTTATGAGAGCTAAAAAAGCCCAGGGTAGCTAGAGAACCAGGAAAGATGGAGAGAGAAGCAGGAAAAGTGGTCAGGGACCATATCATGCAGGGTTTTACAGGTCATTTAAGAAGTCTGTTCAAATACATTAGGGAATAACTAATGAAGGTTGAATGAGATTGCAGGTAAAAATTAGTTCATGAACTTCAAAGTTGCTAGTATTTATTGTTTTGATTTATATTCTGGTATAAGTAATTGAGGTGTTTTTTTAAAAAACTATTTGTATCACATAGAAATTGGTAGCATTAAAAACTATTCTAACCATTTTTGCTAAAAATAATTATTAGATTTAGTATAAAATTTTGGGAACAATCCATTTAAGAAGCTAAATGTCAGTTGACTGTATTTGTGAGTCTTAATATGAAAGTAAGTGTTTTTATTTATCTGCCAGGATTTCAACTGGTTTGCTCTTACTTCTATTACTGATATATTATAACAAGAACATTCTAATTTTCATGCCTAAAAGATGAAAATATTTTTTTCTTTTGGAAAGAATCAAATATGAACTGCATGTTTTCTACTGTTGCTCAGGTGACATCTGGTGGATAAAAACTGAAATGCAATTTTATATAGTTTAAGAAAGGTGAGGTTCTCAAATTCCACTGGTAGGAAGTCATTAAAGAAGTTGAGCCTTACTGATTGATGATTAATTTTGCTTATATTTTTGGCATCCTATTATTCTCATTAAGTAGAAATTGCGATAGAGATTTGATGGGAAGAACACTTCAGTGCCCTAGTAGATTTGGTAGGCTTTGGGTCCTGCTTAAACCTCTGGCAATAAGTAGCTAAATGGCCTGATTTAATTTTGTTTTTTTAGGAGTTTTCAAAGTGAGTAAACAGATTAGCTACAGATGGGACAAGAATCAGATTAATATCTGACTTCTCAGTGACAATAGTAAATAGGAAAAACAAGAGAACAATATCTTAAATATTCTGAAGAGAATTTTTACTCTGTCTAGAGTTCTCTGCTGAGCCAAACTCTCCAACAGATGTAAAAATAAAGGCATTTTCAGACATGCATGGGTATGAAGTTAACCTTGCATGAGTTCTCTTTGAAAGAATTACTATTTAAAATGCTATTTTTATCATTTACTCAATTGTCAAATGTTTCTACTTGGGGAAAGCGAGTGTATTCCATTAAGTGTTTATTAGAGCATGCCCCTCACTGTTATTGGTTTATTTTTTCTGAAAATTTCTGGATTTTTTCTTTACTTTTTATTATAAGCTATAGACCAGCTTGTCTACTTAAAATATTTATGTTTTCATTGTATTCTTTCACATATTCAAAAACCATAACAGTGAGCAGGCAGGCAAAGTCCTTTCCAGAATGGAGCTTACATTCAGTTTTTTTTTTTTTTCACTATGTCAAATTGGGTCTTTATTTCTATTATGTTTTCTAACTGCTTGTTGTTTGTATAGATGAAGGTGATTCCTTTCTGCACACTAATTTTGTACCCATCCATTCCACAAGTTCTCACATTGTTCACAACACATGTATAATTGAGTTTCTTGGGATTTCCAGGCATACAGTGATCTGTAAATAGTGATATTGTACCACTCTTCCAATGTTTATAACTCATGTCTTTGTCTTGTCTAATTGCATTGGTTAAACCTCCAGAACTACACCAAATAATAGTGATGACTGTAGATACAATTGTCTTGCTGCTCATTTTAACAGCAATGCTCATTGAGCATTAGTGTTTCCTCATTGAGCAGACTGCTGGCTTTTGGGAAATACCCATCTTTCCCCTTTATTGTGATTTTTTTTAAAAATCAAGTATGGATGTTGAGATCTATTGAATGCCTTTTCAGTATATTTGGAGAAAATCATGCATAACTTTTTTCTTTTTTAATCACTTTTATCAGACAAATTTCAGTTGCAGAAAACAGAAGAGGGTTTTATACAGGGAATTGGCTGCATACAAATCAGTAGAAAGCTGGAGGAGCAAGCTGTCTAGTAGTGGCTCCCGGAACCATACTGCAAAACTGGCCCACCCAGGGATCTGCCCCCTCTGTCACAGTCAGGAAGTCATGCTCCCATCCCACAGTTTGTGAGCATGTCATCTTAAGGTGATCTGGGAATGACAGCCTGCCACCACAATTCTTAGCTCCAGGAACACACCTTCCTATCTTTCACCTCTGGATCAGAAAACCGATAAAAGGACTACCAGCTCCAGAGTCTCACTGTGTCTGCTACAAGCTACCCCAGCAAAATGGCTGCCTCAGGTGCCACCAACTGTATTCTGAAAACAAGTCTCACACAAATGCATCTGTCTGATTGTCAAACGTAATTCACATTGAAGACCCTGGCTGCAAGGGAGCCTAGGAAATGAAGATTCTGAACTTTCCAGCCTTTATGGTATAGGATGTCATACAAAAGAGAGATTGGGGTAGACAGTGAATGAACCATGTTACTATACCCAACCACTTATTAAAATAGTGAATAATGTTAAATCATTCTTGAGACCATAGGGAAAAAATTCTTTTTCCCTTAATTATTTTAAGGTGCTGCTGGATTCTGTTTGCTAAAACTTTGGTGAACATTTTAAAATCAGTATTCATAAGTGATTTTTGTGCTGTCAGTTTCTGGTAACAAGCGTATGCTACTTTCATTAATAGAATTTGGAAGCTTTCCTCTTTTGCCTCTGCTCTGGAACAATTTAAAAAGCATTAGATGCCAGTCATGGTGGCTCACGCCTATAATCCCAGGACTTTAGGAGGCTGAGGCAGGTGGATTGCTTGAGGCCAGGAGTTTGAGACCAGCTGAACAACATAAGGAGACCCCATCTTTACAAAAAAAAAAAAAAATTAAGAGATAGCTGGACATGGTGGTGCAGTGTCTATAATCCTAGCTACCTGAGGCGGGAGGATGGCTTGAGCCTAGGAGTTCAAGGCTGCAGTGAGTTGTGATCATGCCATTGCACATTAGCCTGGGTGACAGAGCAAGACCCTGTCTGAAAAACAAAAAAATAGCATTACAGCCTATTTATTTCTTCCATAAAGATTTTGTAAGATTAGCCTTTGAAGCCCTCTGAGCCTGATGCTCTTTGGGAGCCTACCTCCTTGACAACTGTTTTCTTTTTATTTTTCTTGGACATTTAATATTTAATGTTTATATTTTTAATTCACCAATTTCAGTAAATTGTGTTTTTTTAGAAAAAGGATTAATTTCACCTAAATGTTCAAATTTATTTGCAGGCAGTTGAGGGAAATAGGCTCCTATGATTATTTTATTTTCCTTTGTATCTTTTTATTATGTATTTTTGTGCTTTCTTAATTTTATTCTTGGCCAAGTTAGCTAGTAGTTTATCTGTCTTGTTAAATTTATTCATTGGGATTATCATTTTTCTTAGTTTGATTTTATTATTTTCTTTTATAATTCATTTTTCCTTATCTCCTTTTTGGTAGCTGTTTTTTTCTCTATATTTTTTAGCTGGGTAGTTAATTCATTTACTCTTATTCTTTTGTGGTTATTAATACAATTATTGAAAACCACTGTTTCTTCTGAGGGTTGCTTTAATTGTATTCCGTGGATATTAGTATGTAGTGTTATCAATATTTTCTAATTAAGCTGCAATTTTAGTTTTGATATCATCTTTGACTCGAGTTTTAAGAGAGTTTTAAAATTCCAGATAATAGAGTCTTTTTGTCTTCTCAGTTGATTTGCTTTGTGA
Organism: Homo sapiens; assembly: GCF_000001405.40. Classification (NCBI taxonomy): domain Eukaryota; kingdom Metazoa; phylum Chordata; class Mammalia; order Primates; family Hominidae; genus Homo; species Homo sapiens. The sequence continues at coordinate 115,306,820 of NC_000005.10, read as the reverse complement.
TCAATGAAATATATCCACATTATTTCTGCTTTTTGGCATTTACTGAGGATTTGGGGCCTAAATTTTTGTGAAACTGTTAGAAAAGAAGGTATAATCCTTGTTTTCAGTGCATAGAGTCAATATGTGTCAATTAGACCTACCTTATAAAACATATCATTTAGTCTACTCTATATTGAAACCCCACTCTTTATACCCTTCTTCAGGTAGTCTCCCCACAGCAGCCTTTAAGAAGATCAGCAATTCTGTGACAGGTGTCTAACAGCTATAGCTCCAACCTCTGCCAAGGGAGTGAATACTCCTGCGTCCAATATTAACAACCAAACCTTGCAGAAATATTGATAGGAAGAGAAAAAAAAAATCAAGAAGTTATTACCTCTCATTCATTTACACTGACTGGCAGCCAGGTCAAGCACAGGCTTGCATATTTATATGCACATTTGCATATTTATTTGCATATGTATACAAAAACAAACCTCCCCAACTACATGCACTTTTTTGCTTTCTCTTCTGATTCCACCAAGGTTTCCACCAGGCACTTTCCTCAGACTGACCTGTAATACCCTAAGCAGTCTCTCAACATGGCCTGCTTCCATGCCCAAATCAGGGTGGGACATCCACTTCCTGGTATTTCTCTGTAGTAGGCAAACTGGTTTGGTATCTGCAGTCTTAATGCCTAGTAACAGCCTAATGTTAGTTGATTTTCCTTCCAACATGAACAAGCTATAAAATGTTTCTGTGCTCCAGATTACACCCATCACTAGACATTTCCTTTCTCTTATATTTTATAGATCCCAGTTAATGTTAAACTAACAGTATCAGTTGGGATTATTATATCTCAGACTACGTATAACAAAAATCCAAAAGCAGTGGTTGAAAAAACAGTTAATTGCTTTTCTCACATAAAAAGCAATTAGAGGTAGTCAGTAAAGCTGTTAAAATTAGTGCATGATAATTGTGAAAAATTCTCAACATTACCTAAGTCCCACCCATCCACTGATGTTTTATCATTTCTTGAAGTACATTTCTTATCTTCTATATTCTTGAAGTACATTTCTTACCTTCTATATTTATATATAGGGACCTGGTTTTTATTTAAAATTCTCAAGCAAGGGTAAATAATTTAAAACTTATTTTGTACCTATGAGCTAGAAGTTTCTGAGAATTTTCCTGTAATCCAAGGAAATATGTAGAAAGATGATCTACTGTACGCATTTGATTTTCTAACTGTAAAATAAATGACTATAATATAATAACTGGAATAATTTTTAAATGGTAGGTTTGTGGTCAGTCATATAGGTTTGAATTCTCAAAGAAAAATACTGTATTGGGACTAAGCGGTGTAGTCATAAAACTGTCATCCACATTGAAGATTTTTTTATTTCTCTGAGGATGGTCTGAGGGGCGTAAACCGGATACTATCAGCAACAGAATAATCAACATCCATTCAAACACAATTGATTGTTTTGTTTTCTACTGGCCTCCAAGAAATACTTATTTTTCAAAAGAAGAAAAATAGACTTTGAGGGTTTGGTGGTTTAGGAAAATAAGTATTAATGATAAAGGCAGGTTCATGGTTGATGATTGGTTCTGCTATATTTTAGCTATATTGTCTTAAAAAAATGTATTAACTACGCTCTCATAGTTAATTTATTTACACCAAAAGGAGATTATCAGTGTTAATAAGAATGTTTGACACATAACAGGCAATCAAAAGTAGGAATTATTATTTTTTAAATAAATATTTAAACTTTTTCCTTTTATTATACCTGCCCTCAAACTATCTTATCTTAACAGCTACACTTGAAGATTCACGGTTGTTGCTGCAGCTGTTACAGTTGTTAAAGAATCCATCTTTTAAGGCCCATCTTTGGGGAACTATAGTCTGTTAGAGAGTGTCTGGTTAGGGAACTCTAACATTACCAAGGAATTGTAAAATAGAAGCTAAATGACTGGGAATTATTTAAATAACTGTCTCTTTTTCATATCCAGAAATATTGTTTAAACAATAGAATATTTTATATGGAAATAGTGAAAAGTTGATAGAAGACATTCAATTGTTTTTACCTGAGAGAGAGAATTGTGGCGGGAGCTATCACCCTATATGTAATATTGCTTAGCTTGCATTGTGATTTCACTAGTCAGTGAAAAACAATTTATTCCTGCCTTGTCCATTTATACTGGTGAATTCTAGAGGGCACTGTAAAATCATCCATTTGTTGGTGTATTTGAAAGATTAATACAAATATTTTGTTATAATTAAGTCTTATTTAAAAATCCAGTCCCCAGGCATATGAAGACATTTGATTTTGTGTAACTCTCTGGAACAATTCCACCCATTTTCAGCAAATTATTCTGTGACCTTAGAATGAATCAAAACTGTCTCACCATCTGTTCAGTTTGCAATAGTGATCCTTATGTAAGGATCACTTTGATTTGAAAATCAAATCACTAGTTGCAACACTGGGCAACAAGTTCATTAATTGGGTTGAACTTGTTTGGTTATAATTGGAAAATAGCCTCTTTTTTCCTCTTACTGATTGCTTTTTAAACTTAATCTGTTAGATATCTCTTCCCTCTCTCAGATAATATCTTAGGTGGAGCCCATATATTTTCTGATCACCTTGAGTACTACTCATTTTCAGGTATTGAAACGTCAGCGTTCCCTAAATCACAACCATCATATCATGTCCAACTTAAAGCTTTTCCTTATTCCTGACCCAGAATCAGTAACCAGCAGTGGAGAAGACAGGCAGAGGTTCTTCTTCCACTCTCCTTGACCTACCCCCTTTCTGCATTCAACACACTGCTACTGAGTACTTCAGGATCAAGGAAGGTTTGAGAAGCTAATGAAAAGTCAGGAACTGGTGACAGTAAATGTAGAGTATTTTTTTTTTCCAAAAAACTGACAATGAAATGGAATAGAAAAAATAGAAGGCTGTGACTTGACTCACATATTGGTCGTGAAACAACACTGAGTTATATGGTGCAGATGAGAGCCAGGCCTAAACAAAGTGATTCTAAAATGTTGAAACTACAAGGCTGGGCAAAGGCGTACCAGAATAAATGTGAACAAAAAGGAATCACCAGACAGTGATTTTAAATATAAGATTGAATTCAGGGCAAAAATAATTAAACAGGAAGTATACTTTACAATAATAACAGGTGTAATCCACAATGAAAATCTAAGTTATATATTCTATACCCTAAATAACGCAGCATCAACATTCATTAGAAGGACTACAGGAGATACAAGAAGAAAAAATAGAAACATAAGTATCAGAAGACTAAGACAGATTAAGAATTCAAAAAATTAAGTGAAGATTGGGAGGGAATATAATAATGTGCAGTAAAACTGACTATAAAATATTTTCAAATAGTATTTTAATAATATGTAGACTTAGAGGAAAAATAGGCTTGCACCCAAGCCTATTTTTATGAACCTTATGAACCAAGAAACAAGAACAATTAAAAAGACAGGTTGGTATGGCAGGCAATGCTAGCAACTAACCCACTCATCCTCATAATAACCCCAATAAAGTATATTTTCAGGATGCTTTGTAGCTAGGGGTGGCTGTGTGATTCAGTTATAGTCAATGATACCTAAAAGGGGGGCATTGGGTAGGGAGGACTCATAGGAAAGCTTTTTTAAATGTGGCAGGTCTGCTGTCATCCTCCTTTTGCTCTTTGCCTTTGTAGCAACACATTGTAGATGTCCTGCCTCTGAGTTCACCCATCTACACTGATGGCCTCCACCTGTGTCCATGCTGTTCCGCTTCTTGACCTAACAGCTTTCTCTAGAAGCTTGTTTAGCCATTGTATGGGCAGCCTATAAAAGCTGGTGTTTAATGTCCCCACAGCAACGCTCAACGAGTGAGGTTTGGGATTTGGTAGATAGATAACTCAGCTTTCCCACCCCTTAGTAGGGAAACTCTGAGGACAGTCCTATAAGATTCCTCAGAGGTCCCCAGCTGGAGTGAGGCCCAGTTGCCCACAGCACTAACCACTAAAACACCCTCTGTTGGCTTTTCTCCCTTTCCTATTTCACTTTCTCGACGCTGTCACTTGGCTTCTTGAGATCACCTCCCAAACAACCTATCTCCTGTACCCAAGTCCTTGTCTCATGATCTAATTTCATGGGAACCCAAACTATGAAAGCCCTTTTCCTTCTTCCTGTCTAGAATGTAAGTCTGAGAATTGGATAGAAAGAGATAGCATGATATCTATTTTCAGAGAGTATATACTATAAATGGAAACCCTAAGATAATCATTCTAAAAATAATATCAAAATTAAGAAAAATGACCCAAGTAGCAATAAAGAAAAGCGATTGTCTTTATATATTCAAAGAAAAATAAGCTAGAAGATATAAAGGAAGAGGAAATCCAGCTTACAGTTGCAGTAAATATTGTTAAACTCAAGAATAAACTTAAAATCTTTAATTTTCAAAGATGCAAAAGTGGACTAGAACAAATGTAAACAAATGTAAATATGCTTTGTTCGTGGATAGGACAACGGCACCTCATACACATATTAATTCTTTCCAAGTTAATAAATTTAATGTGATTCTAATGAAAATGCCAAGCTTTTTTCCCCAAAGTAGACTATTGATTCAAAGTTTCTGTGGAAAATGAGCAAGCAGGGAAAGCTAAGAAAACTCTGGAAAAGAAGAATGAGAGAAACTAGTCCAATAAGCTATTAAAACATTTCATAAAGTCCTTATAATTTAAAAAGCATCTATTCATTAATACATAAGTAGACCGATACAATGATAGAAGAGAATAGAAAAATTCAGGAGAAATAGGACAATTATATACGAAAAGTTAAGTGGCACCAAAAATTACCACTAAACATATGCTTTTAAAGAATAATGTCGAAATAACTGGATAGTCATTTGGGTAAAAGTAAAAATTGGGTCCACATTTCACACTGAATATCAGAAAGAAATCCAAATAATCCAGATATATAAATGTGAAAGGTGAAACCACAGAAGAAAACAGGAATTCACTTCATTATAAACTTGGAGTGAGAAACGCCTTTCTAGAGATGATTATAAATCCCAAAGCACTGAAAAAAATAATAAAAGACTGACAAATTTGACTACATAAAAATAAAAAGAACTTGCTCAAAGCAAAAAAAGGAAAAGTCATAAAACAAATTTAAAACCTGAAAGAAATATTTGCAATTTATACCACAAAATATATCATAATCTCCTAATTAACAAACAGTTCTTAAAAACTGGGAAGAAAGGCACCAAATACCAGTTGGGAAAAGATGTAAAGAGACAGTTAAAAAAAAAAAAAGCAAGCAATTGTCCTTAAACTTATGAAAAAGGCTGACCTTCCTCATAATAACATAAAGGCATACAGACATCCCTCAGAAACATTGCAGGAAATATTACACACAAATTTAAGGTTTCCAAGTGCATATAAAAGTTATGTTTACACTATACTGCAGTCTATTAAGTGTGTAATAACATTGCATCTAAAAAAGCAATGTACATACCTTAATTTTAAAATACTTTATTGCTAAAAATGCTAACAATCATCTGAGCCTTCAGTGAATTATAATATTTTTTGCTGATGGTCTTGCCTCTATGTTGATGGTGGCTGCTGAAGACTGGGGAGGCTGTGGCAATTTCGTAAAATAAGACAACGGAAGTTTGCCACCTCAATTGATTCTTCCTTTCACAAAAGATTTCTCTGTAGCATTCTATGCTTTTTGATAGCATTTTACTCATAGTGAAACTTCTTTCAAAATTAAAGATGGAAGAACGGTCAACTGGTGGAGTAGTCAGAATACACAAAACATTTATTAAGTTCGGCATGCCTCATGGTGTCCCAAAACAATTAAAATGGTAACATCAAACATCATTGGTCACAGATCACCATAATAGGAAACAAGTTTGAAATATCGTGAGCATATTTCGAGAAATACCGTCACATTACCAAAATGTGACACATAGACGTAGTGAGCAAATGCTGTTGGAAAAATGGCACCAATAGATTTGCTTGACACAGGATTACCACAAACCGTCAATCTGTAAAAAATGCAGTGCCTGCAAAGCACAATAAAGTGGAGCACAATAAAAACAGGTATGCCCATATTAAACTTACTGAGAGATACGATTTTTCATCTCTTTAGATTTTCAAAAATCCAACAACTTAAATACTAAGATCTCAAGCAATAAAGAAGCAAGCACCCTCACACATTGTTAGTGGCAGTGCAATATGGTACAACTCCTATGGAGAGGAATTTAGCAATATCTAACTAGGTTGCATTTGCATTTAACCTTTGACCTAGCTATTCTACTGAAGATAATCACTTTCCCAAATATGAAATACTTATGAATCATTACTTGCAGCAACAAAAGTTTAGAAATCACCTAAATATCTATTGGCAGATGACTGGCTGAATAAAATAACGGAGGATTATGCATTTAATTTTTAAAATTTAAGAAAATTTCTGTGAACTGACATGAAGCAAGTTCCAGTATATATTGTTAAGCAAAAATTTCAAGGTGCAGTATATATTGTTAAGCAAAAATTTCAAGAGTATAATACATGTGTTATCAGTTGAATTGTGTCCTCGAAAGAGATATGCTGAAGTCCTAATCCCTGGTACCTGTGAATGTGACCTGATTTGGAAATGGGGTCTTTCCAAATGTAATCAAGTTAAAATGGGGTCATACTGCATTAGAATGGGCCCTAAACCAGTGACTGGTATTCTTATAAGAGGAAAGTTTGGACACAGAGACACAGATATGTGTTGTGCAACGATGGAGGTAGAAATTGGAGTAATGCTTCTACAAGCCAAGGAGTCTCAAGATTGCTGGCAATCATCAGAAGCTGGGAGAGGGGCATGGAACAGATTTTCCCATTAAGCCCCCATGAAGAAACCAGACCTGCCCACACCTTGGTTTTGAACTTCTGGCCTACTACACTATGAGAGAATAAATTTCTGTTGTTACAAACTACCCAGTTTATGGCACTTTGTTATGCAGCCCTAGAACACTAATATAATATGCTAGATGTTTTTGTAAGAAAAAAAGAAAAATAAAAATGTATTTGTCTATTTACCTTTTTTTCTTTTGCAAATGAAACATAAAAGAACCAGAAATTAACACAATTATTTACCATAGAGGATTAGTTGAAAGGCCATGGAGAGGATATGTTGGGGAGTAAGCCTTCTTTAAACATACCTTGTCATAGAGTTTTGACTTTATACATGTTATACATAACTTACTTATTTTTTAAAAAAAGTAAATTGAAAGAAAACAAAACAAAAAAGGAAACATTGAAATTGAACACAAATGTAATCAAAAGAACTGAAATATATATCAAATTGATTCCATAGCACATAGAGAAAAGGGTGATTTCAGAAAACTTCTGAACACAGTACTCTAGATATCCAGTGCAGGATATACTCTAAAAACAATAGGAAGTGCAAAATGATCTTAGGCTTCTCTTTATTTTTAGTGGCAGTATTAAAATTGTAAAAGACCACTCAACTCAAATCGTTGGTTGACTTGCTTTTTTTCCGAGGCTGCAAGATAATTCTGGACTAATAATTACAGGAATTCAGACAGTGCTATAGTAACAGGGCTCATTTGGATAAAAGGTAATACAAAAATTAAAGAAGTTTTACCTTCTCAATACACCCAAGTGACTTACTTCCTCCTACTTCACACAGGGGTGGGGAGGTGGGGCCAACCATCTCCTCCCTCCAAATCTTCCAACTACCTTGTGCTGCAACCCATGTATGCAGGACTCTCTGGCCTCCCCATAGTCCCCACCCACTACCTCCCTGTGTCAGAAGAGTCTGTGCGTCTATCAAAGACCAAACCTCCCACTTATGCTCTGGACTCCATCAGCCTTACTTTCAAGAGGGTCTGACTGCCTCTGTCCTGCAGCATCAAACTTCTGTCTCCACTAAATAATTCCCAGCAGCATGAACTCCTTCTACTAGTCCCTACCTTGAAACACAACACAACAACAAAGACCCTCTTTGATCACACATCTTCCCCCAGCTACCACTTCATTTCTCTGATCACCTGCACCATAAAATCGATCAAAATCATAGCGAAAAACAGTTTCTACCTCGTCACCTCCATTATCTCCTCAATGCAGTCAGCCAGGCTTTGGTCTACCTACCCCATAAACCCACGGCCTCCCTGTTGCCAAATGCAACCATCATTTCTTTGTTACCCCTTCACTCAGCCTCTAGGCAGTGAACCACACAGCTGACCATTTTCTCCTCCTCCTCCTTCTTTCTTTTTCTTCTTATTTCTTCTCCTTCTTCTTCTCTTCCTCCTCCTCCTTCTCCTCCTCCTCCTTCTCCTCCTCCTCCTCCTTCTCCTCCTCCTCCTGCTCCTCCTTCTCCTCCTCCTCCTGCTCCTCCTTCTCCTCCTCCTTCTCCCTTCTCCCTTCTCCTTCTTCTCTCTTCTCCTTCTCCTTCTTCTTCTTTGCCTTCTTCTTCTCCTCCATTCTTCTTCCTTCTTCTTCTTCTCCCCTCTTCTTCTTCTCTTTTTTTTTTTTTTTTTTTTTTTTTTTTTTTTTTTTTTTTTTTTTTTGTTGAGACGAAGTCTCACTCTGTCACCAGGCTGGAGTGCAATGACACGATCTTGGCTCACTGCAACCTCCGACTCCCTGGTTCAAGCAATTCTCCTGCCTCAGCCTCCCGAGTAGCTGGGACTACAGACAGGCGCCACCACGCCCAGCTAATTTTTGTATTTTTAGTAGAGATGGGGTTTCACCATGTTGGCCAGGATGGTCTCCATCTCCTGACCTCGTGATCCGCCCACCTCGGCCTCCCAAAGTGCTGGGATTACAGGCGTAAGCCACCACGTCCGGCCTCTTCTGCAAAAACTTCCCTCCACAGACTTCCGGTTTTCCTCCCTTCTCACAGATCTCTCCATATTGGTCCCCTTCTCCTCTTGTCCGTGGTCACCTTCTCGGAGTGGCCTAGGCTTAGTTCTCAGACTTCAATTTATACTCACCCTGGGTGAGCTCATTCAGTCTTATTTCAAATATTTTCTATAGGAAGATCAAATTCGTATCTTTAGCTCTCTCTCTCCTGGGCTCCAGAGGCGTTTATCCCGCTGCCTGTTTAATACCTCTACCAGGATGGTCTCTGGAGTCAGGCTGTCTAGATAGGTATCCTACCCTCTACCTGTGTGGCCATGTGATCCTTAACTTTATCACTGAAATGGAGATGATAATAGTACCTACTTCATGAAGTTATTTGTGAAGATTAAATGCAAAAGTGCATATAAAGCACTTATAACAGCCCTGGCATAAAGGAATTGCTCAATAAATACCTATTTGTTTACTTGTTAAAGGTGAAGGAACCTTACCTATGTGTCTAATTCAACAATGAATTCCCAAGGCCTAGAACAGTGCCTGACATATGCTAGGAGCTCCATATTGACTGACTGAATGAATCGATTTCTATAAAGGGGGAAAAGGTAGTACCTACAGAAATCAGCTCAGTTGCCACAGGTTGTCTTGACTGGAAGCGTCATCTGTGGCTTTTTTCCAACTTCCCAGCACTGTATTTTTGGAATCTGTCTTCTCATTGACCAAGTCCTAGGAATGTAACTGTGGCATTCCTGCCTCTGATATCTGGTTCTGTGGAGCAAGCTGGGTTTTTTTCTTTAAAAATCTAAAATATGATTTATTGTTAGAATCCATTGATAATGTTTTTTCATTTAGACTCAGTCTCAGCAGCGCTAAGTAGAAACCTAGAAAGCGGATGTATATTAGGTAAAAATATGTATATATTGACTATAACACGAATAAAATTTAAGGACGATGTAAGACAATGAATTTTCTTGACAGGTATGGGACTGGGCTGGCACAGTCGGTTAAGTGCCCAAAGGGTATATAAACCCGCGACAGGGCAGAGCGCAGCCCCCGCCCCGCCCCGCCCCGCCCCCACACCCGCCCGCCCCAGAACCCCAGACCCGCCCCTCCCCTGCATCCCGGCTCCGCCCGGCACCTTGCCCCTCCCTCGCCCCGCCCCTCCCCGCCTGAATCCCGGCCCCCGCCTCGCATTTCGGCCCCGCCCTGCACCCCAGTCCCGCCCCTCCCGCACCCCCGCACCCCTGCACCCCCGCATCTCAGCCCCGCCCTGCATCCCGACCCCGCCCTACATCTCGGCCCCGCCCTGCATCCCGGCCAAGCCCGCAGCGCAGGGAGCTGTCTGCAGAGGCCAGGGTGCGCCTGCCACGAATCCCCAGGCACCGGTGGCCGCCGCGGCCCGAGTAGCTCGGCGGGTAAACATGGCCGCACTGACGACGGTTGTGGTAGCGGCTGCGGCCACCGCGGTAGCCGGGGCTGTGGCAGGGGCGGGCGCGGCCACCGGGACCGGCGTGGGAGCGACGCCAGCGCCTCAACAGGTAAATCCGGGAGAACCGAGAGCTGCTCTGGCGGCAGGCGAGGGGCTGCAGGCCCTGGCTGAACAGGTGCCCTCTGCAGCGCCGGCGGGAGGCGCGGCGTTCGCCTCCCCTGCTCGGGGCCTGGCACGCGCTGGGCGTTGCTCTTTGTTGGCTTGTGCGTTTAACAGCTTTTGCAGAGCCGCCTCCATGTGGTTTCGGAGTCGAGGAAGACCTGGGTGGGAACCCGGCTCTGCCGCTTCCTAGCCGCGTGATAAGAACATATGCTGTCGGCGACTCACTTTCTTCTCTAAAAATTGGGAATAGTAACATGCACCTCCCGAGCTTTGGACTAACGTTATGTCTGGGGAGCCCCTGGCACAGTGCTTGATTGGAGGGGGACTCTGTGCTCAGTAATTGGTGGCAGCTCTGTTACTGTACCGGCGCTGGGAACACAAGGAGAAAGACAATATGGGATGGTCGGAGGCAGAGGTGTTTCCAGTGATCGGCTTAGGACCGCTTTCTAGGTGGTGAGGACAAGGTATCTTTGTTCAGATGTTATCAGCTCAGCGAGACTTTCCATGATCTCCCTAAAATGAATCGCCTTACGCGGCACACCCAGTCCCTGTTTCTGGTTTTATTTTTCCCCATAGCACTTAGTACCATATATTATATTACATACTTTATTTCTATTGTTTATGTTTCTCCTCACACCCCTCACCCTCCCTCGCACCCCCATGAGAATGTAAGCTCCATGAGGGCAGAAAGTATTGGAAATTTTATTCTTTATTGTATTCCCAGCACCAAGAACTATGCCTGTTGTGTAGTGCCTGGAACGTAGTATGCACTTACTAAATAATTTGTGGATCAATATAAACCTGAAGGAAGGCTGTCATGAGCTGAGGAGAGGTTCCATCTTTTTCCTCCTTTAAGGAAATACAGTGTCTTTACTCGTAGACCTTCAGGAAATTCCACCTACGGCAAATTTTCTCACACATCCTCTATAATTCTCTTTATTATTCTAACTCTGTCCCAAGTATCTCAGGAAAAAATGTAAAATATATAAATATACATAATACGTAAAGTATTTTTAAGTACTATGCTCAAAAAAATGTGTGACACCATGTTGCTGGCTTTCTCCATCATTTCTCTAAATTCTTGTAGCAATGTTCTGTCTTCTGATCTGCATTTCTTGCGAGTTGCCTAATGTTGTTATTGATGCACACTTTTGTGATGTTTGCCTTCTCAGGGGTTGGATCAGATCACCTGTGGAGCTCTTTCAGATATTTTATCAATCCCCTAGAGGATATCTAGCAATGTTTGGAGACATTTTTGGCTGTCAGAGTGGGGAGCAGGGGGGTGTTGAGGGGCTGCTAGCATCTAATGGATACAGGCCAGAGAACAGCCACCCATAACAAAAATCATCTGGTCCAAAAGTTAGTAGTGCTGAGATTGAGAACCATGGTGTATACTGTCTTACCACTTTAGTAGGGAAAGCAGAGCCTCATTGTTGAGAATCTACCTCAGCATAGTTAGGTAGAATTCTTCACGTGTGTTTGGGCTTTTTTAAAAAAACAAAACAAAACAATGCAGCATTACTGCATGCTATATTGTGATAATGTTTAGGAGTTTACATGTTATCCATTTTTGTACTTCCCCCAGCATACCACACGCACATACCTATACACACAAATTCTACAGCCTAACACCGAACTTGAATATTTGTCATATGATTAAATGAACGAATATTCCTACTGACTTTAACACTGAAACCAACTAGTATTTTCTTGAGAAGAGAGAATTTTCCTGGTGGCAATCTCATGATACTAGAGATGTCTACCAAAATATCTAAAGTTCCTGTCAGCTAGGGCTTCTATAACAAAATGCTACAGACTTGGTGGCTAAAACAACAAAAGTTTATTTTCTCACAGTTCTAGAAGCTAGAAGTTCAAGATCAAGTTGCCCTTAGGGTTGGTTTCTGGTGAGGCCTCTTTTCCTGGCCTGTAGGCAGCCACCTTCTCACTGTGTCCTCACATAGTCTTTTCTCTGTTACAAGAGGAGAGAAAGAGATCTCTGGCATCTCTTCTTATAGGAACACTAGTTCTATCAAATTAGGTCCCCACCTTAATGACCTCATTTAACATAAAGACCCCATCTCCAGATAGAGTTATTTGGGGATCAGGCCTTCTACATAGGAATTTTGAGGGAACACAATTCAGTCCATCACAGTGTCTTTAAATTACTTTGGAGTAAATATCTCTGAAGTTTTAAAACTATTTTATATTGTATTTTATTTTACAATATCCTCAGGGCGTGGAATCTCATAAATTCCTCACTCATTATGAAAAGTTAACACATTTTCCATACTTTTTAATATTTGTATATTATTTGTTCATAACCCCTCTTAGCTATTGCCTTTCAAAACTGAAGACCGCAAATCTCTATCCTCCTCTCCAATGTCATTTCCTTCTTGTTACCATCTGTTCTCTTGATCATTGTAGTTGCTGAATTATGACTTTTTTGAAGTATCTTTAACAGTATCACATTAGTGTGATGCTGGTTTTGTACCAGCATAAGGCTCTGTCTTCTGTTTTGTTTCTAAGGACCTTCCCTCTGATGACCTGAATTTTATGTTCCTTGGCTGCCTGAAATAACCCTTCAATAATAACTATTTTCACCTGTGACTGTGTAATCTTGCATCGTAAAAGGGACTTTGCAGGTGTGATTAAGATAAATTAAATACCTTAATTATCTGAGTGGACCTGGTGTAATCACAAAGGTCCTTATAAGAGAGTCGCAGGAAGATCAGAGTCAGAAGTAGGAGATGTGATGATGGAAGGAAGAGGATGGAGTGATGTGAGGAAGGGGCCATTAGCCAAGGAATTAAGGTGGTTCTAGATGCTGGAAAAAAAGGTAAGGGGGTGGATTCTTCCCTGAAGCTTCCAGAATGAATGTAGCCCTACTAACACCTTTGTTTTAATTAACATTATTTTTAATTGACAAATCTTAATTATATACATTTATGGGGTACAGTGTGATGTTCTGATATATGTATACAATGTGGAATGATTAAACCTGGCTAATAATTAACATATCTATCACCTCACTTATTTTTTTCTGGTGAAACATTTGAAATTTACTCTTATTTTGAGATACACAATACATTATTACTGAGTATAGTTAACCTACTGTGCAGTAGATCTCAAAACATTCCTCCTGTCTATCTGAAACTTTGCACCGTTTGACCAACTACCTATTTCCTTCCTTGCCCTCCCCACCAGCCTCTGGCAACTATTGTTCTACTCTGTGTTAGATTCCACGTGCAGTTTAAGTGAGATTATACAGGATTTGCATCTCTGTTTCACTTAGCGTAATGTCCTCCAGGTTCACACTTTGATTTTAGAGTAGACCTCCAGAACTATAAGTCAATAAATGTGTGTTGTTTAAGCCACTGCACTTATGGTGAGTTTGTTACAGCAGCAATAGGAGACACCAGGAAAGACCTAAGAAGCTCTCAGTCCTCATCCTTGTTTGTCTTTGAAACACTGTGCTGGCAGAAAGTAAATACTAAGATAGGGTTGTAAACTGCCTGCCTGCATGTAGGAGGTATGCTTCAGCATGCATACAGACCCCCTTTCCCAAAGGTAGCAAAGGCTAGGACACATAGTGGTTCAATGCATCTAAGGAAATCTCTGACCAATTATTGGCTGACAACTGAGCTAACCAATCAGAGATTTCACTGCCACACCTGACCAAGACTACAGATTTTACAGAATTAGTTTAAAGTGACCAAACAAACAGCAACAAAACAAACCCTGCTAAGGGGAGAGAATCTCATTTTTGGAGTTGTCCATTATATTATTTTATATGTCCAGTCTTTAACAAAGTTATGAGACACGGCAAGAAAGTATGGTTCACACATGGGGAAAACAGTAAAAAGGAACTGTCTCTGAGGAATACTGGCTATTGGACATACTAGGCAAAGACTTCAAAACAGTTATTTAAATATGTTCAAAGAACTAAAGGAAACCATATCTAAAGAACTAAGAGAAAGTGTGGGAATGAAATAGAAATCTTTAAAGAAATTAAACATTTAAAAAAGAATCAAGTAGAAATTCTGGAGTTAAAAAATGCAAGAACTCAAATGAAAACATCACTAGAGAGACTCAACACCAGATCTGAGCTGGCAGAAGAAAGTATCAACAAACCTGAAGATAGGTCAATTCACATTATCCAGACTGAAGAACAGAGGCAAGAAAAGAATGAAGAAAAATGAACAGAGTCTGAGATCTGTGAGATACCGTTAGGCATACTACCATGTGCATAATGAGAGTCCCAGAAAGAAAGGAAAGGAGAAAAAAGGAGGAAAACCGATATTTGAAGAATAATAGAAGACGTCCCAAATTTGATGAAAAACATTAACCTACATATGGATGGAGCTCAATGAACTCTAAGTAGAATAAACTCACAGAAATTCATATCTAGACACATCGTAATAAACCTGCCAATAAATATGGACAAAAAGTCTTGAAAGCACCAAGAAAGAAACAGTTCATTACATATAAGGAATTCCTCAATAAGATTAACAGCTGTTTTCACATCAGAAACCATGGACACCAAAAGGCAGAGGGATGACATAAAATAGAAAAAGACTGCCAGCCAGTTGTTCTTTGTACAGCAAAATTATTCTGTAAGATTGAAGAAGAATTTAAGACATACTGAGGCAAACAAAAGCCAAAATAACTTAGCATAATTGCCCTACATTAAAAGGAGTCCTTCAAGCTAAAATAGAAGGACACTAGACAGTAACTTGAATCCACATGAAGAATAATGTGAATAGAGTACTGCAAATATATAGGTAAATATGAAAGTCAGCATAAATGTATTTTTGTTTTTAACAAATGTTTTTCAGAAAATAGAGGAGGAAGGAACATTTTTAATGAACATTTCTCATTCTGTAAGGCCATTATTACCCTGATACCAAAATCAAACAAAAAACATCACAAGAAAGAAAAATACAGAATAGTATCTGTTATAAATACAGATGTAAAAATACTCAACAAAATACTAGCAAACATATCTAAAAACATGAAAAGGATTATACACCATGATCAATTGCAGTTTATTCCAGACATGCAGTGTTGGTTTAATATATGAAAATCAATTAATATAATACTACATATTAATAGAATAAAGGGCAAAACCGCATAATCATCCCAATAGAAGCAGAAAAGCAATTGACAAAATCCAACACCCTTTCATGAAGATAGGTCAATTCAGATTATCCAGTCAACAAACTGTCAATAGAAGAGAACTTTCTCAACCTGATAGAGGCATCATTAAGTAACGTATTACTTAATGATCAAATATGGAAAGCTGTTTCCGTATGATCAGGAACAAGGCAAAATTGTCCACTCTTACCACTTTACTCACTGAAAGTTCTAACTAGGGCAATTAGGCAAGAAGAGCAAATAAAAAGCATTCGTATTGGAAAGGAAGATGTAACATGATACTTATTCACAGATGACCTAATATATATTAAAAATTCTAAGGGATTCACACACACACAAAAAAAACTTACTAGAAAACTAATAAACAAGTACAGCAAGGTTGCAGAATACAAGATCAATATACAAAAGTCAGTTGTATTTCTATACACTAGCAATGGACAATTCAAAAATGAAATTAAGAAAAAATACCATTGATAATAGTATCACAAAGATTAAAATACATAGGGATGAATTTAACAAAAGAAGCATAAAACTTATTCTCTAAAACCTATAAAAATTATTCAAAAAATTAAAGGAGACTTATATAAATGAATACTTAATGTTTATGATTTTGAAGACTTCATTTTGTTAAGATGGCAATAATCCCCAAATTGATTTACAGATTCAGTGCAATCTCTGTAAAGATCTTAGCTGCCTTTTAAAAATTATTTTGCAGAAATGTACAAGCTGATCTTAAAATTAATATGGAAAATGCAAGGCACCCAAAATAGCCAAAACAATCTTGAAAAAGAAGAACAAAGTTGAAGGACTTACACTTGTTAAATTCAGAATTTAACTTCAAAGCCACAGTAATCAAACTATGGTACTGGCATAGGGATAGACAATAGACATATAGATCAATGAGAGTCAAGACATACACCTACAGTTTTATGGGCAGATGATTTTCAAAAGGGTGCCAAGACAATTCAATAAGAAAAGAATAGTCTTTTCAACAAAAGTTTGGACAATTGAATAACCACCTACAGAAGCTGAACTACCTCACACCATATTTGAAAAATATCTAATCTGATCAAAGATCTAAATGCAGGTCTAAAAAACTTAGAATAAAACACAGGCATGAGTCTTCATGACCTTTGGTCAGTCAGTAGTTTCCCCTGTATGACACCTAAAGCACAAGTAGCCAAAGACTAAATAGATACTTTGGATTCCATCAAAATTAAAAAACTTTTGTGCTTTAGGCCACGTGCAGTGGCTCATGCCTGTAATCCCAGCACTTTGGGAGGCCCGGGCAGGAAGATCGCTTGAGGCCAGGAGTTTGAGACCAGCTGGCCAACATCGCGAAACCCCATCCTTACTAAAAATACAAAAATTAGCCATGCTTGATGGTGTGTGCTTGTGGTCCCAGCTACTTAGGAGGCTGAAGCAGGAGGATCACTTGAACTGGGGAGGTGGAGGTAGAGGTTGCAGTGAGCCGGGATTAAGCCGCTGCAAAAGAACATTATTAAGAAAGTTAAGAGATAAGTCAGAGTATGGGAGAAAATACTTGCAAATTATATGTTGATAAGGGTCTTACATCTAAAATACATGTTGAACAAAGTTACAACAAATTTAGTTCAATTTAGATCGAATTGGCTTTTATTTGCGATTCATGAATTGGGGCAGCATCCCATTCTATAAAATAGAGTAAGAATTTCCACAGGGCATGACAGAACAGTGGGTTCTGTAAAGTAGGAACAAAAAACCCAGAAACAATAGAAAAAAGTGGGGATCTCAGCCGCTGGGGTGGCGGGAGGAGCGGCAACAGCCAGGTAGCCCAGCTCCACAGAGGCTCACACACCAGGGCTTGCAAGCACTGAGCACCAGGCAGGTGCCTTTCCTGCTGCCAAGAAGCCCAAGTGGAAAGTCAGCTCAGCAGAAGGGGAAGTGAAGGAAGAGCCCAAGAGGAGATTCTTGCAATTGTCATCTAAACCTGCTCCTACAAAAGCAGAAATGAAGCCAAAAAAGGCAGTCATGAAAGGATAAATCTTCAGACACAAAGTGCAAACCGAAGGGAAAAGGAGAACAAAAGGAAAACTGGCCAAAGTGGCTAACCAATAAACTAAAGAAGACTTATCTGCAGAAAACAAAGAAACTAAAACCAAAGAGGGTCCTGCCTTTGATGAAGGCTGAGGGAAAGAAGCCAAGTCTGTCTGGCAATAAAATGAATTTGGTTAAAAAAAAAAAAAAGGAAGCCAATCTGATTAATATCATCTACTGTGTCTTAGTAGTCCCTGTCTCCCTCCTTGTACAATCCAGAGGAATATTTTTATCAACTATCTTGTAAATGCAAGTTTTTTAGTCACTCAGGGAACATTTTTAAGAAGGAGGGAATCCCACCTCATCCTATTTTTTAAGTGTAAATGCTTTAAGAGGTGAAATCATTTGCTGGTTGTTTATTTTTTGGTACAACCAGAAAATAGTGTGGAATATTCAATTATGGGAGGCTTTGACTGTCTTGGGTGTCAGCATAGCATTCCATAGATGGGGGTTAGTTCTTATATCTTCTAATACTAAGTGTACTAAATGGCGATATGGAGTCACGGTCCTGCATTTAATGTCTTGAACATTTTAAATTACTTCCATTCCCATGTTATTTTTTAGTAGAATTGTTTCCTTATAAAAACCACTCTTTGATCATGGCTTTCCCTGTCAGAATTGTATGCACTCTGTGACATCTTTGGTTATGGTAGTCCTATATTTTCCTAATAACATTGTTAGTGTGTTGTGAAAGACTGAAAATTAGAGTTTGTAGTGTATATGGTATTAAATTGTGAGTTGCTGGGATGTATTTAACAGCTTATCAACATGTGAAGATACTGGTACTTGATCACCTCTTAAGGAAAATTTCCCTCCAAATTTAAGCTGGAAAGTCACTGGAGTAACTTTTAAAAGTACATGGTGGCTGGGTGCGGTGGCTAACACCTGTAATCCCAGCACTTTGGGAGGCCAAGGCAGGCGGATCACCTGAGGTCAGGAGTTCGAGACCAGCCTGGCCAGCATGGCAAAACCCTGTGTCTACTAAAAATACAAAAATTAGCTGGGCGTGGTGGTGGGTGCCTGTAATCCCAGCTACTCGGGAGGCTGAGGCAGGAGAATTGCTTGAACTCGGGAGGCAGAGGTTGCAGCGAGCCAATATGGTACCAATGTACTCCAGCCTGGATGACAAGAGCAAAACTCCGTCTCGGGGGGAAAAAAAAAGGCATTTTAGATTTTTGGTACCTGTGTTAAAAATTGTGTGCAAATTGAAATGTGTGTGTACTGATTTTCAACACAACCAATAAAATCTCAATTATTAAATAATATTTTGAAGCAAAAAGAAAAATAAAAGAAAAAAGCAGATTGGAGTTGAGCACAGTAGCATGTGCCTGTAGTCTCAGCTACTCAGGAGGCTGAGATGAGAGGATCATTTGAGCCCAGGAGTCCAACCTGGGCAACATAAGAAGACCCTCACCACTTTAATTAAAAAAAAAAAAAAAAAAAAAAAGGAAAGGGGATTGGTTAACATCTGTTTACTTCGGGTAACTTATGAAGGTAAAAGCAGAGAGGCTTTTCTTATTACTCGGGCTCAGGTTGACTGGACCCTTTCTGATTGGTTGCCGTGCATCTCTTGTTTTCAGGAAAAATTGGTCAGTTGGGGAAATCTACCTCTTTCCTCAAAGTTTCATTTTGATCATGTGGCACTTAGCATGAGTAACTCCATTTTTATTTTGTCTGGTCTTTTGGGGCCTACTGCAGGAGCTCTGTTCAAAACAATAGCCTCCCATAAAAGTTGAGTAGCATAAATAACTGTTACAATTCAACAATAAATAGACAGCCAAATTTTTAAAAAGGGAAAGGATTTAAGTAGACATTCCTTAAAAGAAGTGGCCAATAAGCAAGCACATGAAAAAAATGCTCAACATCATTAGTCATTATGGACTAATCAGAACCACTGTGAGAAATCACTTCATACCCATTAAGATGACTGTAATAAAAAAGACAGACGATAACAGTTATTGGTGAGCCTGTGGAGAAATTGAAACCCCTATACATTGCTGGTGGGAATGTAAAATGGTGCTGCCACTGTGGAAAACAGTCTGGCAATTCTTTAAAAAGTTTAAAATTTTGGGGCTTCGAAGGCATTATCAAGAAAGTGAAAAGACAACTCAGAGAATGGGGGGATATATTTACAAGTCGTATGTCTAATAAGGGACTTTTACATCCAGTATATAAAGAATGCTTCCAGCTCAACAATAAAAGGGCAATCCTTTGTTGTTGTTGTTGTTGAGACAGTGTGTTGCTCTGTCCCCCAAGGCTGGAGTGCAGTTGTGTGGTTATGGCTTACTGCAGCCTTAATCTCCTGGACTCAAGTGATCCTCCCACCTCAGCCTCCTGAGGTGGCCTCCTGGTGGCCTCACACCACCATGCCTGGCTAATTTTTTTTTAAGTTTTTATACAGACAGGATCTTGCTATGTTTCCCAGGCTGGTCTCAAACTCCTGAGCTCAAGCTATTCTCCCACCTTGGCCTCCCAAAGTGCTAGAATTAGAGGCATGAGCCACCAGGCCCCACTATGCCACCCAATTTTTCAAAATGGGAAAGTAAAAAAAAATAGTTACTTTATGATCCAGAAATTCTGCTGCTAGGTATATAATGAAGAGAATTGAAAACATGCATTCACATTAAAACATGTACACAAATGTTCAGATTAATTTGGCCAAATAATGGAAACACCCCAATTGTCCATCAGCTAATGACTGATGAGTAGATAAAGAAAATGTGGTAGACCCATATAATGGAGTATTATTCAGCTGTAAGAAGGAATGGAGTATTGATTCATGGTACAACACGGATGAATCTTGAAAACATCATGTGAAGTGAAAGAAGTCAGACAAGGCTACACATTGTATGAGCCCATTTATATAAATTCTCCAGAATATGCAAATCCATAGAGTCAGAAAGTAGATTAATGGTTGCCAGGAGCTGGGAGGAAGGGGAATGGGGAGTGACCTCTAATAGGTATGAGGTTTCTTTTTGGTATGATGAAAATATTCTGAAACTGGGTAGTCATGATGGTTACAAAACTTTGTGAATACACTAAAAACCACTGAATTGTACACTTCAAACAGACATATTTTATGGTCTGTGAATTACATTTTGACTTAAAATATATTTCCTAGATTTAGATTTAATACTTTGTTCTTTTTTGCTCCTGGAAATTTGAAGCCTTGTTTCCTTTTCCCCTCATCCCCCACAACCCATTTTTATTGCTCAGCAATCCCTCTGGGTGATACCTCCAAAATACATTGAGTCTTCTTTTATTTTCTGTCAGCCCAGTAGTCCTGGACACTGTCATTCCTTGTCTCTATAGCTGTACTAAGTACCTCATTGATCTCCTGCTTCCAGTCTTGCCTCACTCCACCCCCACACCTCCCATCAATTTCCTCTCCAAAAAAATAGCCAGAAAATTGTTCTTAAAGAGTTAAATGTATCATGGCATTTCCCTGCTCAAAACTCTTCAATAAAATCCAGACCCCCTAAGTGACCTAAAATATCTGTATGATCTGGCACATACCTGCCTCTCTACTTTCATTTTCCTACCAAGATCCACACCGTTACTAATCTCATGACACAATTGGCCTTTCTCTGCTTGAACTCAGCAAAGTCTTTCATGCTCTAGGGCTTTTGCACATGTGGATCCCTTTGCTTAGAACACACTTTCCTACTGCTCCTGTCATGGCTGGCTTCAATCTTCCTTAAAGTCATCCCTTCAAATAGACCTTCTGTGACCACTGTAACTGAAACCCTTTCTCCGCTTTCTCCATCTGAGCCCTAATATTTATTTTCTTAATAGCATTTATTGCAGCTGGTGGAGTTTTCATTTTATTGCTTGTTTACTCTTATCTCTTTAAATCTGTTTTTCCTCACTAGACCTTCAGACAGGGACCATATTATTATAGATCATCATTGTTTTCCTAGTGTCTAATGTAGCCCGTGTCACTTCATAGTGTTCAATACATATTTGTTAAATGACCGACTGAATGAATTAGATCATTTTGCAAATAATCCCTGGATATTTAACATTTCTTACTCAGTTTAGCATTTTAAGATAGATATTCCTTCATTTGATAGATACTCCTTCTTCCACAAATGTACTTTTAAGAGTTAAGTGAGATTGGCCCCAAAATTATCCTTCAAGAAACTCAACTATTGACATTTTATCTCTCTGAAAAAATTCCACATTTATGTCTTACTATTTTCATTACTGTTAAGTTTTTCTTGTTCTCAATGCAGAGTGATGGCTGTTTTAGTACTTCAGGTGGAATTCGTCCTTTTCATCTTCAGAACTGGAAGCAGAAAGTTAATCAGACTAAGAAAGCAGAATTTGTACGCACAGCAGAAAAATTTAAAAATCAGTAAGTATAAGAATATAATCTTCAAATAACATTACTAGCCATTTTATAATGGACAATAAAAAATTAATTCTACTCTACCCTACCTAGGCTCACATTAAGTTATAAAATTGTAATCACTAGCCTGTCAAATATAACAAGAGAAAGATGGGAGGTATGAAATAATAGGCTGTTCAATATAAAGTTAATTGTAAATAGAGTTATTTCAATTTTCTTTATTTTTACAATTTTGAATCTGTGTATTTCAAGGGAAAAAAAATAGCTGTTTCTTTAGATTTTATATAACGAATAACAGACTTAATCTATTTTCACTTTATAACTAAATGCCTGGTAAATGTTTTTGAGGAAGTGAATCGTTTTTGTGTTTTTTTATTATGTGTATATGAAAGTGTTTTATAATGTTTTATAAATGACGAACATCATATATTTAAATTGCTCTTCTTCCTGTTTTACAAATGAGGATGTTGAGGATCATAGAGGATAAACATCTTTCCATAGGTTACATGGTTAATAAATGGTGTTTGAGGGACTCTTAGGCTGGCTCCAGCCACTCTGAAAGCCATTGTTCTTCTTACTAACCAGTGATGTTCACCACCAAGCCTATTTGAATATGTGGGTGTGATCTCACTAAGGAAGACAGTGAATCAATTTAATGAAAAGTCTGTGCTCTTACTTTTTTTTTTTTGAGTGGCTTTTTAATTGATCTCAATTCCTTGGTTTCTGCTCCTTTCAGATCCATTTTGCCCATTATGACCAAGCTATTTGAGAAGCTTCCATTTATTTTAAATTTTCAATATATATGAACTTTTTCTTTAAACAACCATTGATATTTATTGAATGTTCAATGTTGTCAGCAGTACCAGCATATAAATATGAAGAATGTTAAAAAGAATTAGAACTCAAGGCACCCCACTCTACCCTACAGTTGAGAGCTTTATCAAAACGTTGCTTTGAACCTACATAGTATCAATTTGCCAAAGGACATGAGAAAAGGAGCCTATTATAAGGAATGGTCTCTGGGTCAGAATTGGTGGCAGGTCTATATTTAGAAATTCTACCAATGAAAAAGTGTACTGTTAGAATTTTGAAAAGCTATACCATATCGTAGCTTTTGGAGACTAAATTCTCCTTGCATTTACATAATACTTTTGTCTTTTCCCCCACTTTTATTGAGGTATAACTGACAAATAAAAATTATATATATTTAATGTCTACAGTGTGATGTATGGATGTACACAAACATTGCAGAATGATTACCACAATCAAGCTAATTAACATATCCATCACTTCACATAGTTACCTTGTGTGTGCGTGAAGGGTTGAGAATATTTAAGATCAACTTTCTTAGAAAAGTGAGCTGAGATTTTCATTATGTTAAGTGAAATAAGCCATACACAGAAAGACAGACAATGCATGATCTCATTTATATGTGGAATCTTAAAAAAGTCAAACTCAGAAACAGAGAATAGAATGGTGATTACCAGGAGTCTGGGGGTGATGAGGTGGGAGTGGGGATAATGGGGAGATGTTGGTCAAAGGGTACAAGTTATAAAATAGAAAAGATCTAGAGACCTAATGTACAGCATGGTGAGTATAGTTAATAATAACGTATTGTATGCTTGAAGTTGCTAATACATATATCTTTAGTATTCAGAATTTGAAAAAATACAGTTCTTTAAAATATCCAAAATGCATTACTCTAGATAGAATTAGATTCTAGGTTAGAGGTTCTGTTTTATGTTTCTTTCTAGATAGGGTAATGTCCACCAAATGGTTAATATCCATAGATGCAGCAACCAGTGTGTTTTACAGTTCTGAGAAGGCTTCTTCATCTGTTTTAGGGCAT
The DNA here is from genome assembly GCF_000001405.40 of Homo sapiens. NCBI lineage: Eukaryota > Metazoa > Chordata > Mammalia > Primates > Hominidae > Homo > Homo sapiens. The sequence goes on along the minus strand of NC_000005.10, from coordinate 115,282,943 downwards.
TGGAAAAACTCACTGAAAGAATATTAGAAAAACTCATTGTAAGAGTGTTTCTATCTAACAATTCACATAAACACAAACGAAAAACCACAATCTATAATATCTTTTTTTAAATTTTTAAAATAGGTAATATATTTACATGGTTCAAGAATCAAAACAAATCAAAGGGTACCCAGTGGAAAGTCTCAGTTTTACTCTTCATCCAAGCCACCCAGTTCCTTTCCACTCAGATAACCCACTAGTTTTGGTTTCTTATGTATCCTTCCCCAGATATTTTATGTGTTTATAAAGAAATATATATTCAGATTTTTCCTTTTTTGTATAAATGGTAGCATACCGTCCACATTGCTCTGCATTTTTTTTTAAAGTGTATGTCTTAGATAACAAGGAATTGTAGATTTTGCTAGGCACAATAATGGCATTATAGTTAGGTAAGTCAAATATCAGTACTCTCTAGAGGCACACACAAAAGTTTGTTGGGGTGAAATTGCATAATGTGATGGATTTACTTGAAAATACTTAAGCTAAGCTAAGCAAAGCAAAGGTAGATGTAATGGATCTACTTGAAAATACTTAAACTGAGCAAAGCAAAGATAGATGGATAGATGAAATGAGAGGTAAAACTGCTGAATCAGGGTGAGATAAAATTCATATCATATGATGGGTGTCAATTTACCATTCTGTACTTTTGAATATGTCTAACATTTTCCTACAAAAACTTTGTTTAAAAAAGAGGTTATCTTGGAGATCTTTTCCTGTCAGTACGTAGAACAGAGTACCACTGTATCATATTCCAGTGTATGAATGTAATATGATTTATTTAACCTGCCCATATTTATGGACATTTAGGTTATATTCAATCTTTTTTTAATAACAAACAGTGCTGCAATTAATTACCATACCCACATAGGTCAACATTATTTGTTTGTAAGTATATCTTCAGGATAAATTCCTAAAAGGAAATACTGGGTCAGAGATAAATGAATTTACAAATGTGATAAATATTGCTAAATTGCCCTCCGTAGACAACAGTTCCACCAACAATGTATGAGAAGACATGTTTTCCTCACAGTTTTGTCAACAAAATATATTAAATTTGTGATTTTTTTGCCAATATGATAGGTGTGCAGTGTTACTGTGATATAGTTTTAATTTGCATTTCTTCTATTGAGGAGGTTGTTTTCATTTTTGTCGACTTGTCTCCATTAATTAGCATATTTTGAATATCCTTATAGGTTAATATTTCTAATCCAGGAAAAACAGAAAGTAAGTTGAGTTTGTGATGAACTAAAAACTGTTGAGTGATATAAAGTTGTAGCATATCCTGTGTCCATGGCAGACGTTTCTTTTTATCATAGTAATTTTCCCCATCTGCAACCAGAGCCTAGATGAACTTCCCAGTCCTCAACACAGGACTCAGTCCATTAGAGTTGCCAGGTGGGACTGAAATCTATTTGATATCTTTATCTACCCATTATTTCTTCTCACAAACAATAGAAGCTACCTAAACACACATGCTAAGACATGATCCCCTCAGCCTCTGGAGAAGTGTGGTGGGCTCTGGGGCAGTCTCATCTGTCTACCCCCATGTGTCTTATGAATATTAAATTTTTCTCTATGGGCGGTCAGATGCGGTGGCTCATGCCTGTAATCCCAGCATTTTGGGAGGCCAAGGAGGGAAGATTACTTGAGGTCAGGAGTTTGAGACTAGCCTGGCCAACATGGCGAAATTCTGTCTCTATGAAAAATACAAAAATTAGCCAGTCATGGTGGCAGGCGCTTGTAGTCCCAGTTACTCGGGAGGCTGAGGCAGGGGAATTGCTTGAACCAGGGAGGCGGAGGTTACAGTGAGCTGAAATCGCACCACTGCACTCCAGCCTGGGTGACAGAGCGAGAGTCTGTCTCAAAAAAAAAAAAAAAATTCTCTATGTATGGCAAAGTGGAAAAGATTGGGAAACTCTACGGTATAGATAGTTGCCTCTCAGGTTGTGTGAATTAAGTAAATGGCCAGTGATGCTCCACCACTTATTAAATCCAAGATTAGTGGAGAAATATTCATATTAATTTCCACCTGGGAGAAAGAAACACATTAAGAAAATTAATTTTGGCTGGGCATGATGGCTCACGCACTTTGGGAGGCCGAGGTGGGCAGATCACTTGAGCTCAGGAGTTCAAGACCAGCCTGGGCAACATGGCAAAACCCTATATCTATCAAAAAAAAAAATTAGCTGGGCATGGTGGTTGTGTGCCCCTGTAGTCCCAGCTACTCAGGAGACTGAGGTTGGAGGATTGCTTGAGCCAGGGAGGTCAAGGCTGCAGTGAGCTGAGATGGCACCATGGCACTCCAGCCTGGGTGACAGAGCCAGACCCTGTCTCAAAAAAAAAAAGGTAATTTGAGAATTGATTTCTTTGCCCAATCAAAAAAGTTTCTCAGTAGTGTTTTATTTTATTTTTGTTTTCTCTTAGGGTGCAAACTAACAATGAGAACTCCTTACTGTTAGACTAAATTCAAGGGGCAAAGATGTGCTGAAAGAAGCCTGAAGTAAATGTAGACAATAGTCATTAAATACCCGAAATTTCCTGTCTTTGTAGATGGTTAGTCTCTCGAAGTTTTAGTTTTATTAATAATATTAATAACTGGCATTTCCATAGTATACTTGTACTGTACAGAGATCTCCCACATATATTATCTCATTTGATGTGAATAATAGCCCTATTAGATAGTGGAGAGCTGTTATTATTCACATTTTAGTGATGAGGAGGTTCATACCTGGAGAGGTTAACCATCTTGGCTAAGGTTACAAAATTAATAGTATCTACTATTGAAAGCAGTCATCAGCAGTGATGGCCATTTTCAGGCTCCAGTGAGATTGAGTTGGAATCAATAGTCAAAAGCTTATGCATTTTCAAAGCAAATGTATATCCACATTTTCTTAAATTATCATTTTATGATTTACATAGCAGTTCAAATTATAGTTGTGTTTGATTGAAATTAACTCTTCTAGCTATTATTTTGACTAATGTTTTGATTCCTTAGCCTTATTAACCAAAGTAATTATTTTTATTCCATAGATGAATTAATCCAAATATAAAATACGGATTATTGAGTGTCTTCATATTTTAAACTATTAAAAATATATTTAGATCATATTTATACTATTTGTTTCTTTTCCTAAAGAGTAATTAACATGGAAAAAGATAAACACAGTCATTTCTACAACCAAAAAAGTGACTTCAGAATTGAGCATAGTATGCTAGAAGAATTGGAAAATAAATTGATTCACAGCAGGAAAACAGAAAGTAAGTTGAGTTTGTGATGAACTAAAAACTGTTGAGCGATATAAAGTTGTAGTTTTACCCTGTGCTTTGTCTTTGTGCATTGACTGTATTGTGTTCTCTATCAATAGAGTCAGTTCTCTATTGACTGTGTTATATTCTCTGTATTTTAGTTGGTAAAATTTGTCTTTTAGGGACATGTTTATTCTTTCGGGTCACTATTTAGTCATACTAACTGGATTGTTTTCTGTTGTATATTTTTTCCAATATAACAAGAAAGAGAGGATTTGGGGGATTTTTTTGGTTGACACACCACCAAATTCTATTAAAATTTCTTAAAAGCAGAGTGATTTCTGGGCTGTCTGATGTTAGCTCATTACCCTGGCATTGTTGACTGAGCCCTGGACTCAGTAAGCATCAACAGATTCAAAGCTATAATTAGCAGTTGTGTGAAGTGATCAAGTCAGATAATTGCATAAACCTGAGTTTCCTTGTCTACATTCTAAAACTTGTCATTTCTACCTCAGGAGAGCCGTACTATGCATCTGATGAGATAATATATAAAAATGTACCTTATAGATAGATTGTACATGACTATGTTCTTTTGTTTGTTATGAATATTAATCATTGTCAATAGTGTACTGAATGTTACCCTTAAAGAATTTGAGAATATTTGTTTCATTGTAGCGTTAGATTCTGTATGTTGTAAAATCTTTATAATAAAAAAGCTGCTTAGCATTTCTTAAAGGAAAAATAATGGTTATCAAATAACTAAGCTTTATAAAATATTAAGACTTACTATGTAGAGATGAGACTGCTCATGATACTCCCTTGTCATCAATTAAAGTAAATTCTTAGTGATTTTTTTCTTTCAAAATACAAGGTTGCACTATTTTTTAAAAGAAAAGATTACACTACTTTAAAAAGTGATTCTTTGTCAAGCAGTGGCAGGAATCATTTTCCTTCTTTGATACATTGAAAAACCGAGACACCCCTGATTCAATATTTCTTTATTTCCCTCAGTTCTTTTGTAGACAACTGGGAGGCTGATTTTTCTATGTCTCAGTAATGCCAATAAGTAAAATTTTGTGCAAATTTTAGGTCACTTGATTTTCCCTTTATTATGGCAACTTTATTTGTACCAATCTATTTCACTTTGTTCTATAGTTTTGCTTATTTTTTTAAGTTATTTTTATAAGTTTTGCTCTTATAAAGTGTAGTGTTACTACACTTTATGTTTTTCCTGTCTAGGAGAGTAAAGAATGCTTGCCTTAGTGTAGAGAAGTTTTCCCTTCATATATTACAGCTGAGCAGTAGAAATACCTATTCCTTACCTCCAATAGCATACCTCAATTTTAGTCTGCATTTATGTCATATTGTACTTAAATGATTTGTCTATCTATCCAAATGAATAAATAAAATAAAAAGATTATCAGCCTTGTAGTGATATTTTGGTAGCTGATCAAACTAAGGCTAAAATGAAGCAACAAAAAACACTTTCCTAATTACTTTACTAGAGAGGTTTCATGACCTAAAGTTCAACAGTAAGACCCTACAAAGTAAATTACAAAAAGTTTCTGCCTTTATGGAATTCTTGAATTTTAATGAAAAACACAGAACAAGCCAAAGTTGTCATATACGTATTAAGAGGTTTATTTTGGATGTTCACACTGACTGCAAACCTATAGGTAAACTTTTTCTTAAAAAAATAATTACTTTTAAGGACTTTTGTACAGAGCCTTTGGTGCTTTGTGCTTATTTGTGGAAAAGTTGCAAAAACAAAAAAGAGGAGGGTGCATAAAATACCCCAAGATGATAAAATAATAGTATTACTATTATAAGAATGCGAATATTTTGACATTAGCCTAGTAATTTAAGTAAATATTAAAGTAAGATTATTCCTTCAGAAAAAAATATGAAAGAAGAATCCTTTATGCTGATAAAGACAATTTGAAAGAATCGTTGAGACTCTCATTTACTTTTCAGGCTTTATTGTGGGCCTAATATTTTACTCCAGGCTGGTCCTTTGATTGAGCTTGGCGACCTGTGGCATAGTATACCACTGAATGATACCTGAGGCACCTCCTCAGGGCCGTGCCAGTGATAACAATGAGTATCACCTGCCCCTTTCCTAGAAGATTTGGTTGGATGAAATTAATTCTCAATGGGAAGTTTCTCAGTATTCACAGAATTAACTAAATAGTTTTAATATTCCCACAATAGAGTTAAGACCAAATTCTATTTCCATAAGTTATAACAAATTAAAAAGAAATGAAACACTATTAAAGAACAAAAACTATGCTGAAACTGCTAATATTTACATGTAAAACAATGTCCAATAACTCAATCTACACAGAAGGGGAAAAAAAGACATTTCCTTAGCACGGGTTATAGTAAGACTTAACCCATTATGCTTTTAAATATTGAAAGATATTGAAGGATGCTTTATTTAGAACAAAGGTACTTAAAGTATTAATGTTTTGACATAAATATCTTTTGTTCTTTATTTAATTGCTCTTGGCTTTTACTAACAGTGATCAGTCTTACATGTAGATTCCTGAATTGTAACCACATTTGTCACAGAATTATTTTAAAGTGCATACTTCTTTCTTATAGGAGCAAAAATCCAGCAACAATTGGCCAAAATACATAATAATGTAAAGAAACTTCAGCATCAATTAAAAGATGTGAAGCCTACACCTGATTGTAAGTAAATTTAGATATTATAATCTTTCTTATGTGTTAGTATTTTCTGTTTGGCATTAATGGAGCTAAACTCTACTTTATTGGTTAGGACTTAAGTTTATTAATGGAGCTAAACTCTACTTTATTGGTTAGGACTTAATAAGTTTATTAATGGAGCTAAACTCTATCAGTTAGGATTTAGTAAGTTTACACCGGAGAACTATAATCGGGCATTTCTGTGTGTATCCGTTAAAGTATTATCAAATCCTTAGAAATTATAAGGTAGGCAGAACACATACTAGTGACATTTACAGGATTGGGAATCTATGTTATAGAAAGGTTTAAAAAAACAGCTAATTAAGGGGAAAAAAGATTGATTTCCTTAATCCTGTCCCAGTGTTTTCCCTTCATTTGCTTTTTGAAATAATTGTCTTTGAGAGGCATTTCTAATACATAAGGAAAGGTTAAACTGATTTAGGACAAATGCTAGTTTTTGGAAAAAAATCCCACAAATTATATCCCTACCTCCTTGCTTACTGTAATATTCATTCCTGAGAATCAAAGCAACAAATTAAAGGTCTCAGGGTGTATGGACTTAGGAATCAGACAGGTGTTGGGTCAAACCTTTGATCTTTCACTTGTTGGCTATGTAATTTTAGGCAAGTTACTTGATATATCTGAGCTTTCATTTCCTCAGCTCTAAAATGGAGATAATTATGATATGAGTATATAGGGAAAATGTCTGTAATCAGAAAAAATAGCAATCATAAAAATTCACTTTTGAGCACAACTTTCTTATGCCTTAGGCTAAGAAATATTTTAAAATTAGGAGAACATTCCACTTTTTCTTCCTAATATTTAACTTTTAGCCATATGGGAAAATGGCACAAAATAATTTTCCGTGTTTCTTTTACAGTTGTTGAGAAGCTCAGAGAAATGATGGAAGAAATTGAAAATGCAATTAACACTTTTAAAGAAGAGCAGAGGTTGATGTATGTTTTAAACTCATTTTAATATAAAATTATTGACCTTTATTTTTTAATAACTGGCCCCAGTACATTTTTGTATATAATGCATTCTGTTATTATGTATTTGAGTCTTATACAAAAGCAATATAATATCTTTTTTGTTTTCAGTTTTAGGTGGCTTTTCATATTTAAAGCGAAATTTTATTCATATTTAGTTACTATAAAATCCCAAATAAGAATTTGAAAGATTGTTTTTATCTCTGAGGAGACTCTTTTAAGGCTTAAATTTATAAATGTTAATAATGTTAAGTGGAGAAGATGATATAAAGAGTCAGGTATCTTAAATTTGATGGAAAATTAAGGGTTAATATGGATTGTCTTCTTATTCAAACTTTATTTTTAAAATTTTAGATATGAAGAGCTAATTAAAGAAGAGAAGACAACTAATAATGAGTTGAGTGCCATATCAAGAAAAATTGACACATGGGCTTTGGGTAATTCAGAAACAGAGAAAGCTTTCAGAGCAATCTCAAGCAAAGTTCCTGTAGACAAAGTAACACCAAGTACTCTTCCAGAAGAGGTACTAGATTTTGAAAAATTCCTTCAGCAAACAGGAGGGCGACAAGGTGCCTGGGATGATTATGATCACCAGAACTTTGTAAAGGTGAGAAACAAACATAAAGGGAAGCCAACATTTATGGAAGAAGTTCTAGAACACCTTCCTGGAAAAACACAAGATGAAGTTCAACAGCATGAAAAATGGTATCAAAAGTTTCTGGCTCTAGAAGAAAGAAAAAAAGAGGTAATAATTATAATAGCTATTATTCATTCTGTGTTTCTATGTTCTAGGCACTGTACTAAACACTTAACATGTCTCATTAACTTTACAGCAATCCCATGAAGTGTGTTTATAGTTCCCCGCCCCCGACAATCTAATAGAAGATGAAACTGAGGCATTGAAAGTTAAGTAATTTTAGCCAGGCACAGTGGCTTACACCTGTAATCCCAGCACTCTGGGAGGTTAAGGCGGATGGATCACTTGAGCTCAGGAGTTTGAGACCAGCCTGGGCAACATGGCAAAACCCTGTCTCTACAAAAAATACAGAAAAATTAGCTGGGCATGGTGCCACGCACCTGTGGTCCCAGCTACTTGGGAAGCTGAGGTGGGAGGATTGCTTGAGCCTAGAAGGTTGAGGCTACAGTGATCTGTGATTGCACCACTGCACTCTAGCCTGAGCGAGACCTAGTCTCAAGAAAAAATAAAAATAAAAAAAGGAAGTTAAGTAATTTTACCCAATTAATAGAACAACATTTGGACTTCCTCATAGCCAAACATGTCTCTGTCACAAATAACATAATGGGACAAAAAGCCTCTGATTATGGGTCCAGTCCTCCGTATCCACTTCTCAGAAATGTGAGCAATCCAGATCCACTGAGACTTTTGAAAAAAGTCATCTTACGAGCAAAGGCCACATTGTTTTGAATAGAAAAATCAAGAGGCAGTAGAAAAAATGCTTTGACTAGTAAACATTTCTTTGAGATTTTTAAACTTCAACCATATTGCTTATTTTAAAGACTCAAAATGTTAGCTACCCCAGAAAAAAAAATAACGCCTGATTGTGGCAGATACCTAAAAAGGTCCATTTTTACAAAAATATTACTCTGGCTTTGCATTAGATCAGGATTTCTTAACCTTGATACTATTGACATTTGGAGCTAGATAATTCTTTGTTGTGGGGGCCTGTTCTGTGCATTATAGGATGGCATCCCTGGTTTCCAGCGGGTAGATGCTTATAATGTCTCCTTAATTATGATTATCAAAAATGCCTCTAGCCAGTTGTCCACTGGAGGGGAAAAATAGCCCCTAGTTGAGAACCACAGTAAGTCAGAGTCTTTTTTTTCTTTTGTAGAGTTCAGTGATGACGAAGTTTGACTTACCTGGTTTAACAAAAAGGTTGTGTTTATTCCATAGATGGTATACCCAAGGAATATTAAAGAAATAATTGAGTCCATGTTTAGTCTAAAGTTTTAGAGGGAATAGCTGCATTTTTGTTGTTCTTGTCATTCTCCTCCCTCCCCCCAGCAATAAATTGAATGTAGGGAAATTGACTTCTCGGGTTTTAAGAAAAATGTTTGAAACATAAGTCATTTGGGCTTTTTTCCCCAGAATGCTGAAAACATGGGATTCTCAAAGTGGTCCCTAGACCAGCAAAATCAGCATCACCTGGGACCTTATTAGAACTTAGCGGGCTCCAACTCCAGACCTAATTAGCACTGTGAGGGTAAGGCCCAACAATCTGTGCTTTACCAAGTCCTCTAGTTTATTCTGCTAATGAAAACCACCTCTTTAGGAAAAAGAAACAGACACACTGCTTCTTGTGATAAAAGTAAACCATTCAGATTCTAGCTTATTTTCCTTGTTCCCATCTGCTCTATTTCCTGATATTTGATGACTGATATATCATCAGTTTGATACGATATGAGCAGGACATAGGGGTGAGATAGAAGGGTTTGTGAAAGTGGAGGTGCCATTTACTGAAGTAGGGCATGTTGGAGGAGGAAAGGGAAGTTTGGAGGAAAATATCAGGAGTTCAGTTTTAAATCTACGGAGTTTTAAGATGTTGAGTAGTAAATTTACCATTTTTATCTCCCACTTCCTTTAATATGTCTTGTGTTTTTAATAAGTGAAGATATTATTCTGACATTTTCAGACATGCTCTGAACTTTCTGGCCTGAATGCCTTTGCTTATCTTGTTCTCACTTTCTGGAACCTCCATTCTTTCTTTCCCCCTCCAATCCCAGCTTATCAAAATTGGCCCAGATCAGATGTTGCCTCCTCCTTGCCCACCCAAACATAAGTAGCTTCCCTCAGGATTTCACTGACACTTAACACCTTTTATATGATGTGTTGTGGTATGCCCATGTTGAATTTCACCTAGAACAGTGCTGCTCAGACTTGGTCCATGGACTAAATATGGGTTTGCAAACTGTTACTGGTTTACAGTGGGATAAAATAGTTGCACCAGAATTAACTATGCAGTGAGCACTGTTTAGTTCAATTGACTTTTTTTTTTCCATAGAAAATTTTCACATTGAAAGAAGCAGTGCATTGATTTGCGTTTTAACACAAATTCCCAATATTTTTGCAGACTGGTATTTTGAGTAGCACTGTACTAGGTGGCATTTGGTATAGTTTTAATATTGTTTCATTGTTCCTATCACATTGCCTTGTTTATAGTATATATACATACCATAAAGATTTATTGAGTGGAATGAATGATACACCATAAAGAAAGATGAGGAAATAGTTTCTTGACTTGGAGGGAAGGTAATTCAGTGAATATGCCCTAAATGGCATGGAGAAGCCTGCTAGAATTTGAAATAATTTTTACATACCCATATGTAAAGACAGCTCTGTAGCTATTGAGCTGTTTTATTTATTTATTTATACATACTTCGGAAGCACTATGTGCCAGACGCTAACTCATTTAATCTTCATAACAACACTGTGCAAGAAATCCTACCTACCATTTTATAGATGAGCAAAATGAGGACAGAGAAGTTTAGTGGCTCATCCAATGCCACACCTAGTAAATGGCACTGCCAGGATTTGGTCCCAAATAGTCTGACTTCAGTGCTCATGTTCTTAACCACCCTACTCTTAATTCTTCTTCTGATATTTGACCAGATAAAGATCACTCAGAAAGTATTCTAAGCCTAGAAAGAGAATTTGGAAGCAGAAATGAGATGATCAGAGGAAAGGGATGTTGCCCATGAAAATAAAAGGAGCAGATAGGCCTGGCACGGTGGCTCACACCTGTAATCTCAGCACTTTGGGAGGCCAAGGTGGGTGGATCACCTGAGGTCAGGAGTTCAAGACCAGCCTGGCCAACATGATGAAACCCTATACTAAAAATACAAAAAAATTAGCCAGACATGGTGGCTGGTGCCTATAATCCCAGCTTTTTGGGAGGCTGAGGCGGGAGAATCACTTGAACCTGGGAGGCAGAGGTTGCAGTGAGCTGAGATCGTGCCACTGCACTCCAGCCTGGGCAACAAAAGCGAAACTCCGTCTCAAAAAAAAAAAAAAAAAAAGAAGCAGTAAAGAGGAGAAGGATCATTCATGAGTTGTAGTCCTTTTGAACTTGATTAAGAGAGAAAGAGGAAGGCCAAAAGGATGACCCATTATTCAGAGTTTTAAGAGACAGCAATTTTTAAAAAACAGAAGTAGAAAAAAATTGCAATGGTTAAAACAAAGCTGAAAAACCTAAGCATCCAGCATTCTGCAATCAATATTCTTTCTAGAAAGATGGAATTGATGTATTTTAAAATACTTTTGGCTATTAAAAAACTTTTTTCTCTTGCTTTCTTTTTTTAAAAAAATCATTTAGTCAATTCAGATTTGGAAAACTAAAAAGCAGCAAAAAAGGGAGGAAATTTTCAAGTTAAAGGAAAAGGCAGACAACACACCTGTGCTTTTTCATAATAAACAAGAGGATAATCAAAAGCAAAAAGAGGAACAAAGAAAGAAACAGAAATTGGCAGTTGAAGCTTGGAAGAAACAGAAAAGTATAGAAATGTCAATGAAATGTGCTTCCCAGTTAAAAGAAGAAGAAGAGAAAGAGAAAAAACATCAGAAAGAACGCCAGCGCCAGTTTAAGTTAAAATTACTACTAGAAAGTTATACCCAGCAGAAGAAAGAACAGGAAGAATTTTTGAGGCTTGAAAAGGAGATAAGGGAAAAGGCAGAAAAGGCAGAAAAAAGGAAAAATGCTGCTGATGAAATTTCCAGATTTCAAGAAAGAGTGAGTAAATCTATTTCCTAAATAATTTTTAAATGCTACACATGGAGGTATTACTTCCAAATTCAGTTAAGCAAAAATTGAGTATTTGTATATTGGACCTGTGTATAGCATTAGTATACCAAAATGAGTAAGCCGTGCTCCCTAACTTCTAGTAGGTTATAGTCTAGTGGGAAAGATATGTGGAAGTAGGAGATTGCAGTATAATGTGTTAAAGAGTGTGGTGATTGAGGTATGGACATAGTACTTAGGAGGGAGTACAGGGAGGGACGCTACCACAGCTATGAGTGGCAGAGAGAAGGTAATACTTAGGTTGAGTCTTGAAGAAGGGAAGGAAAAATGAGGTCCTTCCTAGCAGAGACAACAGCATGAATAGCAGCTTGAAAGAGTGTAACAGTATGGTTTGTGATGGAGACTATTAACACTTCAGTATTCTTAGGGCATTAAGCAGGAGAGGGGAACCAACAGATGATGAGACTAGAAAGGTAGCCATAGGCAAGACTGAATGATTTGTCTTCTCTGCCAAACTGGCTGGCTTTACCATATTGATGACTTGCCTATTTGTTCATTTCCCCACCATAATGTAGGCTCCATGAGGGCATTAGTGGTGTGTTTGCATTAGTGGTGTGTTTTTTTGAACATCCTTGTACCCTAGAGTTAAGTGCATTGTAGAAACTTATCTTCTTAAAGGAATCGAGATTATTGCTGGGTGGTCAAATTAAAGGTGATTTTAAACAAACATATATAAGAAAAATGCTAATAAAGACATACTGGCAGAATTCATTCCAAAAAGTATTAAGACAAGGAAGGGGACTTTAAAATGAAAAAGGGTGCAAATGAGATATAATTTATGAATTGTTATGTGCATCAAAATATATAGCAGCAATGTTTGTAAAGCAAAAAACTAAGGGAGGTACAAAGAAAAATAACGGACAAAAACACAGACAAAGCACATTAATACTGAAAATTTTAGTTCATTTCTTTTAGTTCATATATAAAAATCTTCCTAAGTAACAAAAGTTCCCATTCCTCCTCATACACCCCAAAAATAAGCAGGACACATAATAAAAGAAAAAAATAAAACCCACAAAACAGAAAATATAAAATAATGAGAGATCTGAAATCAGACATACCTGCATTGATGAATGAAAATGGGATTAACTCACCTATTAAAAGGGAGTTTTAGGTTGAACCTTAAAGGAAAACAAGAGATGCCTAAAATAAAATAATACAGAAGGGATGTGCATGTGTTAACATTTATATTCAGAGAAAATAAAGCTCTTAGGCTTTGTTGGAAAGAATTAATATTGAAGGAATATTGATAGGTAAGGTAATTTAATTTTACTTGTGAACAACTAAATTTTGAACAAATTCTAGTTCACATGCTTTCTTAATGCTATGGGTTTTTTTTTTTAAGGATTTACATAAACTTGAACTGAAAATTCTAGATAGACAGGCAAAGGAAGATGAAAAGTCACAAAAACAAAGAAGACTGGCAAAATTAAAAGAAAAGGTACTCTGCACCGAGATTATTTTCATTGTTATTATCCTAATTCCTTGATTTGTAAGGATACTGACATCAAATCTATTTCCTTTATATCTCACCTTATTTCTATAACATCTACTTTAAATTTCATACTTATTTACATATTAGCAAGCATAACTTGGTACAATTTAAGCAACCATTATTTGAATTCTGTCATTTTACCTTATGAGCACCGTTTTCTTTCACTCTGAATTATTGTTCCCCCTACTTGTCATTTAAAAATTTGTTTCTATATGAACCTTTATTTTAGATCAATGGCAGCTATGAGCATTGCTTAATCTCTCTTGCAGTACTCAGAGCTAAAGATATTGGTGACCCTCATGGATAAAACGGAAGACTTATTGGTAGTTACTTATCCTAAATTTGTTGTCTGGCTATATCACTAGCATACTTAGCTGCATTACATTTCTCTCATAATAGAAATAGAAAAATAGGAATAGAATAAAATAATAGAACTAAAAGAAATAAACTAACAGTTTATGAATAGATTGATGTAGTCTAAATTTTCTTTTAGCTATATGAGCCCAATGAGAAGTTTACTGAGGTTATTAATGGTTTTATTAGCCAATATCAACTATGTCTTTTAAAACTGCACTAAGGCTTTTACTTATTTACTAGTACAAACTGAGTTTGTATAATTAACTGGTACTATTTTACTTCTGATTACAGGTTGAAAACAATGTTAGTAGAGATCCCTCTAGGCTTTACAAACCCACCAAAGGTTGGGAAGAACGAACCAAAAAGATAGGACCAACAGGCTCTGGGCCACTTCTACATATCCCACATAGGTAAGAAAGAGTTAGAATTGGTGTTCATTTAGTAATTTAATTGCTGCATGTTTATATTTTATGCACTTACTATATGTAAATTATATTTTTCATATATATATGAAAATATAATATGTAAGTGTGTATAATATATAAATGTTTTTTACCTAAATCTTTTTTATATAAATATATAACATATTTATATAATATATAAGGATATATAATATCTATAAATATACATATTTTTTCATATATATATGAAAAATATATATATATATTTGCCTTTCAGGTCACTTTTATTTAAAAATAAACAGTAGATAAAAGTAAAAGTAGGTCGGGTGCAGTGGCTTACGCCTGTAATCCCAGCACTTTGGGAGGCCAAGGAGGACGGATCACGAAGTCAGGAGTTTGAGACCAGCCTCGCCAACATAGTGAAACCCCATCTCTACTAAAAATACAAAAAAAATTAGCCAGGCATGGTGGTGTGCACCTGTAGTCCCAGGTACTTGGGAGGCTGAGGCAGGTAGAATCACTTGAACTTGGGAGGCAGAGGTTATGGTGAGCCGAGATCGTGCCACCTGGGTAACAGTGAGACTCCGTCTCAAAAAAATAAATAAATAAATAAAGTAAAAGTAGTACCTGATGCCCTATTAGATATTACATTCATGTTAGTAGATGCCATTTTCTGCCTTTTTCACATTAATATTTATTTTTATAAGGAGAGTAGTATTGAAAAAGAATGAATGAAAGATCGATAGATTAATAAGTAGATTAACTGATTGGTTTGTCTGTCAATCAGTTTGAGAGCTAGAGCTAGAAATAAAACCTTAATGAGGGTTGCAAACCTACATGCCCATATGAACCAGCCAAACAACATGCAGGGTAGGTTATATATATATTTTAAAGTTAGCACTTAATCAGATAGGGTTTTTTTCTTTTTAATTTCCTACATATTTACAATTGCTTTTCTCTTTTTCTCCTTAGGGCTATTCCAACCTGGAGACAAGGAATACAGAGAAGAGTATGAGATAATCAAATTGCTACTCAGTTGATAAGAATGTTAACATACTAAGTTATACCAGGGAGAGAGTGACTAACCACATTCTTTAAATATCAATAGCTTAGTCAGATTGATTATTGTGCTATATTGTGAATTGAGAGGTATTAAGTTTCATGAGGCTTTGTCATTAGTATTCCTGCTTCTACCAAGAAGGTATTTAATATATGTGTTGGCCTATTATTGATGTAAAAGTTATTTAAATAAGTTAATGTTAGAAACATTATTCAATTTAAATACTGAAAACATTTCAAAGAGATTTTGTTTTTGTTATAGCATAGCAAAGTAAATTGGAACAATCATACAATGACATTTTTTAAACCAAAATTTTGTAACTTTTATAACTTGGAGTTAAGTTAGCTTGAGTAACAAAAAGGTAAAGTGGTTTTTGTTTAGAGTTACGAAATGTTAGTACTTTTTCTATGTTTAACAAATTGGCAGTTTGTCAGTTATGACATTTTTGTGTAATAAATATTTTGTATTTGTTTGAAGCATGCTTTGTTTTATATAGAGAATATTTATTTTAAAAATATGTCTCTCATATACCCTATTAATTGTATTATTGATATAATCTTTTTGGTTTCCTTCAGCAATTCCAAATTTTCCTTCAGCCTTTCTGGATTTCACAGATTTATAAAATCTTTGTGTCTTTCACATCTTCCTGGCTAATGCAGTTTTCTTTTCTGCTTCTGTTTGCCTCAAAATAGGAAAATTCTTTGTTCTGAAACATCATCTGAAATAAGCCAGCTTTAAAATACTGTGATTTCTCTTGATGGCACTTAAAATGTTTTAGGTGGGGCATGGTGGCTCATGCTTGTAATCCCAGCACTTTCAGAGGTCAAGGTAGGAGAATTGAGGCCTGGAGTTTGACACTAGCCTGGGCAACACAGGGAGACCCTGTCTCTACAGAAAAAAAAAAAAAAAGTTTAATTAACTGGGTATGGTGGCACACACCTGTAGTCCCAGCTACTTGGGAGGATAAGGTGGGAGGATCACTTGAACCCAGGAGTTCCAGGTTGCAGTGAGCTACGATGGCACCACTCTACTCCAGCCTGGGTGAGAGAGAGACCCTGTCTCTAAAATGAATGAATGAAGGAATGAATGAATAAGATCTTTTAAAGCTGTTAGATTAACATATTTGGGCAAGAGTTAGTTCTTAAATTTCTAAACTTTTAGACATGAAAACACAATGTAATTGAATACAGTTCAACTTTTCATATTATAAAATATTCCTTTCTAACGTTATTTAATTTGTTCTCATAGGAAAGATACTATATACATAAAAACACAGGAAATTTATCTCTTATAAATCTTTTTTTATCTTAATCTTTCATTGTTTATCTTTATCTTTCATTGTTAATGGGATGCATTTAGGTTAAATGACTCAGTTAGAAAGGTACTATGAGTAGCGGTGAAAATCTTTTCTTATTTTACAGTTAATATTCAAAATAGATGGCTTCCAAATTTTAGAAACTGAATTCTGATTTGTACAGTTATTGGTGCAGAATGAGAAAATTGACATAAAAGATCCTTAAACAGGAGTGCTGATTTTGTTATCCAAAACTTTTTTGTAATGATTTGAAGTAGTTCAGAGATAAAATATAGAGGCTGGGTGCAGTGGCTCAGGCTTGTAATCCCAGCACTTTGGGAGGCCAAGGTGGGCGTATCACTTGAGGTCAGGAATTCAAGACCAGCCTGGCCAACATGGTAAAACCCCATCTCTACTAAAAATACAAAAATTAGCCTGGTGTGGTAGTTCACGCCTGTACTCCCAGCTACTTGGGAGGCTGAGGCAGGAGAATCGCTTGAACCCGGGAGGCGGAGGTTGCAGTGAGCTGAGATTGTGCCACTGTACTCCAGCCTGGGCAACAGAGTGAGACTCCATCTCAAAAAATAAATACATAAATAAAACACAGAGCAAGATGAGGAAATTAAAAGCAGAACTGAGAAGCTACAAGATACAGAAAATGTTTCTTACATATTGCTTTTTTACGTGTTGCTTTTTGTTGCACCGAAATGCAGCTTTCAAATTCCTGTATCCAAGGTAAGCATTCTGGATGATGTGATTCTTATGGCTTTGTTTTTTTATTTTTTTTTTAAATAAAGAAAAGTATGGAAGTTCCTCTGAAGAAATCAGTTTTTCTAGCTGAATCTGAAATAAATGATGAATTTATTATATAGATCCTTTATATAAAAGATGTAAGATAAACAAATATCTTCAGTTACAGACTTCATAGAAGTTACAGGTTCATAAACAAGATGTCAAATAAATATTTCTTATACTGGTTTAAAAAGTACATTAGCTTTTTCTCTGAGAAAACACCAAATCGCGGATGATGCCGGTGCAGCGGGGGACCTGGGAGGCCCGGAGGCCCGGGGGGCTCTGGGATGGGGAACTGGGGTCTCAGCCGGCCCTGGGATGGGGAACTCGTGTCGCGGCCATGGACGGGGCCGGGGCCAGCTGCAGAGCTCGTGGAGGCAAGACCAAGGACAAGGAGTAGATGGTTGTCACCAAGCTGGGCTGCCTGGTCAAGGACATGAAGATTAAGTCCCTGGAGTAGATCTATCTCTTCTCTCTGCCCATCAAGGAGTCTGTGATCATTGACTTTTTCCTGGGGCCTCTCTCAAGAAGGAGGTTTTGAAGACGTGCCAGTGCAGAAGCAGACCTGCACCGGCCAGAACACCAGGTTCAAGGCGTTTGTTGCCATCAGGGACAGTGGCCACACTGATCTGGGTGTTAAGTGCTCCAAGGAGGTGGCCACTGCCATCTGCGGGGCCATCATCCTGGCCAAGCTCTCCGTTGTGCCCATGCGCAGAGGCTACTGGGGGAACAAGATCGGCAAGCCCCACACCATCCCTTGCAAGGTGACAGGCTGCCACGGCTCTGTGCTGGCGCGGGTCATCCCTGCGCCCAGGAGCACTGGCATCGTCTCGGCCCCCATGGCCAAGAAGCTGCTGCTGATGGCAGCTATCAATGACTGCTACACCTCAGCCAGGGGCTGCACTGCCATCCTGGGCAACTTCGTCATGGTCATTTTTTATGCCATCTCTAAGGTCTACAGCAGGCTGAACCCTGACCTCTGGAAGGAGACTGTATTCACCAAGTCTCCCTATCAGGAATTCACTGACCACCTCCTCAAGACCCACACCAGAGTCTCCGTGCAGAGGACCCAGGCTCCAGCGGTGGCTACAACATCGGGTTGTACAAGAAAAATAAAATGAAGTAAGCCTGGAAACAAAAAAACTACATTAATAAGAAACATAGAAAAAACACTAAAGAAGAAATGTTATAAAGTACCCATAATTCCAGGGTAACTTTTTCAAAAAACATACCTACATATTTTTAAATTGTTACAGTCATACAGTACATATTAATTACTATGCTATAATTGCATTACACATTTTCGTACATTTCTACCTAATTCAAACATTATCATGTAATGGCTAAATAACACTCAATTATATAGATGTTCTATCATTCCCATTCTGTTATGCACATGCCAAAAATCTTGTAGGGATAAAATCACTCATGGAAAGCCTTTTACCGACCTAGGAGGCATTCTGTATTATCTCTGAATGAGTCCCACATTGCAAATTTTTCCTCTAGATTTGGATCAGATTGCTAGTCCTTGAGCTGAGAATCAGATGAAACATTTGGCTTCCCTAACTTAAGGGCCATGTTTATTAGAATTAATTTTCTGAGAATGTATAGAGTGTCCATAGCTGATTCCAGTAAGTTAAATGTGTATAAGACTCCACTTTAAAAATCTTCAGGCATTTGGGGGTATGTGTGCTAAGTGAGAGATCTTAATTTTAATAACAGTGGAAACTCCAGACTGGGCACACCTGAAGGGCAAGGACTGTGAGCTCCGTATTTGTAGGGAAGTACCGAGGACAGCCTAGAATCCGTCTGTGGCTGTTAAATGCGGCATTTTGTAAAGACATGCAGGAATACCTGTGAATAAGTAGTTAATAGTACCAAAAATTATTCAGAGCACTTTGGATTGTTGAATAAGTGTAAGATTACCCCAGCCCATAGAGTATAAGAATTACATTTTCTAAGAAAGCTAACAAAATTAAACCCAAAATTTTATTAGCTAAGTTGATCACAGGGAACCTAGTTTAGTTATATTATTGGGTGGATCCCCCCACCCGCTACTCAGGAATGCCTCATGAAAGTTTAAAGGGCATAGTATACCGGCTAAACAACTTAAATCCCTATTTTTGGAAAAAAGAACTAGAAGCATGTTTAAATTTTTTAGAATGCAGGTAATTGGAGAAGATATTGAGCTTATTTTGCTGTTGCAGATTGATGCACCATTGATTCTTGATAACACGTCGACTCAAGCAAAGTAAAATCTGTAAGATTTGTAAAAGAATGACGCAAGCAGTCATATATAGGTATGAATATGCATGTTGTATATGTTTGGGGGCATTATACACAGATTTTTAAGTGATTCCTGGTATCCAGAAAGGATTAAGATTAGGAAAGTCTCTGAGCTTTTGTAGTGTCAATAAACATTTATCTCCACTGGTTTGTTTTTCTGTTTCCCTAACCGTTCGGCTTAAAACTGGCCCTCCAAAAATGAATCTGTTAGCAAGTTTATACTGATCCATCCTCGTTTTCAGATATACCATCCTCAGGTTCTACAGAGCCAGAATTGTCTCAAAGCGTACTTGATGCTTTTGACCTTGCGCTTCCCAAGATAAAAATTCTGACGGAGGGATTTGTGGACTTGATTTTCACAAGGCCTGCGAGGTGTTTACAAGCCTCGAGGGCTTTGAGTAGAAAAGGTAGGGTCATGCGCTAGCTAGGGAGATATCGGAGAGAGGAAGTGCTGCACAGGACCCAGATGATAGCGGTTTCAAATACTGGCTTAGTCTGCGGCGGGCGCAGGTCCCCTCACCCGGCACCCTGTGGTTCAGCACAGGAGGGTTCTTTCTCTCCGCGGGCACTGATTCCGGGTCGCGGCGGACGTCGCTTCCGGAGCAGCATGGCGGCCACTGAGGATGAGAGGCTAGCAGGGAGCGGTGAGGGAGAGCGGCTGGATTTCTTACGGGATCGGCACGTGCGATTTTTCCAGCGCTGCCTCCAGGTTTTGCCGGAGCGCTATTCTTCACTCGAGACAAGCAGGTAACTCGTGGCACAGTCAGCCAGGCTGGCACAAGGCCCGGGCTCCAGCGGAAAGGCGCGGCGGAGTCGGACCGCAAACTGGGCGCCGGAAGGGGGCTGCGCGGCCGCCCAGTTGGCACTGACTGGTTTCAAGTGGGCTTGAGGTTACCCCCACTCTCCCGCCGTACGGTGGGAAGGTCTGGAAGGCTGTAGGTCGAGGGCTGTGGCATCTCCAGTTTCCGGCTTTTTCACTTCCCTTTTCTTCTGGCAACTCTGAGCTGCTTTTTTACCCGCTCCCATAGCCTGTCACTTTGCCTCATTACTTCCGAGTGTAAAAGGAAAAGGACAAAGTTTGTCGTCGTATTTTTAGATGAATACTTCTGTGCATCCTTGTCCTCTCTAAAGTCATTAACTCTTAATAGAGTGTCTGTATGGTGTTTTATGTGTAGGAGCGGCAGAGAACCTCTAAGGTCTTAGAAACTTTGTGGGAACTATAAATCTAATGGTAGGCGAAAGAGGTGTGGTGTTGCGTGAAGCAGCCTGTTAAAAGTATCGCAATAGCTGAAGAGTGTGGTGCGGCAGAGACTAAGCGACTTCATTTACAGTAAAAGCTGGGGATGAGAAGAAAGAAAGGAGAAGGCAATCTTTGCTCCGCATTGCTGTGTTTTGAAGTGAAGCTCAAAAGCTGCTTGAGACTGGATGGGAGGAAAGAGCGGCTTGTTTTTGCTGTGTTCTTTCCCCACGTTTTCCAAATTCTGAGTTGCTGGTGTATTTTGAACACTGCATGACCGGATCAGTTTGGGGAGCTTTGCAGATTACTTCTGCACACTTGGTCAAGAACCACATTATGGTAGGTGCCAGAGTACAGCTGAACAAGACAAGCATTTGTATAGAGTTCTGTGCTATATGTTAGTGTAGTGTTCATAGGAGTATATAGACAGGCATGTACATAATCCAGATATCTTTAGAGAGGCCTTCCTTAAACACCCTTCCTAAAGGGACCACTTCCAATGACCACCTCACATTACGTATGTATTGGTTTATTTGTTTAATGTCTTTCTATTACACTGGATTATAAACTTCACAAAGGTAACATTTTCGTCTATCTTGTTTACCTCTATACTTAGGACTGGGCTGCCCTGTCCAATCTGGTAGCCACTAGCCACATTTGGCTATTTTGATTTGAATTAATTAAATCAAATTAAAAATTAAGTGATTCTTTTGGTAGTAGCCACCACATTTCAAGTACCCAGTTGCCATATTGGCCAGTGGCAATTGTTTCTATTTCAACATTTGCAACAGCTTAGTCCTTTTGGTCAACATTGCACTAGGACCTTAAATAGTACCTGGTATCTGAGAAGCACTAAGAAATATTTGTTGAATAATGTGAGCTGAGCCCTGAAGGATGAA